>NC_000003.12:158554058-158857089 GCF_000001405.40 Homo sapiens | reverse complement strand
AACTGAAAAAAACTTTCCTGGTCTTGCTAGATAGAAATTCAGATATCCAAATACAAGAAGCCCAAAGAACGGGGAGATTAATTGCAAAAAGGACATCACAAAGGCATATAATCATCAAGCTATCTAAAGTAACATGAAGAAAAGAGTTCTAAGAGCACTGAGACAAAAATAATCAGGTAACCTATAAAGAAAAACCTATTAGAATAACAGCAAACTTCTCAGCAGAAATCTTACAAGCCAGAAGGGACTGAGATCCCATCTTTAGCCTCCTTACACAGAATAACTGTCAGCCACAAATTTTGCATCCAGCAAAAATAAGTTTCATAGATGAAGGAGAAATAAAGGCATTTTCAAACAAACAAATGCTGAGGGAATTTGTCACTACCAGATCAGCCCTACAAGAAATGCAGAAATAAATGAACTTGAAACAAGGAAAATACAAAAGATCAATGAAACAAAAAGTTCGTTATTTGAAAGAACAAACAAAACTGATAGGCCATTAGCTAGATTAACCAAGAAAAGAAGAGGGATGATTCAAATAAGATCAATCAGAAATAAAACTGGAGACATTACAACTGATGCCACAGAAATACAAAAGATCATTGGAGACTACTATGTATAGTTTTATGCACACAAACTAGAAAATCTAAAGAAAATGGATAAATCCTGAAAACATACAACCCTCCTAGAATAAATCAGGAAGAAATAGTAACACTGAACAGACGAATAACAACTTGTAGGATTGAACTGGTAATAATAATATATAAAAAACTGCCAACAAAAAAAAAGTCCAGGACCAGATAGATTCATACCTGAATTCTACCAAACATTCAAAGAAGAACTGGTACCAATCCTACTAAAACTATTCCAAAAGATTGAGAAAGAGGGAATCCTCCCTAATTCATTATATGAAGCTAGTATCATCCCAATACCAAAACCAGGAAAGGACATAATAAAAAAGAAAACTACAGACCAATATCCCTGATGAATATAGATGCAAAAACCCTCAACAAAATACTAGCTAACCAAATCCAACAGCACATCAAAATGATAATACACCATGATCCAGTGAGTTTCATCCCAGGGATGCAGGCATAGTTTAACATACACAAGTCAATGTGTATACATTATGTGATGTGATACATCACATAAACAGAATTAAAAACCAAAACCATGTGATCATCTCAACAGATGCAGAGAAAGCATTCATTAAATTCCAGCATTCCTTTATGATAAAAACCCTCAACAAACTAGGCATAGAAGGGACTTACCTCAAAATAATAAAAGTCATATAAGACAAATCCACAGCCAACACCATATGGAATGGGGAAAAGTTGAAAGAATTCCCCTTAAGAACTGGAACAAGACAAGGATGCCCACTTTCACAGTTTGTATT
This sequence comes from Homo sapiens, assembly GCF_000001405.40. NCBI lineage: Eukaryota > Metazoa > Chordata > Mammalia > Primates > Hominidae > Homo > Homo sapiens. The sequence goes on along the minus strand of NC_000003.12, from coordinate 158,855,693 downwards.
CAACATAGTACTGGAAGACCTAACCAGAGCAATTAGGCAAGAGAAGGAAATAAAGGGCATCCAAATTGGAAAAGAGGAAGTCAAACTATCGCTGTTCACTGATAATATGATTGTATACCTAGAAAACCCTAAAGTCTCCTCCAAAAGACTCCTAGATTTGATAAACAAATTCAGTAAAGTCTCAGGTTAGAAAATCCATGTACACAAATCAGTATCACTGCTATACACCAACAATGACCAAGCTGAGAATCAAATCAAGAACTCAATCCCTTTTACAACATATGCAAACAATAAAATAAAGTACCTAGGAATATACTTAACCAAGGAGGTGAAAGATATCTACAAGGAGAACCTACAAAATACTGCTGAAAGAAATCAGAGATGACACAAACAAATGGAAATACATTCCGTGCTCATGGATTAGAAGAATCAATATTGTAAAAATCACCATACTGCCCAAACCAATCTACAGATTTAATGCAATTCCTATTAAACTACCAATATCATTTTTCACAGAATTAGGAAAAAAAATCCTTAAATTCATATGAAACCAAAAAGGAGCCCAAGTAGCCAAGGCAATCCTAAGAAAAAAAATAAATCTGGATGTATCACATTATCAGACTTCAAATTATACTACAAGGCTATAATCACCCAAACAGCATGGTACTGGTATAAAAGTAGACACATAGACCAATAAACCATAACTGAGAACCTGGAATTAAACCAAATACTTCTTCAACAAAGCATGCAGAAATATAAATTGGGGAAAGGACACCTTATTTAATAAATGGTGCTTGGAAAAGTGGCTAGCCACATGCAGAAGAATAAAGCTGGATCCCTATTTCTCACCTATATAAAAATCAACTCAAGATGGATCAAAGACTTAAATCTAAGAACAAAAACTATAAAAATTCTAGAAAATAATGTAGAAGAAACTCTTCTGGACATTGGCCTAGGCAAAGAAGTCATAACTAAGACCCCAAAAGCAAATGCAACAAAAACAAAAATATGTAAATGGGAACTGATTAAACTAAAAAGCCTCAGTACAGCAAAAGAAATAATCATGAGAGTAAACAGACAACCCACAGAATGGGAGAAAATATTTGCAAACTGTATCTGACAAAGGACTAATATCCAGAAGCTACAAGAAACACAAACAAATCAGCAAAAAATAAATAAATAATCCCACCAAAAAAGTGGACAACGGGCATGAATAGACATTTCTCAAAAGAAGATAGATGTACAAATGGTCAACAAATGCATGAAAAAATGTTCAACATCACTATTCATCAGAGAAATGTAAATTAAAACCACTTTACTCCTGGAAGAGTAAAAAGTCAAAAAATTATTAAAAAGTAAAAAAATAGTAGATGTGGGCATGGACGTGGTAAAAAGGAACACTTATACGCTGCTAGTGGGAGTGTAAATTAGTACAACCTCTATGAAAAACAGTATGGAGATTTCCTAAAGAACTAAAAGTAAGTTTACCTTTCGATCCAGCAATCCCACTACTGGGTATCTACCCAAAGGAAAAGCAGCAAATATATCAAAAGGATACCTGCACATGTGTATTTATTGCAGCACAATTCATAACAGCAAAGATATGGAACCAACCTAAGTGCCCATCGACCAATGAGTGGATAAAGAAAATGTGATATATATACACCATGGAATACTACTAAGCCATAAAAAGGAATGAAATAATATCTTTTGCAGCAACTTGGATGGAGCTGGAGGCATTATTTTAAGTTAAATAACTCAGGAATGGAAAACTAAGTACTGTACGCTCTCACTTATAAGTGAGAGCTAAGCTATGGGTACACAAAGGCATACAGAGTGACAAGGGACTTTGGAAACTCAGAAGGAAGGTGGGAGGGGGAGGGATAAAAAACTACATATTGGGTACATTGTACACTACTCAGGTGATGGGGTCACTAAAATCTCAGACTTCACCACTATACAATTCATCCATGTAGCCAACAACCACTTGTACCCCCAAAAGCTACTAAAAATTTTTAAAATTAATAAAAATAAAATAAAATAAATTCTGGATAGCTAGAGGCAGAAATATTTTTCCTACATAATTGAATACTGACTCTCCTCCAACAAGGATGTGGCTTGGCTGATGCTGAATTTGGTTCAAATCAGGTAAGTGTAAGGAGACAGTACATAGAACACTAAGCTAAGTCTTGATGTGTGTCTTACATATAAAATACTTGGGGTACAGCAAAAATCTGGCTGTTTCTTAGAACCAGCAAGACCCTATTCTGCTCAGCACAGACATCTCAATGAGGAATTAGCAATGAGAAAAAAAGCACTATGAAAATATGCTGCATCTGCTCCCATCCTCTGTGGCCATCCTTTTTCTCAGAAGTTTCTGGGCCTTGACTATACCAATAAGGGTGGGGTTTGTGTGTGTACGTGTCTGTGTGTCTGTGTGTCTATGTGTTCAGTTTCCAAATCATACCTCACCTCATATACTGCAGGCAGCCGGTGTGGGTGTGTCCCCACAACTGAAAAGTAGAGTAGACAAGACAAGGTTGGAATATGGCAAGAACAAGATGACACAGAACCTTGCAGTCCACGGGAAGACATTTGCATTTTATTCCAAAGAACAATAGGGAGCTTAGAAGGGCACATGGTCTGACTTGTGCTTCATTTCTATGAACATCGCTGCTGTGCTGAAGTACGATAGAAGGGGGCATTGTGACCAGTGAGGAGTACCATTGAAGAGGGCCATGCAAGAGGTCACAGTGGCAAAGACCAAGGTGATGCAGTGAGTGAACAGAAGTGGATGGTTTAACAGATATTTGAAAGGACTTTGTGATGGACTGATGTGAGAGCAGGAAAAAGAGAAAAATAGACAATGATTTCTAGGATTTTTGCTTGAATGACTAGATACATAAGAGTGCCATTTACTGAAATGACAAACAATGTTGAGTAGAGTGGCAAATTTAGTGGGAGGAAAAATAGAGGAAATTAGGAGTTCACTTGTGACCATATTAAGTCAGTGAAATCTGTAAAGTATCCAGGTGGTGCTAAGCAGGCAATTTTATATAAGAGTCAGGAGCTCAGAGGACAGAACAGAGCTATGGATATGAATTAGGGGTTTGTCAAGACATAAATGGTGTGAAGAAAGGAAGTTTCCTATACTATTTAGAAATTGTGTTTGCTAGAATCACAAGCTTATTTTTCTCAAATAAACCTATAATGAGAAAACCAAGATAAAGTGGCTTGATGGTTTCTGACTAGAAATTGGATTTATGAATTTATGTGGAAAAGGAGTTAAGGAATAAAGTCAGTGATGTCGTTTGCAGTGTTGGTGGGCACATGGCAGCCTAAGTACATGAATGCAATCTCCTACCCTAGACATACTCTAATATATACAATGTCTTATAACACACACAAAGTGAATAAATGCAATTCCCCACAACGAATATTTAAAAGAAACTTTGCAGTAACCATAGCCTCATGGTCAAAGATTATATTCCATAGATGATTACAATAAACCTCTGTAAGAAAGAAGGGAAACATCCCAGGAAATCCCTTTACCTTTCCAGCAAATAAATCAGCCACAAATTCAATTTTACAATGAGAAGAGCAAGTATATAGAGATCTAACCTTAACAGGACTTTTAGCCCATCTAGCTAATATACTTTATTCTTTGTGCCTTTATGGTAACTATTTGTAAATATCCCTCAACTGCGTTCCTTATCTTTTGAGCAAACGATAAGGAGTAGCTCAGTGCTTCACATTCTCAAAGACACTTGTGTCAACAGTCTTTCTTCCTCTCACGATTTCCCATTAAATTATTTATCATTAAATTATATGGCCTACAATTTCAACTACAACCTTAGCCAAGGTTGACTCAAAGTGCCTTGGGCTACAATAAACTTCTCCTCTCACAATGCACTGGATGAAATCGCCTTGGGGGCAAGTATAGACATGGGAGGGAAGAAGGCTTGAAATTGAACCCGGAGGAATTCCAACATCAGAGGCCAGTTGAGGAGGGTGACACCATGAGCAGGACTGAGAGAGTGAGGTAGGAGGTATAACAGGAAAGTGTGATGTAAGAGAAGTTATGGGCATTTGTTGTTTCTGCTTCCCAGTATTCAGTCCCTTTTTTGTGGTAACAGAAACCCAAATACTCTTTAGGGGAACTGCCTTTCTCTCACTCTAAATACACGAGATTTGGGTGAGACTAATTCTCCCATAGGTCTAGGGTTGAAGAATTTGACTAAGGACTTTGCCAATCAATGTATTCCATCACTCTGGCCACAGCAGTTGCTTCAGTGATGAACACGGAGCTTAAGACAAGATAAAAGACCCAGTCTGTACTAATCCCAGGACTTGCTGGCTGAGGTGTAATTTTTCTTGCTGGGTTGGCACGTAAGTAAATGAGAGCAGAATCCATAGCAGCCATCTTGTCACCATGAGGGGAGAGTAAAGCACGTATGAGAATGGAACCAACCTGGAGAAAATGGAGCCAAGAAATAGACAAAAAGCAGTCCTAGCTACACCATCTGAGCTCTGGCATGAGACCATACCTAAAGCCACCCTCACCAGGAAAATTTGAGTATATGAGCCAATGGATTATCATTTTGCCTGGCTGCATTTGGCCTGGGTTTTTCTCATCAGCAAGAAAGTCCTAACTAATGGAGAAAGCAAGAAAAGAGACTGCTTCAAGGAGTGCTCAACTGCAGAATACACTGATTAGAGGTTTAAATGAGTCAGGAAAGTTTCCGCAGAATTTGACAACATGGAGGCCACGGGGAGCCTTGACAAGATCAGTTGCAGTGCAGGGGTGGATTAGAACCAAATTCAAGTGGTCCTGTGGATATCCTCCACGTATGTGTACAGTCATGGCTGTACAGTCATGGCTTCTAAGTGATAACGTGGAGTAGAAAGAGCCCTAGACAGAGAACCAGAAATCTGGATTCCAGACACAGCTCAGCCACTAACCAGCTATTTGACCATGGATAAATCACTTACTTAACCTGTTGGGTTTAACAGTTTCTTCATCTATCAAGTGACTACACCTGCCTGGCACCTGGGGGCCCCTTTTGCTTTAAAATTCTCAGTATTTTGCTATTTTTACCAAACTTATACTGTCCTGAAACTAAGTAGGAGAGGTCATCCAGATCCCCCCAGGTCTCATTAGCATTCTTTCCTATGCCACTAAATTAAATTCTCCTTGGCTCGATTTTCATTTCGTAGTGATTATTTTATTGAAGCCCAAATCACTGTTGTGGTTGGTTTGTGCAGAAGACAGGGTGTGCAGCCCTTGCTTCTGGCATCCCAGACTCAGGCTTTTCTCTGTGAGCATCCATGGCTGATGCTTTCCACATCTCCCCTCTGAGCTGGGGCCTCTGCACCACTTCTCCTCTTGTCATTGCTCTCACTGTTCAACAACGATACAGGTTATGGGCTCCATGGTATGTGTCCAGAAAAGTTTCACGGGCCTTTTGATCCTCTAAAATGCAAAGATTTTTGCTGATCACTTCTCATTCTTGGCAGAGTCTTCTCTGAAGAGTGTTGAATATGTGCTGCCCTTTACTTCACATCATGGGCCAATCCCATTGCAAACCAGGCACTGGCCATAGGGCAAAACATGCACAAAAGGTCAGCAGCTGTCAAAGTGCTTACCTCTTATTTAGTTCAGTTGGGAGCAGGACAAGAGGGGTTAAGTTTTCAACAGGATAACATACCGTATATATCAGCACTAACAATGAGGTTTTATTTCCCTGAGTCAGCTTTAAAAATAATGTTGACTTTTATGGTCGATACATTATAGATCACCATATTTATGTCAGAACATATTGGCAGGAAAATAAATCAATGAAAATATTAATACACGAGCCTTGTGTTTAAATGAAACCCCTTGCAACTCCACACCTTCCCCTCATATTTCACTGTAAGGCTTTCAGAGACCTCCCCATTGACATGTTTTACTGAACAGGAAATCAAGGGTTATATTCATTTTCTAAAAGTACTGTTTTTAATCTGTCTTGTATATAATCGGATTCAAAAATACACACTTTGCTCTTTTACCATAATATACATAACTGCATTCCATCATTAATAGTACTGTCAATTCAAATATATGGTTTATGCATGAACAAAATATCTCAGAGCCAAAGCTCTGACTGGCATACTATTAATAAATGAAACTCTCTGTGTTGGAGGCCAGCTTCAAATATTATATTTGCTATTCACATTTGTTTTAGAGTCATGAGAAATTTCTAAGTATGTGTTTCAGAAAGCAAGTTCATAATTTAGACATTATTTAAAAACATAAAGTGAAAAAGAAAATTTGCCCTCTTGAGTGTATCTTCTCTTTCTGCTGCTCTTCCATACATGCCATGCACCTGTTACTCACAGCCCCCTTCTGAGGGGAACTATGTTTCTGAAAGACCCTAAAGACAGAGCAACCCTGAATGTTCATCTCCATCAAGTATGCACTGCTCATTAACTCCGTGAGCCACATGACACCAGCCTCTGGCCATAGTGAAGGGGCCACCCAGCCAGTTAATATGTGTGCTGACCTACTGCCTGTGAGAGGTCTGGCTGTGCTGTCCTACCCAAACAGAAATAATGCTGACTACCTGGGCCAATCAGTGTCTTGGGAAAATTTCTTTGGCTCTGCCTGCAGTTAGTAATTTGCAACAGGAGCAGAAGACAAAGGATGCTCAGAGAGAAGGCAGAGTCAGGAGAGGCAAGGAAGAAACAGGAAGTGTTTAGAAGAAAGCAATGAAATAATAGAAGAAAGATGAAGGCATTGGTTGATAGCAGCAGAAGAGTTGCTAGGGGTAGTCTTTAAGCCCTCCCTCACCCACATATTTCATTCATCACCAAGTCATATTCATTAGCCCCCTACATACCCACCTATTCCTCATCTATCTTCCAGACTAGAGCAATAGCCTCCTAATTCATCTCCCAGTGTTCCTTGCTCTCCAAACAGCAGAGTGATATTTTTTCAATATGCAAATTTGAGCAGGTTTCTCTGTTTTTCTTACACACACACACAGAGCTGGTGAGACACACACACAAACACTAAACACTTTAGTGGTCCAAATCAATTTGATCTAAAGGGGAAAGGCTTCCCTACGGTAACACAGAATATCTTTATGACCCCAAGGTAGAGAAAGATTCTTAAACCAGATACAAAAAGTAGGACCATAAAACAAAAATTGATAATTTGGACTATATTAAAATTAAGAACTTCCAATCCTCAAAAAAAAATACATATATACCATTATGCCAGAGAAAAGGTAAGGCACAGAGTAGGAAAAAAATTATTGTAATGTGTAATGTAAAGACTTTTACCCAAAATATATTTTTAAAACTCCTAGAAATCAATAACCAAAAGATAGACAAGTCAATAGAAAAAATAACAGTAAAAAGAAACTGGAAAAATCACTTCCCATGAAACTATCCAGGGCCAGATACAGCATGAACCCTTCATCTCCCATGAAGAGGCACCCAGGAGTATGTGGGGAGGGAGGGATTAATACTTCAAAGGGCAAAAGTAAAATAGGGTCCGTGACAAAGGAAATCCTCTCTCTTTAAGTGTGTCTTCTCTTTCTGATCCTCTTCTGTTCTCACAGGATGTGCCATGCACCCGCTGTCACAGCCCCCTTTGGAGGAGAACTTTCTCAAAGCCCCTGCAGGAAGAGCAGCCCTGAAGCTCATCCAGGGAGTGTGGGCCTGGCCAGAAGGAGACAGGAGCTGCTGGATAAATGCTTCCCTCTCCTGTGCCTGAGGATATGAGGCACAATCGATTCCTGAGACACAGGAGATGCAGGTTTCAGATTCTCAGAGGACCGTCCCTTGGGATTGAGCACTCAGTTGCCTTGGGTGTGGGCCAACTCAATAATGCATCTTCAAATCCTCACATTTGGTTCTCCCGCCTTCAACAGGTCATTCCCCTGTCCCTCACTCCTGCTCCCTCGGATTACACTCTCCAATAAAACGGTAGCCCATTCAGCCTTGGCTCTGCTTTCTGGGTGACTCAGGCTAAGACAGCATGGTTCTCCCTCCTCCCCAACATGTTGAGTGTCCAGAGCTGCTGTAGATTCTTCCCCCGCCAGCACCACCCTCCCACCCCAGAAATCCTATAGCAACAAGAAAGCTCTGATGGTGGGCAGCACACCAGGGTGTTAGCACTGTAAGTAGCATTTTCCAGGCAGGCTGTCAGGGGAACATGCTGCCTGAGGGTAAGACCAGATCAAAGGAGGGGTCCTGGGATACAGCCCCTACTCTGCAGATGCCTTAGGCAACTTTGCCACGACTCCTGGAGCCCCCGGCTCTGCAACTGATATCTTATCTTGCCCCAAACCAAACCAGCTTTTTACATTTCTTCATACACAGCACACAGGAAAGACTCAGTCATGATGCATTTAAAGATCTTTGATGCTAAATGAAAGTAAAAGGAAAAAGATTTTTTCAAAATCCCCTTTCAGAGTCCTGAGCCTAGAGGCAGTGATGGGCTTTCACAACTACAGGACAATATAGCTACAGCTATTTTTACCACATCATTAATTGAGTTTAAAAATTCTGATTTCAGAGTCAATTTGGGGTATCACACAAATGTACATACGGATTAAAAAGAGAAAGGTAGTAATTATTTTTCCAGAGTCACACTGATTTCAGAGCAGCCACCTTCTCTGCTGTGACAATACAAGTTTCCCAATCACTCCCTGTTTACACAAAGTTGAACTTGTGTCAGATCCTTGTAAACAGAACACAAAAATGTGCAAGCTGCTGTACAAATTAATTATTGAAATTAAGTACTCACTGTCTCTAGAAAGTCTTCTAAATTATTTAAAGAACCCAATTTGCTTTGATTGTGAAAAAATAAAAGCCCTTGGATTCCCATATTTCAGGACAATTCAAACATGGAAGAGGGGCCCAGGTACAGAGAAAATGTAAGCCTACGTTGTAAAAATATAATACAAAATCATTAAAAAGCTAACATCAGTGCCGTTTATGATCAGACTCAAGGTATATCTTAAACTGAGTATAGGGTTGCTATGTGTCTACAGCCATGCCACCTTAAATGCGCCTGATATCAGAAGCCAAGCAGGGTTGGGCCTGGTTAGTACTTGGATGGGAGAGGGGTCTCACTCTTGTCAGTTTTTATTTTAATATTATATATTATCTTTCTTTTTATTATCTCCAGATCATGCTTTTTGAGCTAGGGTTCTGTCATCTATGACAGAGGTGCTATATCTAGTGACTTGAGAGATGACTTGCTATTTTATTTCCATGTCTTTCTTCTTCCAGGTGGTGGTGACAGGCACTGGAGGGACAAGTAGGTAAGAAAACATTCCCCGGAAATCTGGGAACTTGCTGAATCTTTGCTTTGTAAAAAGTCCAGGCTTTCCCCAAATCACCACAGACATGACTTCTACTTAACCTCTCTGAACCTCAGTTTCCTCAGCTGTAAAATGGGGGAAAGGTGCCTGCCATGCCTATCTCACGGGATAGTCTGAAGAATCATCCCAACAGGCAGCTTTCAACTGGCTACACTCTATTCCTTTGTGTGAACCTAACATAGTAACTGCAGACAACAGACCAATAGGAGATTCTTTGATCGGTGGGATTTTTTTACATGTCTTCAATGAATCATATCTCTTTCACAGCTGCTATACCTGGACAAGACCCTAATTCTGGCTTCCATTTCTGGGGTTGAGGCGGGGCAGCAGGTAGCGGGAGGGATTGTAACCTGTTGGTCTTTATTGCCACCTAGTGGTCAGGTGGACAAATAACATCAAGTTATCCAGTGGATTTGAAGCACGTTAGAAAATTAATTCCAAAAAAACCACCTGCTACTTTAATCCACCACCTAATTAATTGTACACAGGGGGCCCCCCTTATATAAACCTGTTAAAAATCAAGTAATTATGCTGTGATGTAAATAAGTCCCTAGTTCATCTTTGCAAATTAAGAATTGTACATATGAATCAAGTTATTATTTTTAAAAACTTATAAAAACAAACTTTTACTGTCTGAAGGCATTTATGAGACTCCATCAAATGGTTTCATTTGTTCAAGATATTCTCCAGATGGAGATAAAATATTAAATGCTAAAGTCAACTCACAGATTTAAATCCATGTGTTCACATGGCAGAGAGAGCAAGCTTTCTGGTGTCCCTTTGTTTCTGTTTTGTTGTTGTTGTTGTTGCTGTTGTTGTTTTCCCTGAGACGGAGTCTCACTCTGTCTCCCAGGCTGGAGTCCAGTGGCACAATCTTGGCTCACTGCAACCTCTGCCTCCCGGGTTCAAGCAATTCTCCTGCCTCAACCTCCCGAGTAGCTGGGATTTCAGGCGCTCGCCAACACGCCCTGCTAATTTTTGTATTTCTAGTAATGATGGGGTTTCATCATGTTGGCCAGGCTGGTCTCGAACTCCAGACCTGAAATGATCCTCCCACCTCTACTTCCCAAAGAGCTGGGATTACAGGCATGAGCCACCGTGCCCAGCCAGTGTTCCTTTTAATAAGAACACCAATCATATCAGATTAGGCCCCATCCTTATGACCTCAGTTAACCACAATTACTTTCTTACTCCAAATACAGTCACGTTGGGGTTAGGGCTTCAACATATGAATCAGTGGTGGATAAAATTGGGTCCACAGACAGTAACAGACAGGGATAAAGTGACCCTGTCCATCCTGGGGTAGCAAAGCCACACCTGCCCTCCCACCCAGCCACATAAACCAAAGAGCTCAGGTCTCCAGGTTACCACTGTCTCTAAAAGAGGCAGAGGGAAGAGAGGGAAAGAGAAAATGTGTGGGTTCTCTCCCTCGTGGCAGCCCTGTGGGGCACTTGCCTCTCTTCTAGGTAATTCTCACAGCAGTCTCCCCAGAAAGGGATTGTCTCATTTTACAACAGCTGAGGAAATCATGGCTCAGAGATATGGTGAGCGCTTTAGAAGGCATACTTGTTCCTGGCACAGGTGGGATTTGAGCACTTCTCACTACCCCAAAACAGTCCTTTGAAGGGCATTAGCCCATGGGCCAGATCAGAGTACTGCCTACTAGACTAGGGGTCCTAATAGGCCCTAGAGGATTCTCTGACCCTCAATCTCCTCATCATAAAACAGGGGTAATAATGTTTTGCTCACAAGGTTGTTCTGAGGATTAAGTAAGATCATGTGGGTGGACTGCCAGACCCAAGCCAGTGCTAAATCATGGTGGATTCCCGCCTCGGCTTCCCTCCAAGAGCCAACACGGAGATGGGAAGGCAGCTTCACCAGAAATTACTAAGCATTTTCCAGCCCCCCAGATGAACAAATTATAGGGTACAAAATGAATGAAAACAGCTTTTTTACTCGCCCAGCCATAAAAACTTTGCTCTCCAGATTTTAAAGCCAGGGAGCAGGGTGGTGAGCCCCTCAGCAGGCTGAGGCATGGAAAGCCACCGTCCCCTGCACCAACCTCATGGAGAGCCACTGTCCCCCGCACCAACCTCAGAACTCCAGTCCTCAGCCTGGTGCTCACCTCAGACCCTCACCACCCACACAGTCATCAACATTGTAGAGCTCAGACACACCCTCAACTCATCTGGCTCATGCCTCACATCCAATGAGGCCCGTCACTCCTGCCTCAGCAGCATCTCCTGCTCTGCATCCACCCTGCATGGGCTTGCTTGGGATGCTGGTCATTTGTCACCTGCGTGCACTTCAACAGCCCCACACTGGTCTGACCAGTCACTCTCTCTGTTCCAGGCCCAGGACCATATTGCCATCTATACTTCCTATACAGATACAGGAGAGGGGATTTGCTATGGGAGTTGGCTTGAGCAGTTATGGGGCCGAGAAGTCCGACGATATGCCATCTGCCAGCGGGGGAAGCAGGGATGCCGGCGGTGTGGCACATTCTGAGTCAAAAGGCCTCAGAATCAGGGGATCCAATGGTGTAACTGTCTGAGGCTGAAGGCCTGAGAACCCAGAGGGCAGATGGTGCAGGTCCCAGAGTCCAAATGCCAGTGAACCTGGAGTTCTGATGTCCAAGGGCAGGAGAAGAGTGTCCCAGCTCCAGCAGAAACAGTGAATATGCTTTTCCTCTGCCTTTTTTTTCTATCCAGGCCCTCAACCTGATTGGATGGTGCCCGCTCACACTGGGTGAGGGTGGCTCTTCCTTACTCGGTCCACTGACTCACAGGCTAATCTCTGTCAGAAACACCTTCAAAGGCATACCCAGAAATAACACTTTACCAGCTACCTGGGTATCCCTTAACCCGGTCAAGTTGATACCTGAAACTAACCATCACAGTAGCCATATTCCATCACTGTCCTGCTAAGACATCCTCCTTACAGCGGCTGACTCTCCTGCCCTCCCTGGACACACTGTGCCCTTTCGGCTTCCATTCCCTTGGGTGTGCAGTCCCCCTACCCAATGCCTCTCACCCGTCTCTGCTAGCAAGCTCATGTTTCTTCTCCCAAGCAGTTCAAATGCTGCCTATTCTAAGAAGCCTGCCCTCAATTCCCTCAGGGGAGAATTGGCTGTATCCTGCTGATTTTCACAGCACTTTGTTGACCATTTTTCACATCATTTTACAATCAGCTGTATCCATTTATGTCTTCCCCCACCAGACTGTGAGTTCCTGGAAAGCAAGAGCTGTGTCTTATTCATCTTCATGTTCCCAGTGCCTGACTCAACAAATGCTCAATAAATGTTGATTGACAGAGTTAATTAAGTCTCTGTTTCTTTGGTTCTGTCTATACCATAGTTTGCAGGCAACACTCAACTTATCCCCAAAATTACCTAACTTATGCTTTTCTCTCTTCCCTTGTTTTAACCTGTCTTTCTAAATATTAAGTTTCTAGTATGAAGCCCCAGAATTAAACATCTTTCAGTTCCCGTGGGCTCCATGCTGATTGGCTGGCCCACACACTGGCACCCCTTCAGGCTCTGCACACGGCTTCCTTAGCTACTTGGGCCCACCTATTGCATCTACTTTGTCAGCAAGGAAGGAATAAGGAAGAAGCTGCACCTGGCTTCATGGCTCAGATTTGTTTTCTTGGATGCTCAGATGCTAAGATGGTTAATAAGCAAATCAGCCCCAGTATTCAAATACTCAGTTAAGAAATCCTGAAAGAGATACAAATCAAAATCCTCCAGCAGAGCCTGTAGGCAAAACCTGGGCTTTCCCTAATCCTCTCTAATCCCCAAGGGTCACTTGCTACTCTACTATGGCCTATGTGGTTAGGACCAAATTGTGGGCAGTTTCGGCCCCTGGGAATATACCTGCTTTTCTGGCTAGAATACCTCCCCTTGGAGATTTTCTGACTCTATGCAATGGATTCTAGCAGGAGGAGACACAGAGCTGGAGGTTCTGAGTACCCTGTTTAAATGACAGTGTCATCCCACCACCATTTCTATCACAACCCAGCCTAGAGTAGACAGCATACAAGTCCATGTAAGGCCAACCCTTTGGACCTGGTAAGTCTAGACGCCCAGCTTTGGAAGATTATTTGGCCCTTGTTGAATACTCTATTTTCCTGGGGTTGGTCTCTTTTAAACAAGGCCTCTGACTAGACTTTGGGGGACAAAGTTGAATGCCGGGTTGGGGCAGAGGCTGATGCCATGCTGAGGTCATGATGTTATGCTGTCCATTTTGCTTCCTTCCAGGGGAAGCAGAAGCGGGAGCCGTCGTGGAGCTCTGCTCCTGGAGGGAGCCTCCCGGGACATGGAGAAGGTGGACATGAATACATCACAGGAACAAGGTCTCTGCCAGTTCTCAGAGAAGTACAAGCAAGTCTACCTCTCCCTGGCCTACAGTATCATCTTTATCCTAGGGCTGCCACTAAATGGCACTGTCTTGTGGCACTCCTGGGGCCAAACCAAGCGCTGGAGCTGTGCCACCACCTATCTGGTGAACCTGATGGTGGCCGACCTGCTTTATGTGCTATTGCCCTTCCTCATCATCACCTACTCACTAGATGACAGGTGGCCCTTCGGGGAGCTGCTCTGCAAGCTGGTGCACTTCCTGTTCTATATCAACCTTTACGGCAGCATCCTGCTGCTGACCTGCATCTCTGTGCACCAGTTCCTAGGTGTGTGCCACCCACTGTGTTCGCTGCCCTACCGGACCCGCAGGCATGCCTGGCTGGGCACCAGCACCACCTGGGCCCTGGTGGTCCTCCAGCTGCTGCCCACACTGGCCTTCTCCCACACGGACTACATCAATGGCCAGATGATCTGGTATGACATGACCAGCCAAGAGAATTTTGATCGGCTTTTTGCCTACGGCATAGTTCTGACATTGTCTGGCTTTCTTTCCCTCCTTGGTCATTTTGGTGTGCTATTCACTGATGGTCAGGAGCCTGATCAAGCCAGAGGAGAACCTCATGAGGACAGGCAACACAGCCCGAGCCAGGTCCATCCGGACCATCCTACTGGTGTGTGGCCTCTTCACCCTCTGTTTTGTGCCCTTCCATATCACTCGCTCCTTCTACCTCACCATCTGCTTTCTGCTTTCTCAGGACTGCCAGCTCTTGATGGCAGCCAGTGTGGCCTACAAGATATGGAGGCCTCTGGTGAGTGTGAGCAGCTGCCTCAACCCAGTCCTGTACTTTCTTTCAAGGGGGGCAAAAATAGAGTCAGGCTCCTCCAGAAACTGAGGCAGAACAAGTTGGGTGAGCATCCAGCTGGGAGGAAGAGATGCCCAGGGTTGAACAGATCTGGGTAATGCCAAGGTGAAGCTTGGGAAAAACGAGCTCCAACACCACTAGCAACAACTTGTTTGTACACAGATGAGTGCTGGTGGGAGAGGGGCTCAAGACCTCCTAAAAGTGTCCTGCTGCAAAGGACACTTTTATATTGATGTTAAGTGAGTTTAAAATAAGAGTATGGAGAGAGCCACTAAAACAAAGGAAAACTTTCTTAAAGAGAGCTGACATTGGTCTCTTGTCATTCAGGTCTCAGCTCAAATGTCACCTTCTCAGAGACCACTCCTGCCCACCCTAGCTAATGTTGACCTCTCTCCTCATAACCCAATCACTGTATTCCCTTATATATTGTCTTTGCAACATTTATTACTATCTGGACTTGGTGATTCATTTACTTATTTATGATCTCTTTCCACTGAATTATATGCTCCAATAGGACAGAGATCTCCTCTGATGGCTGACCCCTCAATACCAGCCTCCATAGCAGGGCCTGGCACATAGTAAGGGCACAACAGATAGGGGCTGAATGAATGAGTGAGCAAATGGACCTGTAAATGAAACCCTTACTATGAAAGAGCACCTTTGCATGGAGGAACTCATTTAACCCTCACAATAATCCCTTGTGGTGGAGGCCATTGTTTCCTCCATTTACAGAGAAGGAAACTGACACGCACAGCTCAAAGTAACTTGTTCAGGCTTACCCAGTGGGAGAATGCCCAGATCATAGGGTTGAATGGAGCTTTCAAAGCCAGGCAGTGGCCTCTGAAGCACATGCTCCTAAGCGTGAAAGCTATGCCCCCATCCAAACACCAGCCTAGAGCTGGCCCAAGTTCTCCTTGACAATATCGGCTTGTCATTTTAGGCCGGCTCGCTTGTTGACACAGTTGCTGTTATCTGCAGAACACTGAGGAGACCTTGTGTGGTCTTTTACTACATTTCTTAACCAGTGTTTTTGTTAGTAAAAGCTATGCAGGATAAAATGGGAGATACAGAGTAAAGTGGCTTCAAGAAAACTGATTCGCTTCATTTTTATTTAAATTTAAACATGATGTTGGAGATTATGAAAAAAAACTTCATCAATGTCTTAAGTCATAATGATGTTTATTCCCTAAAAAGACTTTTTTTAGTTAAGATGCAAGGTAATCCAAAAAGATAACCTTAAAAAAAACCTCTCATTTATAACAATAATGATTTCCAAGGATTTCTCAGGTCTATACATAACATTATCTAGGCTGGGCACAGTGGCTCATGCCTGTAATCCCAGCACTTTGGGAGGCCAAGGCGGGCGGATCACCTGAGGTCAGGAGTTCGAGACCAATCTGGCCAACATGGTGAAACCCCATCTCTACTAAAAATACAAAAATTAGCTGGGCGTGGTGGCGGGTGCCTATAATCCCAGCTACTCGGGAGGCTGAGAAAGGAGAATCGCTTGAACCCGGGAGGCGGAGGTTGCAGTGAGCTGAAACTACGCCACTGCACTCCAGCCTGGGCAACAAGAGCGAAACTCTTAAAAAAAAAATTATCTAATAATTCACTAATCTCCCTATGAAGAGAAGGTGGTTAAATTCTTTTTATAAGAAACAAGCATAACCCCTCATTACTATCTCACTCCAATTATGGGAAATGTCTGAGTAAACCATGTATATGCCTACATTATAACATTTTATTCTAAAAGTACAGTTTATTGCTTTCAAGGACACACAATAATTAGAACTGGACTAAGTGTTGCTTAGCAGAATTCCTCAGGATAATTGGTTTAATGAATAGGCAAGGATGTTTTCTAATTAGCAGGTCAGCTGTTTCCACATAAATAAATGTTTCTATAGGAGCTGAGAGAGCTTAAAATGTTTGCTCTTTTGAACATTCTCTCAGCTCTCTGGCTCATATCATTAATTTCTGGCCCTTTCTTTGCATAACACATAGGCAAGTTTCAGCTGAGTTACAGTTTTGATTATCACCCCTTACAAATTAATAAGGTTTCACGTTACTGGAGAAACCGGTGCACCAGGCTCCCCCAGGAAAGGCTTGGAGCCAGCCCATATGCCATAAAGCCACTAGCTCTATGCCCATCAGCCTTTCAACCCTGGAAGTGGAAAGAAAACTAATGCAGAATCCTCAGGATGCACTGTCTTTTCTAAAAAGAAAGTACATTACACTCCTAGCCAAAGATTTCCTGCCTTTAATTTCTTGTTAACCTATGTGCTTGCAATTATTTCTCTGATCCATATAAGGCTAAATTGCTCTGCAGTTTTTTGACCTACTTAACAGCAAAGTATAAACATCCATTTTTAACTTATTTCTGGACAGTTAGGATCAAAAAAGTTTAACTGAGTTGACATCATATCCTGGGTTTTCAGGGACAATTATCTCAAGAGACTAGGATCAAACTAGGCTATTCCCTTCAGGAAAAGGACCCCATTGTAAGTAGAACTAGGAATCCACTGTGGAACCTGAGGCAAGACGATATTCATCACTTCCTTTGTGATTAGAGAAAACTCACCTATAAAAGGGGATAAGAAAACCAGGGGAAAAAAATGTCCTTCCTGAATTTACCCATTCAATGCCCTCCACCCTGGGGAAAGTTGGGATCCTCAAATCCGTTATCCCCCTGGGGCCCTCAGAATCTTCCCTAATCTTCCTGATTGTTTGGACAGGTTAAAACAGAACCGAAGGTCAGCAAATACTATGATGTTCAAAATACAGTCACTGGAGCTAGTATTTTCATATTGGATGAAAATATGATGGCTATAGCAAGCTACAAAAGTGTCAAACACAATCCCAACCCTTAAGGAAGTTATAGACTGTTGGAGAAGCAAAATATAAAAACATACAAACAACAATATGGGTACTAACAGCTTAAGCAGCTACAGAAGAAATTATGTCAGTTGTTGATTATCAAAATGAATAATACAGGCAGTAAGCGTTAGAGGAGTTTCAAAGGGGACTGAGAGCACTCAGGCTGAGAGAGCCATGAAGAGCCTATGAGTACACTGAAGGCTGGGAGAAATTTCAACCAGGAGAATGTCCCAAGCAGTGGAGAAAATGGAAAGAGAGATCACTGTGAGCAAATTTAATTTGTGTGAAAGTCATTGGTTGGTTCCTGAAGGTGAGGAGTTGGAGACAATGCTGGAAGGGCAGGCTGACATGTGATGATGAAGCCCCCCTAATGCCAGTGAAAGAACCACTTCTCATGCCAGGAGGAATCACCAACGGCATTTCAGCAGAAGTGCAGTATGATCAAAGTCATGATTTAGAAACTTAATCTGGCAGCTCCCCCATGTTTTGAATGAATTAAAGAAAATGTCACAGCTTAGACTCCTTCAAAGTCTCCATATTGACCTCCCTTCCCTTCACAGCATCTCCAGATTTTCTTTAGAACAGTATTTTCCATACATCCCATCCTCCCCAATTGTCCACTCTCCCCTGTATCTTCACTTCCACAGAATAAAGCCCAGCTCCCTCACGCTGACATGCTAGCCATGTCACAGTCTAGTCCCAGCTGAACTCTTCAACTCATGGCTCTCTCACCACACCCTGTGGCTTCCCACCTCTCTCACATTTGCCACGGGCCTGTCATCTACCTCTTTATAATCCCTGACAAAGCCTTCTCCAAATGCCTACGTTCCCACCTTCCACAGGCCATGGGCTTGGCATCCTCCAATTGCCTCAGACCTCTGCACTGCTGACTCTCCCATGGGGCTTATTGCCTTGAAGTTGACATGGGCTCCTTTATCATTTCAGGTCTGTTTTATCTCCCTCACAACTCCATTTTTCAACCCATAGAACATGGTATCCCAGCAACATTGCAAGTGTGGTAGACAGTGGGCACAGGTGATGTCAATCATGAAAAGAAAGATGATCAATATTTAGAAGACCACTGCAGGGATCCAAGAATGCATTTAACAGGCAGGCTAAGGTGGCATAAGGAGAACTAAAATTTTTAAACGTATTGGAAAAAACAGAAATAAAAGGATTAAACACGGCTGGTAGGGAGACATAACAAAAACTACTCTGAGACTCTGAGCCACGGGAATCAGAAGAATGATCAACTAGCACCTAGCACTCAGTGGGTGGGCAAGGGAGGAAGGGAGGGAGGGGACTGTGTGCTGTTAGGGAGAGCTCAGATTTAGACAAGCTACTGTTAGCTGCTAGTGAGACCTCAAGTTGGAAATGCAGGGTGGAGGTTGAGAGAGAACCGAATCTCAAGCTCTGGGTTTGGGGCCAACTGGGTGGGCAAATATACAGAGCTGAATCAGAAAATGGTATCTCTGAGAGAGAAGTGAAGAAAAAGAACAGAGGACCTAGGATACACAGGAATCATAGAAAGCATGACAGAGTGGAGGACAGGAGTTGCTCTCGGATAACAGAGCATCAGAAAATCAAGTAAGTAAACAGGGTCAAGACACAGAGAAGTCAAGGGTGTTAACATGAAACAAACTAGTCAAAGAGAATGAACAGTTGTAACAGTTGTCTGTCTCTCAGCAAACAGCTCAAATGCCACCTCTTCCGAGAAGCCTCCCTGGATCACTCATCAGAAGGCCCTCTCTTCTCTGAACATCCTCCACACCTCTCTTAGCACATCTCCCCTTCTGCAAAGTATGAGGGGCATTATTTAAATCCTTTTATCTCCCTCACCCCGAGATCTAGCAGAGGCTTGAGCATATGGGTGCTCACTAAAACACTGAGGAATAAATGAATACATAACAAATGCTTCTCCTGTGTGTGCTTTTCTGGAATTACTGAAAAATCCAATTTATGAATGTGTGCCTATAAAACTAAATCACAAGTTCTTTGGGATTTATTTGTTCTAACACCCACCGACTTCAATTCAAAGCAGTCCCAGGATACACAACCTGCAAGCATTCTCACTTTTTCCTTTTATCCCATATTTCAAAGGCAATAAAAAGGGGAAAGTTTTTAATTGCTTGCAATTAAGCATAACCTGAGCTTATAAAGTTACATAGTCTCATTATCTTTTACTTTCCTATAAACAAGCTAAATCTCTTTAGTATTTGTACTTCCCAACTTTTTGTTTTGTTGAGGATTTTTTTTGTTAACGTATCAAACAACTTCAAAGGTAATGGCCTCAAAAAGAATTCCATGATAAGAAGCCAAACTTATGTTCTTGCAGCAAGCTGTAGCTGGGCATTTTTATAGTGGTTAAATCATGAACAAAAAGCAAAGAGTGCCACTTCAGGAAAATTAAAGAATCGCAGAGTCTGAGAATGTTCTACTCTGCAAGTAGAAAAACACATTAATAAAGAGGACTTTATAAAGCATTAACCCGACAGTCAAAGCAGCAGCCTCTGAAGACCTTCTTACACTCTCTTCTTTTATAGCCTAGTTTCTTGCAAGGGCAGGCTACAATTTTTACTGTAATTTCTACCTTGAATTCATACTCCAAATCATTATACCCTGGCTGCTGCCTACCCCGCCACCTCAGTCCACTGAAATTCCTCTCAAAAAAAACTAATGACTTCCCAGTTACAAGTTAAACAGACACTGTCAGCCCCTATCCTCTCTACCTTTCTTGGCATTTGACACTGTCACTCACTCCGTTTGTTTGTTTGTTTGTTTGTTTGTTTTTGAGACGGAGTTTCACTCTTGTCACCCAGGCTGCAGTGCAATGGCACAATCTTGGCTCACTGCAACCTCCACCTCCCGGGTTCAAGCAATTCTCCTGCCTCAGCCTCCCGAGTAGCTGGGATGACAGGCGCTCGCTACCACGCCCAGCTAATTTTTGTATTTTTAGTAGAGATGGGGTTTCACCATATTGGCCAGGCTGGTCTCAAACTCCTGACCTCAGGTGATCCACCCGCCTCGGCCTCCCAAAGTGCTGGGTTTACAGGCATGAGCCACCACGCCCGGCCCACTCACTCCCTCTTAAAACCTCTTTAGCTTCCATAGACTGCATCTCTCCCTGCTCACACCGGGTGAGTGGATGTGACCCAGGACTCTGTCCTTGGCCCTCTTATCTTATCCCACATTCTTTCTGAGCAATCTCACTGACTCCCCGATGGCTCCCAAATCACACCCCAGAGCAATCCTCTCTCACATTTTGAACCCATGTTCCTGTTCATACAAATCTCGGGCACCGCAAGCTCCGCAATGCCAAAACTAAACTCATTTTCCTCCCAACCCTGCACCTTCTCACCTGCGGTCTTGATGGCTGAATGGCACCAATGTCCACCCTAGGCAGGAGTCTGGGAGTCGTCCTTAACTCTGGCCTCTCCCCGACCTCACATCCAGCAAATGACCACCTGTCAGTTCAACCTCCCAAGCACCATAAGCACCTGTCCCTCCTTTCCATCTTCACTACCACTGCCTTAATTCAAGGCCCATCATGTCTCCAGCTTCAATGCTCCAACCTATTAACCATTCTCCTGCCTCCAAATTTGTTCCCCTCAACCCCCAATCCATTCCATTCCTACTGCTTAAAGGGTCACCTTTCTAAAATTCAAATCCTACCTTGAGAATCACCAGCATTAATATCTTCCAGAAGCTCAAAAGATTATGATCACAATCCTGAACATCGAAGAAACAGACTTCAGTGATCTGCCTTGCACAACTAAATTCCCCACATGTCACTTTCATTTCATTTCCATTCACCAGCAGCCTCTCTCAGGATTAGCTCTGGGACGTCTTCTCCTCCTCCCTCCCATCCTGCACCTTCTCAGCTTTAGATGAGCTATCCTACTCACCCTTTACAATGCAGCTCAAAGATCACCTCCTCTTCAAATCATGCAGGTGTCCTAGGTTCTCTGAACCTTATTAAGTCTTGTCATTGCTCTGACAGCCCTCATCACGCTGTATCAGAGTCACTGAATCACTGATCCTCTGTCTATTTCCCCACTCATTCATGAGACCCTTGAGCAAGGTGGTCCACGCTTTCCACATCTCTGAGTTGCCAGGTCTAGCAAAGAGCCTCGGAGTCAATGATGCCAGACACGAAGACCCAGAAGCCCATGAACATCTTACTCAGGAAGCAACATGACATTGCCACAAGCATCATGCTTGGTTTTCCCCACTACTGTACTTCTTTGAATCATGAAATGCGAACAAAGATAAGACACATCCCAATTTCAGAAATGTTAAAAGGTGAAAAATTGTCTACGAAACATACTAAGTAGCATGATCATAAAACCTTACGTACTTAGTCATTAGACTCAAAAAGCATTTTAAAAATCTAAGTGCTGACAAATAAACTAGAACTTTCTAAGATAATTCAAATATTTCCACATGAAAAGAATACATACATTATCTTAAAAGGCAATTATAATATTTTTCCTTTGAAACATTAAGGAACTATTTGTTCTGCATCCTAATTGTGGTGTCATAGCACAAATCTCTATTAAAATTCACAGAATTCTAAAAAAAAAATAGAAGTCATGGAAAACATTTTTTTTTTTTTTTTTTTTTTTTTTTTGAGACGGAGTCTCGCTCTGTCGCCCAGGCTGGAGTGCAGTGGCGGGATCTCGGCTCACTGCAAGCTCCACCTCCCGGGTTCACGCCATTCTCCTGCCTCAGCCTCCCAAGTAGCTGGGACTACAGGCGCCCGCCACTACGCCCGGCTAATTTTTTGTATTTTTAGTAGAGACGGGGTTTCACCGTTTTAGCCGGGATGGTCTCGATCTCCTGACCTTGTGATCCGCCCGCCTCAGCCTCCCAAAGTGCTGGGATTACAGGCGTGAGCCACCGCGCCCGGCCGGAAAACATTTTAAGAGATAATATGATTGTCCTCAGGCCCATTCCCTGTACCTTCCCATCCACTAAGCCTGGCCTCTACCTCCATGGACCCTGCCAGAGCCGGAAGAGGACTCTTACCTTCCCTCTAACACTTACCTCATAGGCATGACTCTAAAATCCTGGGATGACCTGCTGCCAGGCCCACCTTCCTACTACCTCCAGCCATTTTCTCTTCCCAGTTCTTGAACCCTGTTGCTTCCAGCTCCAGCCCAGCCTCTCTCTCATCCTCCTCCCACCCACTCTATCCACTGTCCATCTCTTGTTCACTTTACCCTGTGAAATCTGAGCTCTACTGGGCTGGAGGTGGGGGTTTCCCATTTGTCGTGAAATTTTTCGTTACCTCTTCCCCAGGACAGACAGGGTTGGCTTCCAAAGGTTAAAAACTATCTGAACATGGTAAGACATAGAACCCCCACAATAATCGGATTTTCCTTGGAAAACTGAACAAGCCTCAATATTGGCGGGAGGGAGCAAGACTTGCAAGAAGTTAGCCCACACTTTCAGCTGTTTGGGATAACTCATTGACTTTTAGAAATTCCAGAGGGCATTCTGTTGCCCCTCCAGGGTGCTTCATTTACTTACCACAGTAATGTGAATGCAATCCAGGAAGGCCCAGCTTGCCCAACCCATCAACTACACAAGGTATGGAGAGATAAATTTGTAGATGTTTTAGGTCATCCACCAATACACATCTAACATATATTAGCCATATCCTTATGTCTCATAAATTAAGAATGAGAGTGCTATAGAAGGAACTCTAGTGATCTTCTATTTTGCTAATAAGAAAATGGAAACACAAAAGCTACTACGTGGTAAAACTTGGAAGACACACACCGAAGGTGATCCTCTTCAAAAAGACAAAATGACAAATGCCTACAAGTACATGATAATCTGAAATGAAATGCCCTGTAGGTCCACTGATTTGCATTACACAATAAATCTGCCAAATCTACAAGGGGAAGATCAGTTTTGGGAATACAGTGGATTACTGTAGCAGGCAGCTGCCAGAACCTGGAACTGATAAAGATCCACTGAAGAAAAGATATGTGCACAGGAATGCATGACCATATACACTAATATACTTGAGAGAAATAAATGTTAATAAGTTATACTAAGTTTGGCTGTCTGGCCTACACGATGTCAGGGCTTTTTAGTATTTCTTACAAAAACTCAAAGCTTTCTTCCATGAACTTTTTGGCAGCAAATCACTGCTGAAGGCTTACAACCAAATCCCCACTGGGGCACTCAGGAACACTCAAATGGAAGAGGGCAAAGGATATGAGGCTGCAGTTGAGGCCTTCCAGATATCATGAGCAGCATGCACACAAGTTGGAGCTGTTGTTTGCTACCAGTGAATACTAGGACTAAAAAATAAAGGCATTGTTTCGTTTATCCTTGACACCATTCTTTTCCATTTTGTCTCTGAAAATTCCCTTTACGTGCAATTTTATTCCTGGCAATGCAAATTTGATTTCTAACTCATGGCACTGTTGAACTCCCATCTTCACCCCCAGAGTTCTTTGAAAAACACTACCTGTTCCTTTCCTCCCTTCTGAACATTATCACTTTAAAACAGCAGGACTCAAACTTGCATTGAACTATATTCTTTGTGGGGTTTTTAAAACCTTCATTACACAATAAAGAGCTATTGTGAAAAAAAATCAGAAAACATAAATAAGCCAATAGAAATTCATCATTCAGAGACACTGGTGTACATATCATGCAGATATATTTGTTTTTATAAAAATGGCACCACTATGAATCTTCCGTGTGAAAATGTCATCAACATTATTCCATGTCAATATGTTCTCTAACAAAACCATTTAATGACTACTTAATATTTCACTTTAGGTATGTAATATGATGTACTTAACAAATCCCCTATTATTGTAAATTAGAGTGGCTTTCTATTATACTTTAGGCTATTATAAAATCTGGCAGTGAAGACGCTTTCTTAAAATATATTTACATGTATATTTGTCTGATGGTTTCTTTAGGACAAGTTATTAGAAATGGAATTGCTAAGCCAAAAGGCATTTAGCCCACCACCATCCCCCTTTTAGGTCTTTTTATTCATATTGCCAATTCATCCTCCAAAAGGGTTATTCTAATTTACTCTTTTTATATATCATTCAAAAAAATATTTATTTTGTGCCTACTTTTGCTAGGCACTATCAATATAATCATCGATAACAAAACGGACGCAGTCCCTGCCCTCAAGGAGCTTCCAATTTAAGGAAGAGAGAGACACCCACACCCACATTATCAGAGATTCTTCATTATTTTAAGTTGAGGTAAGCTAAAAAGGAAAACTGCAAGATCACAGCAACTTAGAAGAACCCAATACACCCTGAAGGATCTGGAAGAGCTTCCATGAGGAAGAATGGTTCTGGGCTGGGGGCTAAGGTTTTCTGGTATAAATCAGGTAAAAACAGGTTCTAGAGAGCCTTGGAGAAAACATTCTAAGCAAAGGGAACAGTGTGGACAAAGCCGCTGGGAGGGAAAGGAACACAACCCATTTGAAAACATGTAAGCAGCTCACTGTGGCTGGGGCACAGAGGCGGTGGAGAGACAAGGCAAGAGGCCAGGCCACATGGGCCTTCCAGCAGAAGTAGTGTGGACTTCCTGCACTCTCCCCCACTTGTGAGGTATTCAACACCCATGTGCTGAAACAGTCATATGGCGTCAGAGCCTAAAGAACTAACAACTCAATAATGACACATGTATTAGTCAGTTCTCACACTGCCATAAAGATACTACCTGAGACTGGGTAATTTGTAAATTACAGGGGTTTAACTGACTCACACTTCCATATGGCTGGGAGGCCTCAGGAAACTTAAAATCATGGAAGAAGGCAAAGGCGAAGCAAGGCACATCTTACATGGTGGTAGGAGAGAGAGAGAGAGTGTGAAGGGGAAGTGCCACACTTTTAAACCATGAGATCTCATGAGAATTCCCTCACTATCACAAGAACAGCATAGGAGAAACTGCCCCCATGATCCAGTCACCTCCCACCAGGTCCCTCCCTCAAACACATAGGGATTACAATTCGAGATGAGATTTGGGTAGGGACACAGAGACAAGTCATATCAACACAATAAACTGTAAGTCAGAAAAACAGATGTAAATAAAGCTGCCAAGCTACCTTGCATAAGGAACGTACTTTCAATCTGTTCCCAAACATTTACACTTACAATATCATGCCATGTGCTTTAAACAATATAATCAGCTAAATACATTGGTTTAATATCTTGTCTAAAATATCTGCATTCTTTGACTTTAACAAATAATATGTTAAGGCTGAAAAATATTAAAAAGTATTTAAAGTTTGTCAGAGAAGCTTCATACTCATATTTTACTTAATATAAAAAAAACCACATATGTTACTTAAAGTTCTACTCTGGAGAAAAAGCTACCCCCATAATCTTTCAGTGACTGTAATTGGGCAAGTTCTCTTTATTCTGACTTGGGTTTTCTTCTAGATAATCTTCTGCATGAATAAAAGTTAAAATCAGTGTTTTTGTATTTTTTAAAATCAAAAGAAGACATCAAGTACTCCGTGTGCAGTGTTTTAATTTATCCATGTACATAGGCAATTATCATAATTTGAAGGACACTTTTTACTTATTAGACTATAAGAAAAACTGTACAGAAAGTTTATACTATAAAATTACATCCCTAAGTGATTAGGGTCCTCAGTAACACAGAAATAAGAAATTGAAAAGGGTCATTGCTCGGCAATCCACATAACTACAGAGTAGAGCGCAAGCTATTGTTCGTGATCAGAAAGAGACTTCATAAAAACATCTTCACATATTCCCTAGCATTATGCCCTACTAGTAAAAGGAAGGCCTATGACAATGCCATTGTTTATTTTGTGTAACGCAGCCCTTCTATTTCCCTCAAAAGTTTTTTTTTCCTGCTATAAGATAAAGAAAAGGCTGTATCCCTAAGATATATACCTAATGAAGATTATCTCAACAGAAGCTCCAACGTTTTCCATTTTTCACTGTCTTTCCTGAAGTTCACCTGGATGTTCCACAGCAATTTTCTAACCCTTTCATTGTTGATTAGCCTACTAAAAGTAGAATTCTTTAGCAACACACAATACAAAAGACACAGGCTAAAACAGGCCTCACAAATACACTTTGAAATAGGTATATTTGGATATAAATATAACTTTCCAGTCCATTATTTTTTCTAATGACTAAACTCTAAATTTTTAAAAATGGAAGTTTTCAAACCAACGATGTGTTAAGCCCATTCTCATGACACATTCATTTTAACTTCTCATCTGCAAAACATAACGCAATAAATTACCAAAGAGGAAGAAAAAAACATGAAGCTCACCTGCCTTATAAAATGAAAACCAAGCATTACAAGACATGTAATAGCAAATACTAAGCTACACATTTTTTTTCTGAGCAATTTTTTAACTCTTCTTGATCCTAAAAGTCACAAAAGATCAATGTAGAAAATTTGAAAAATATTCTGAGTTTTTAATTAATATTCTGAGGTTTCAATTAATATGAGGTTATTTCTAGTAGTATATTTTCTATTATACATAAGTAATTGGGTTTAAAACAAGCATGTGACAGCATACTTTTTCTTGAATAAAATTAGGATATTATATTTGCATTTTTATCTTTTGTTTACTTAGCATACGGCATGTTAAGCATCTATGACATTAAAAATCCTTCTAAAACATGGTTTTAACAACATATCACATGGATGTGTCATGATATATTTAACCATTTTCCCTACTCTAAGACATTTATGTTGTTTCCAAACTTTTAACATAATATGACTATCATAAAGATATTCAAAACTCATACTTCTGATTATTTTAAGATGTATTTGTTAAAAGTGAATTTAATATGACCAAAACCACCCCCATCTCAAAAAAACAGACTGTTCTACCAGATTTTAACCTAGTCAAAAGTCACAACAATTACAATCACATGGTATATATATTTACAAATAAATGTTTAAAATCATAAAAACTTCAATGTCTAAAAATATTAGAAATAACAGGAAACAGAATCACTATTATGTTTCAGTACATACTTTTAGAAAAAGAAATGTTAACTTAATCACCATGCTATATACTTAAATCTCTTCCAAATGAATCAGAGAACACAGAACCACATATTGGTACCAGAAGAAGATGAAAAATTATCAACTACTTAAGAAAAAGAAAATATCTGAGAGAATGGAAGGGTAAGCCCAGTCCAGGACCTCAGGACGAAGGCCTTTCCTCCAATAAATTACAAGTAATATAGATCGATCTCTGTCTCTCTCTCTCTCTCTCTCTCTCTCTCTCTCTCCCCCTCTCTCTCTCTCTCTCTCTCTCTCTCCCCCTCTCTCTCTCTCTGTGTCTCTCTCTGTCTCACAGAGAACAACTTAAATTGAATTATTTTTTTTCTTCGTTTCAAGCCTTAATATCCATTTTTAAATTTTCTGAAGCAAACAAGAATGTTGTTATAATAGTTCCACACACATAATAGCTAGCTCTCAAAACTCAAGGAAAACTAATCTCTTAGAAGTTCAAAGCCCAGGCCAGGCGCAGTGGCTCACATCTGTAATCCCAGCACTTTGGGAGGCCGATGCAGGCAGATCACTTGAGCCCAGGAGTTCTAGACCAGCCTGGGCAACATGGCAAAACCCCATCTCTACTAAAAATACAAAAAATTAGCCAGACATGTTGACACACAACTGTAGTCCCAGCTACTTGGGAGGCTGAGATGGGAGGATTGCCTGAGCTGAGGAAGTTGAGGCTTCAGTGAGCTGTGACCATGCCACTACACTCCAGCCTGGACGACAAGCATGGGAATCAAAAAAAAAAAAAAAAACTTCAAAGCCCAAACCTTGAAACGAAATGCTCATATTTAAGATTTCAAAAATAAAGACAACTTTTTACCCTTTTAATACTTACTCAGTATGGGAAAATTTTATTTCTTCCCTTTGTCTTGCAGAATAATTTAGGTTCCCACCTAAAACACAAATAAACATAGATCTTTTCCATATAAGTATTATCAGTAAGTAAATTTCAACCATACATACATACATGCAACCATTTGCATAGATACACTGTATTTTAAGTAATAGAAAAAGCTATCGACGATGAAAAAGTAATGGTTTATCTACTGGAACCTTCCCAAAGGGAAAAAATGAAATTCTTGTGTGATATAAATAATCACCCCTTAATTTAAGCATTTTTTTAAGTTTGGACTTATGTATTGCTTCAAGTGTTGTTACTTAGGACACTGTATTAATATTCAATAATAGTGAAAATTAAGAGAAATTAAAGGAAATGAACAGGTGTGGTAGCTCACGCCTGTAAATCCCAGGCTAAGGCGGGAGGATTGCTTGAGCTCAGGAGTTTGAAACCAGCCTGGGCAACATAGGGGGACCCCATATCTAGAAAAAATTTTAAAATTAGCTGGCTGTGGTGGCATACACCTATAGTCCCAGCTGTTTGGGAGGCTAAAGTGGGAGGATCACTTGATCCTGGGAGGTTGAGGCTGCAGTGAGCTGGGATCGCACCACTGCACTCCAGCCTGGGTGACAGAGTGAGACTCTGTCAAAGAAAAAAAGAAAAGAAAAAAAAAACTATTAAAATAAAAAAAAAAGGAAATGACCTGAAATTATTTACACAGCATATATATTATATTCTACTAAATATATAAAACTCTTTAGGAGCAAGCAGTTAGAAAAATTACTAATGACAACATCAAAATCTTATCAAGAACAACAACAAAAATCCACTAATGCATACAGTACGAATTAGCAAAAGAAAAAAAATCTGTAATTTCTAATTCTAAACCAAACATCTTGAACCTTAAAATGTAAATTATAGCTATAAATTTGCTTAGTTCTGATTTCTTTTAACGTAGGACAATAACACAGAGGGGCTTTAGGTTACTTTTTAAATGCTATATTTCTTTATGTTAATATAAAAATAACATCTAAGATTTTATATTATTAAGAAACTCATCTGGCTAGATTTTAAAAAATGACAGCAATCTTAATAAATATGAAGGCCCAGAAAACATAATTATATATTACATAATCAAATGTGTTTCCATCATTATGAACAGAAAGTCATTACTGCATGGAATAAAGCACTGGCCCCCAAAGAGGCAGACCCAGAGACCCCACAAGATGATCCACTGCGGTTTAAGAAGCAAATATCAGATCTTCTACTTACCCTGGGCACGATTCACCAAATAGAGTAAGACCACAGATAAAAGTGACACTAGGAGTGAAAAAACATAGGGCCCTTAAAATATGTATTTCTTCTCAATGATTCCTATGTAATCATAATCACAAAGCAAAGCTTAGACACAATCAAACCTTTATTAATTGCTATTTTAAATAAAAATATTATTCCCATTATTTTATTTTCCAAAAGCACTAAAAATAAGTTACACACTATTTTCTCCAAGGGCTACTCAGCCCAGGGGTGGCAGGCCAGAAACAAAGAAGTTGAGGCCCCTAGAAAAAAGGGAGCCGACCCAGCCACAGCCCAGCCCTGCCCCTCTTTCCTCTCCCTTTCTCAGTGCTGGTCCTTTGCAGGACTTACCAAAAACTCCTGCCAGCCCCCGATTGTTTATCATTTCAGAGGAAGCCAAATAGTAGTCTTTTGGGGGCTTTAAGTCTGAAAATGCCATGTCCATTTTACAAATTTCAAGTAACCAAACATTAAAATGTGATCATTAGACTCAAATCAATCAAGACCTCAAAATTCAAGTTTTCCCTTGGCTTTTTCCTTTAATAAGTGAAGAACACTGTTTAATTTACTTTAAAATAATAGGGCAGGCCTATTATCTTATTATTTTGATTCATGCCTGTAATCCCAAAGGCAGGAGGAGCGCTTGAGGCCAGGAGTTCAAGTCCAGCCTGGGCAACACAGTGAGACAGCATCTTCACAAAAAAATTTAAAAACCAGCCAAGCATGGTGGTGCACACCTGTAGTCTTAGCTATCACGGAGGCTGAGGTGGGAGGATCACCTGAACTCCGCAGTTCAAAGTTACATTGAGCTGTGACTGCTCCACTGCATTCCAGTCTGGGTGACAGAGACAAATCCTGTCTCTAAAAAAGTAATAATAATAAAATAAAATAACAGAAAAACATATTCAAACGGCACACTGTTTGCTTTGAGACCCAAATACATGTTGAACTGTGGACTGACATTTAACCACATGCTGCAACAACAAAAATAGACAAAAAACATTTTATGATTTAATGTCTGAAATTCTTATATGACCCACTTTTTTAAACATTTATTTTTAAAACTTGACGTCCTTGTTTCTAAAACAAGCACGTTTATTTATGAGATAATAAAATGCACTCAAGGCAACTCATAAGCAATTATCTGCAAATACCACACTTCAGGTATGGATGGTCTTTATTCCCTATAAATGAAAACAAAGTTTGATAAAATCATCACTGTGGTTTGTCATTTTAAGCACAATATTGAACTATAAAAGACATCTTGATGTGTTAAGGAGAATTTTCTTTTCAGATAAACACAATTTATATGTAGGGTAAAGATTACCTATGGACAAATGCTATTATTTTTATATATTTTTCAAGTTTCCTAATGCTTCCAATTTCAAACCAATGAAATTACAGGTAAAAACTAAATTACGGACTAAAAATAAAAATCAGTTAAAACTGCCTAATGAATAACCATGAGTACTCACACCTAAATCACACCAACGTTTCCACATAGTCACATTAAGGATATACTCAGGACTCTTCAAATTGTTCCACTTTAAGTGGGAAAATGCTTTTTTTTTTTAAACTGTAAATAGTTAAAACAGAATATGAAACCAACTCAATCACTGCCTTTAAGGATAGGAATCTCCTAAAAAATGCCTGTGAATCTTCAGAGGGCTAGAAAGTCACCAGCTATGAAATTCTAATTCACAGGTGAGAATTAGGCAAATCTGGGAGCTATGCCTAAGTAAAAATAAGAACATTCTGTTATGTAGTAAAAGAAACAAAATGTTGTCATACGGAATACTCACAAGAAACACAGGCAATGAAGAACACTTCCAAAAACAAATACCCCCGAGAATCCAGTATCATACCAGCAATGATGGAAATGATGGCCAACCCAAGATTCTGAATGGACTGCATGCTACAATGGAAGAAATATAAAGACACATTTCATTTTCAAAAGTCTTCACACATAGGCTAACACTTCACTATAAATATTAGTATCTGTGAACCATATACTATTTGTGTTCAGAGATGTTTTCCACCAGGGATGACTTGATTAGATTTTGGATTGGTTTTTATCCCATAACTATTTCCACTACTAGACTGCTCAAAGGTAAGGGAGCTTGTCTCATTAAGTGCAATGTGGATTCAATACCTTTGTGCTGAATGAAAGAAGGGCCATGTGAATATCAACCACAGGTGCGGTTTCCCCCCTCTGCCTTTCTGTGCCAGGAACTGGACTCAGCTTCTCACTAAGAAGCCTCACATAAACAGGCAGGGAGATTATAATGTCAGCAAGGACCTCTTCTGGGTTAGCTTACTCCAGCCCTCTTGCTGGAGGCTCTTTTGTGGCCACAACAGTATCTTAAATAGATTTACTGACTTTTCCAGTTATCTCCAGGTTCAGCGCTACCCCAGAGGCTGGATGACGACTAGATTCAGATCTGGAGTTTTATATGATAATTAAATTGACATAGCAGAGACAGACATATACGATCCACAGCGTAAATACTTACAAGCCATATGCAGTTCCCAGCTGATGTTCAGGAACTACAAATGCCACCATTGGCCACAATGCACAGGCAAGCAATGAGTAGGAGAGTCCCAGAAGACACTACAGAAAGCAACGCAGAAAAGGTCACAGTCTTACATTAACCAAAAGGTGATTTTCCTTTAATGCAGATTAGCAAAAGTGACAGAGTAGTTAATATATATATATTCAAGCAAATTTTGTTGTTATTAGGCTAAAATTCGTATTCAAAATATACAAAACAAGTCTCTGCCCTAAGAGTATCCTTTTAGCGACAAGATACATGCTGTCTTAACCATTTTCATTTGTCATCATATTATATGCATATGTAACTGGCTGGGGCCCAAGATGCAGTCAAGGACCAAGTAAGAAAATAAAGGTAATTTTTAAAAAGTTCTTACCAATGTTTCAGGCAAGCTAATTTTCCAGTATTTATTAGGAGTTACAGATTAGGCAATCAAGGCAATATCATGCCAACAGTCCATCATCCTACGTCTGAGCCACCAATACCCAGTAATCACCACCAATGCTTGGTAAACCTCACCTAATGCTGATTTTTTCTTCAATTAAAAAAGAAATATTGTGATTTAAATTTAAATGAGTATCACTTATAACTATCAGATTGGCAAAGATTAAAACAATGACAATGCCCAATACTAGCAAGGATACTAAAAAAAGTCACATTGTATATTACTAAAGTTATAAATGGGTAGAAAGTTATCGGAGAAAGTTTCACAATCTCAACCAAGATGTTAAATACGCAAACCCACTGCTGTAGCATCTCTACTTCTAGGAGTCTGTACTGTATCTGTTGAAACACTTCTAGAGAAATGCCCACTCACTGCACAAATATTTATGTTCCAGATATTCCTTTATTAACAGGTAGGAAATGCAGCACTAGAGCCTCGGGTCTTAAAAATGATGTTTTGAACAACAATAACAAAAACTTGAATTCATTATCACTTTTTAACCTACTAAGCAAGTCAAAGAAAAAGAAGAGTTACTGGTCCAACAGATTTTTGGTTTTTTGCCATCTATGATGGAATGCCTTCTTTTAAGTCACCTATTTTAGAAAAACAAATGGGACTAATAAGCATTCTGGCTTTTATAAGGCTACTTTATTTCAAATTCTCTTTCAGCACTGAAGTTAACTGGTTAAATAAATCAAATGAAATTAAAAGATACCTTATATGTTAATAATTCATAATTATACTTTAAAAAATAATTATTTTGTAGATATTGGAATCAAGTTGTCATCTCCCCACTATCATAGGCCTTGTCATCTGAATTTGCTGAGCGTGCCTACTTAGATGAACATGACAGACTCCTTGCTGAAGCCCTGACCCCACCATGGGCTAACACAGACGTTACCATAGCAATCCAAGGGTTCCACATCGTAAAGGCCAGCATCATGTGGGACACAAGAGTGGCTGCTACTGCGCAAAGAACCCAGATGATGTTCTTCCCTGTTTTATCCACCAGGAGCCCAAACACCGGGGACATGGGAGCTGATATGACATATACAACACTGCCCAGAGAACACATAAGACATTTCATGAAATGCAACACAGTCAAACATCAGTTTCAAGAAAGTCTTGAAAATATCAGGCAAAGCAAATCCTAACTCATTTAACATTCTTATAAAATGCTCATCAAAAAATATAAAAAGCAGTTCAAGACTTCTTTGGTTTTCCACTAATTTAAACACAGCCACTCAGGATTCAAGTCCCAATGTAGTCCCAGTTTCGCACTTAAAAAATATTAGGTCACATACATCTTTTTTGCTTCTTTTAACATTTGATTATAAAGACCCATACTTCACATGCAATAGGCACTTACAAAATTAATTTTAAAATACCTGTTAATTGCACTTGCTGCCTGGGAAGAAAATCCAAATTTCTCTGTAAAGAAAACTCTAAAATTAAAAAGACAGAGAAATTAGCACATTAGAGAGAACTACTCTGTTTTCAAAAAATAAAGTTGAATAAAAATAACTCAAGTTTAATCAGCTTCTTTCTTGATATTATTCTCCCACCTTATTTATATTCACCTTCAGGCAATCTGCTAAAGCTTCAGTATTTATATTAATGTTTACTGACTAAATGACATATGATGCATATTTTTTTCCTTTTCTGGTATGCAGTAAGGAATACACACAAATTTTCAGAAAATCAAATATACTACCACAGGGACTTAAGGCTGCTTCTTTTCCTTAAAAGCAGTACTGAATGGGTTCTTTGCTAAATAATAAACAGGGTTCTTGTCTGAAACTATTTAAAAGGACAGCCTGAACTCAAAGGGTATAAACCATACCCTTACACAAACACACTTACATTGCGCTGCTTAAGCAGCTGCCAATGAAAAAGGAGAGAGAAGTAGAAGATAAAGCAAAGAAGAATTTGCTTTGAACCCAGAATTTAAGTCTGGCAGAATTACAGTCCTAATCAATGGAGATGTTCCCAGGCACAGTGCACCAATAAACAGTCTCCATTCTCAGTAAGAGCCTTTCTAACCAAGGAATAAAGAGGGAATGAAAAAGAATACTAGTCTAAAATCAACTATTAAATCAATATTATGAATCAAAAATTATTAGGTATTGACATGGTTTGGCTGTGTCCCCATCCAAAGCTCATCTTGAATTGTAATCCCCGTAATCCCCACCTGTCATGGAAGTGACCCTGTAGAAGGTAATTGAATCATGGGAGTGGTTTCCCCCAAGCTGTTCTCGTGATAGTGAGTGAGTTCTCACGAGATTTGATGATTTTATAAGCAGCTGGCATTTCCCCTGCTGGCACTCATTTCTCTCTCCTGCCACCATGTGAATGAAGAATGTTTGCTTCCCTTTCTGCCATGGTTATAAGTTTCCTGAGGCCTTCCCAGCCCTATGGAACTGTGAGTCAATTAAATCTTTTTCCTTTATAAATTACCCTATCTGGGGCAGTTTTTTATTAGCAGCATGAGAGTGGAGTAATACAGGTATTTCTTCAAAAGAATAATAAAAGTATAAAACCAATACTAAACCTTAAGCTAAAAGAAAATGTATATCCCAGGATCTAAAGTAATTCCTGTGAAAATATAAACTATAACCAGAGAAGCAAGATTTACTGCTTTAAAAACTACATTTATGTGATTGAACTCTCATGATAATTTAGACAAGAAATAATGGAAACATAGAGAATACTCACTTCCCAAGTCCAATAAAAGGGAACACAGCAACATAATAGCAGACACAGATGATAAATATAAGCCACAGGGGTAAGGAGAAGTCCTTTACATCAGTTAATTTAATAACTTCACCTTAGAGAAGAAAGGGAAGACACTATCAGCATAATTTTGCATACCTAAGGAGCTTTCATCTATAGTCAAGATTATTTTTTAAAATCTTGTGATTAATCTTTGCAATTCAACTTAAAAAAATACTTTTCTAGTAAATTACACAAACATCATTTCTGGGATAACTT
This sequence comes from Homo sapiens, assembly GCF_000001405.40. NCBI lineage: Eukaryota > Metazoa > Chordata > Mammalia > Primates > Hominidae > Homo > Homo sapiens. Next base: position 158,820,050 of record NC_000003.12, on the reverse strand, counting down.
ACAAAGACATAAGAAAAAGCAAAACCTAAGACTAAGACTGGCATCTACCTTTCCTGCTCCTTTCCAAGAATAACCATTTTGCAAATATACAATCGAGAATGTAAATTCTGCCAAAAGATTTAAGGGGAAAAGAAAATACATCTAAAAATTTAGAAAAGTGGAAATCAATTTGGAAATAAAAAATAAAAATCATGTCTTAAGCTCCACCTGGTTTTACAACACTTCATTAGGAACTTAGATCTCATTATAAAATCTCACAAAGGCCGTAATTCCCCTAAGTCCCATTCTTTCATTTAGACTTACCTGTTTTTCCTTGTTCTTTATGAAGGATTCTCTCTGCTCTCTGATCCAAGTAGGCAAGAGCCAAGGCACAGATTAGTGAAAGAATACACGTTATACCCCCTAAATAAAAAAAAAAAAAAAAGAAAAACAGACTTTGAAAAGAGAACCAAACAGAAGGTTCCTAAGGAGAAGTACATTACATAAACAGCAAAAACAGCAACTGAAAGGGATGTCACATAAAGACACGAGAAAAATCTGCAATTACTAAATCGGGACAAAAGAGGAAGAGTACATTCAAATACTCAGCAAACAGTAGTAGCTTTTACTGCATTATTTCACAGTTCAAAGTTAAAGATTAAAAGGAAAAGACTAGAAAAAACTAGTCTAGTCCTGTAATGCAGAATACAGACTGAAGAAAACTGATGAGCAGCTACTGATGTAGTCCTCATTTCTTCATTCAGTCTAAGCACCAATTGTCAATGGACACCAGGGAAAAAATGATGAAGCCAAGTTAGGCTCTTCATCTCTCTTCCTTCCGATGTTTTCCCAGAGTCCACGGCCTTCGCTCCTGCCCTCTGGCAGCCCAAGTGCCCCATCCTCCCAAAGCGCAGTACTCTCAAGCTCTTTCCTGTGAGATCAGCATTTCTCTCTAATACCAATCTCATATCACTACAGAAAATCAGGATAAAGAGTGAATAACGATACACTTCTCAGGAAGAATTTCCAAAAGAAGCTTAATAAAATAAATGAATCTTTAATTCACTGCCCTACCACAGCCCGGTTGAAAATTCGCTGAAATGAGCATCAGTAGACGTGAGCTCTAACGAGCTGAATCACCTTGGACATGGAACACAAGCTCTCTTGGATTCAATTTCCCCAGTTTTAAATAAGAGGATTTGACCTGATGATGGCACAGGTCTTTTCTGGCTCTAAAAGTCTTACTCTAAAATTTCCCATTGTGGAGGAAATTAGATGGAATACTAAGAAGCTTTTAAGAGTAAAAAGGAGGTTTTAAGTAAGGCAAAGGATTTGAGAGGGAGAGTTTGAAAGAATCTTTAAATATGCTTGCCTGCTTAGGATTACCACTCCACTGTCTTCTTTTACCAGGCTGTATCGACCAAGGAATTATAAGGAATAAAACACAGAAAGACAAATACTATGCATATGTGGAATAAAATATATATATATATTTTAAAAACCTGATCTTATAGAAGTAGTGAGTAGATCAGTGGTTTAATTAGAGACTGGGGAGGAGATTGGAGAAAGGAAGACAGGTAGACATTAATCAAGGGGTACAAAGTTACAATTAGGAGGAGTAAATTCTGGTGTTCTATTGCACAGCAGGATGACTATGGTTAACAGTAAGGGATTATACATTAAAAAATAGCTAGAAGAGAGGGTTTTGAGTGTTGTCACTACAAAAAAGTGATAGACGCATGAGGTGATGGATATGCTACATACTCTGATTTGATTGTTACACAATGTATCTGTGTATGGAAACATCAAATTGTACCCATAAATATGTATAATTATGTGTCAATTTAAAAATTAGGGAAAAAGGGAATAAAAGATGTGCACATCTTGGGCACAGAACTTTCACCCTATCATCACACAGGTCTCTCTACAGCCCTGCAAACAGCCAAATGCACACCACAGGGTTCAGTTAGACAAACTGCCTGCCCAGAGAAAAAGCAAAAGTGGTAAACCCAGAAGGCTTCGTGCCCTTCCCAGTGACCCACCCAGCAACTAGCACCATGGAGCCATAGCTAAGAGAACTTAGGGACAGTAGTGACCTATATAGTCTTGTTGAAACAACTGTAATTATATTATAATAGGATCCAAATTGAACAGGAGATAATTTCCTTAAAAGACACTACAAGAAAAAGAAATTGAACAGGAGGTAATTTCCTTAAAAGACACTACAAGACGTCAGGTAGCGTGATGCCTCCAGCTTTGTTCTTTTGGCTTAGGATTGACTTGGCGATGCGGGCTCTTTTTTCGTTCCATACGAACTTTAAAGTAGTTTTTTCCAATTCTGTGAAGAAAGTCATTGGTAGCTTGATGGGGATGGCATTGAATCTATAAACTACCTTGGGCAGTATGGCCATTTTCATGATATTGATTCTTCCTACCCATGAGCATGGAACGTTCTTCCATTTGTTTGTATCCTCTTTTATTTTATTGAGCAGTGGTTTGTAGTTCTCCTTGAAGAGGTTCTTCACATCCCTTGTAAGTTGGATTCCTAAGTATTTTATTCTCTTTGAAGCAATTGTGAATGGGAGTTCACTCATGATTTGGCTCTCTGTTTGTCTGTTATTGGTGTATAAGAATGCTTGAAATTTTTATACATTGATTTTGTATCCTGAGACTTTGCTGAAGTTGCTTATCAGCTTAAGGAGATTTTGGGCTGAGACAATGGGGTTTTCTAGATATACAATCATGTTGTCTGCAAACAGGGACAATTTGACTTCCTCTTTTCCTAATTGAATACCCTTTATTTCCTTCTCCTGCCTAATTGCCCTGGCCAGCACTTCCAACACTATGTTGAATAGGAGTGGTGAGAGAGGGCATCCCTGTCTTGTGCCAGTTTTCAAAGGGAATGCTTCCAGTTTTTGCCCATTCAGTATGATATTGGCTGTGGGTTTGCTATAGATAGCTCTTATTATTTTGAGACACGTCCCATCATGCTACCTGACTTCAAACTATACTACAAGGCTACAGTAACCAAAACAGCATGGTACTGGTACCAAAACAGAGATATAGATCAATGGAACAGAATAGAGCCCTCAGAAATAATGCAGCATATCTACAACTATCTGATCTTTGACAAACCTGAGAAAAACAAGCAATGGGGAAAGGATTCCCTATTTAATAAATGGTGCTGGGAAAACTGGCTAGCCATATGTAGAAAGCTGAAACTGGATCCCTTCCTTACCCCTGATACAAAAATTAATTCAAGATGGATTAAAGACTTAAACGTTAGACCTAAAACCATAAAAACCCTCGAAGAAAACCTAGGCATTACCATTCAGGACATAGGCATGGGCAAGGACTTCATGTCTAAAACACCAAAAGCAATGGCAACAAAAGCCAAAATTGACAAATGGGATCTCATTAAACTAAAGAGCTTCTGCACAGCAAAAGAAACTACCATCAGAGTGAACAGGCAACCTACAAAATGGGAGAAAATTTTCGCAACCTACTCATCTGACAAAGGGCTAATATCCAGAATCTACAATGAACTCAAACAAATTTACAAGAAAAAAACAACCCCATCAAAAAGTGAGCGAAGGACATGAACAGACACTTCTCAAAAGAAGACATTTATGCAGCCAAAAGACACATGAAAAAATGCTCATCATCACTGGCCATCAGAGAAATGCAAATCAAAACCACAATGAGATACCATCTCACACCAGTTACAATGGCGATCATTAAAAAGTCAGGAAACAACAGATGCTGGAGAGGATGTGGAGAAATAGGAACACTTTTACACTGTTGGTGGGTCTGTAAACTAGTTCAACCATCGTGGAAGTCGGTGTGGCGATTCCTCAGGGATCTAGAACTAGAAATACCATTTGACCCAGCCATCCCATTACTGGGTATATACCCAAAGGACTATAAATCATGCTGCTATAAAGACACATGCACATGTATGTTTATTGCGGCACTATTCACAATAGCAAAGACTTGGAACCAACCCAAATGTCCAACAATGATAGACTGGATTAAGAAAATGTGGCACATATACACCATGGAATACGATGCAGCCATAAAAAATGATGAGTTCATGTCCTTTGTAGGGACATGGATGAAACTGGAAATCATCATTCTCAGTAAACTATCACAAGGACAAAAAACCAAACACCGCATGTTCTCACTCATAGATGGGAATTGAACAATGAGAACACTTGGACACAGGAAGGGGAACATCACACTCTGGGGACTGTTGTGGGGTGGGGGGAGGAGGGAGGGATAGCATTAGGAGATATACCTAATGCTAAATGACGAGTTAATGGGTGCAGCACACCAGCATGGCACATGTATACATATGTAACTAACCTGCACATTGTGCACATGTACCCTAAAACTTAAAGTATAATAATAATAATTTAAAAAAAGAAAAAAAAAAGTCTACTTGAAAAGTACAAGGAAATAGAAACAGAAAATGATATAAATAATATCTGTATTTTGGTAATTATGGTACCTTTTCTACCAAACATTTTTAAATACACATTTTTATATGCATGTGTATATATGTATGTTATTGCTATTTTCTGATTATGGGAAAGAAAGATACAATTCTATATGCCTATTTTAGGAAGGGTAATAAATGCTAGGAATTGTATTGAGCTCTTGTTGTAGATACTTGAAATATAATAGTGGCTTAAACTTGAAAAAAAAAAAAAAAAGACACTACAAGAAAAGAAAACTGAGACACAGAAGGTTAACTTTCTTATCCAAGATGACAGAACTAGTTAGAGCTAGCATTAGAGCCAGGGCTCCTGACTCCCAACTTAGTGGTTTTTCAACCATATCATATCACATCAAACCTCCATAAAATCTAAGCTTTCCAGGCACACTGACGGAAAAAGTCAGTATTTGATTAAAAGGAAGCAATTCTCCCTTATGCTATGGACGTTTTGTTTGGTTGGTTGGTTGGTTGTTTTTTTGTTTGTTTGTTTTGAGACAGAGTTTTGCTCTTGCCGTCCAGGCTGGAGTGCAACGGCGTGATCTCAGTTCACCTCAACCTCCACCTCCCAGGTTCAAGGGATTCTCCTGCCTCAGCCTCCCGGGTAGCTGGGATTACAGGCATGTGCCACCACGCCCAGCTAATTTTTGTATTTTTAGTAGAGACGGGTTTCTCCATGTTGGTCAGGCTTGTCTAGAACTCCCGACCTCAGGTGATCCACCCACCTCGGCCTCCCAAAGTGCTGGGATTATAGGTGTGAGCCACCGTGCCCGGCTGCTATAAACTTTTAATTAACATCTTACCTGAATAAATTCTCAGGTTGTTCTCAAAGAGTTTTTACACATATAATCTCTTTGTATGCATGAATAAATTCTCAGGTTGTTCTCAAAAAGTTTTTATTTACATGATCTCTTTGTATGTATGAGATGCAAATGCCAATATTAAAGTAGACAACAGGCCAGGTGCGGTGGCTCACGCCTGTAATCCCAGCACTCTGGGAGGCAGAAGTGAGCGGATCCCCTGAGGTCAGGAGTTCGAGACCAGCCTGGCCAACATGGTGAAACTCCATCTCTACTAAAAATACAAAAATTAGCCAGGCATGGTGGCAGGAGCCTGTAATCCCAGCTACTCGGGAGGCTGAGGCAGGAGAATTGCTTGACCCTGGGAGGCAGAGGTTGCAGTGAGCCGAGATCGCGCCACTGAACTCCAGCCTGAGCGACAGAGCAAGACTCTGTCTCAAAAACAAATAAAAATAAAATAAAGTAGACAACAAGGAATAAGGCTATCCATTTTAAGAAATTTTAAATCCATTTTCAGAAAGTGGAAATTAATATACAAACAGCGTAAATGATAGCCTATTTCTAGTTGTGTCAAAGAGTTCATTAGAACCATGGAGACAACACTATAACCAAAGTAGATACAAATTCCAGTGTGCCTTCCTCCCTGCTATGATACTTCCTATGACAAGCCTTCAGAAGAGGAGAGATGTGGGACATGGGATTCACTCACCAATCATAAGTGTGATCCCGAGGGTTGTGTGACCAGCAGAACCTAACAAAGCTTCAATCTTAGAATACAGCCATCCCATGAGGTTCATGTTTACTGTACTTCCCTAAATGAGAAGGGAAAAAAAAACAACAGCATTTTAAATCATATATATCTCTGCTTTGTTCAAAAAAAGGGATTTGAGGTGGCTCAGAAGTAGGATCCAAATTGAACAGGAGGTAATTTCCTTAAAAGACACTACAAGAAAAAATTGACAAACCAAGATAAAGCCACAGATAGTTACGACAGCAGAAAAAAAAAAAAAAAGCCAATTTATTAGAAACTGCTAGTATAAAAAAATAACATAATACATGTAGAATTTCCTACCAGCCAAAGCAAAAGTGAAACATGAGTTATAAAATCTAGAGTATCTAAGACAAAAATATACCAGTAACAGAAAAAGCACAACTTTTCCTGGCACTGAAATCTGAGGGAAAAACATCTTCCTCTGAATGTCCATAAAGAGGACAGTAAAAGTTATAATAGATGATTCTTCATTCATTTATTCATTCACTCAGCAATTACTGAGCCCCTATTACATGCCAGTCACTGTTTCAGGTATTGGGAATATAATAAAGAATAAAGTGGCCAGGCACAGTGGCTCATGCCTGTAATCCCAGCATATTGGGAGGCCGAGATGGGTGGATCACAAGGTCAGGAGTTTGAGACCAGCCTAGCCAACATGGTGAAACCCTGTCTCTACTAAAAATACAAAAATTAGCCAGGCATGGTGACGGGCACCTGTAATCCCAGCTACTCAGGAGGCTCAGGCAGGAGAATAGCTTGAACCCAGGCGGTAGAGGTTGCGGTGAGCTGATATCATGCCACTGCACTCTAGCCTGGGTGACAGAGCAAGACTCCGTCTCAAAAAAAAAAAAAGAAGAAAGCATAAAAATATCCAACTTACTTTGGTTAAAAAAAAAAAAGTAAAATATCTAGTATATTAAATATTGACAAGTACTTTTAAAAAATAAGAAAGAAATAAAGCTGGAAAGGAGAATATAAAATTGGGAGTGGAGGCCTCCCAACTGAAAGCAACTTTGGCGTATAAACTTGCAGGAAACGAACTGTGGGGATACCTGAGGGAGGAGCACTCCAGGCAGAAGGAACAGCCACTGCACAGGCCCCAAGAGGAGCTTGCCTGGAGAGTTCAAGGAATGGCAAGGAGAGCAGAGGCTGGAACAGTGCAAACAGAACGGAGAGGATGAGATGAGGTCCCAGTGAGGAAATGGTGGGAAGGGAAGCTACAGGAGGACTTTCAGTTTTTATTCTGTGTGAGATGGGAAGCCATTGGGGTTTGAGTATAGAAGTGGCATGATACTTTGACAGACTCATACTGGCAGACTCACTCTATCTTCAAAACAGACCACAAGGCAAAAGCAAAGGCACCAGTTAGGGAGCTATAGCAATAATCCAGAACAGAGATGATTGGGCCTAGCCCTAGGTGGTTAGCAGTGGGCATGGTGGGAAGTGGTCAGAGCATAGATATATTTGCATATAAGTTGCCCTGAGTTTCTAGAAGGGAATCTCAGGGGCTTCTTAGAGGCAGTTTAGGGATTATGAGAGTGGTAGGGAGATCTTGAGGAGGTGAAATGAGCCAGATCGCAGGCAGCCACCTCAGTTTCAGCCAACGCTGCTCAACTTTTATCTGATTTATGTATTTAGCGTCCATGTAAGATGATTTTATGATCAAAATGGCCAAGAGCTATTCCATTATAGGGCTGCTGGGGGTGACATAGATTCCGTCTTTTTTGCGCTTCTCTTGTTCCCTGTGCAGCCTCCAGAATGACCACAGAGGTCCTGGGTTTACCTCTCCATGATTTTTCTATTGCCTGAGTTTTTGAGTTTGATTGTGTTTAGACACTTGAACTATTAGCATATACCATATACCTTCAGTGCACTTCTCATTTTTCTTAGTATTCATGTCTTAGCTCGGGACTGGAGATCCAGCACCCTTTCAATTTTCCTTCACTATTGTTACTTGAAAACTCATTATTTCAACAAACATTTATTGAGTACTTGCTAAGCCAGGTCATGTTATTTTATTTAATAGATATTTTAAATAGTTAAAAGAGATTTTAAATAGTTATTTAATAGGTATTTTGGAATGAAAGGATTATTAAGGCAACATCCTATCTTTGAGGAATTTATATTTTTGATGGTATTAGAGAAAGCTTCCAGTAGGTCTCTGTTTACCTTGTTGCTTATTTGAGTAATGCCATTAGCTAGTATTTTATAAGAAACAGCCATGTGAAATTTGCTACTGTATTTGCTGTGAGAACATTGTTGAAGGCATGTACACTTCTCAGTCTTCAGCAGTGTCTGACCTATCAATAGCATTTCACGCAGTTGACATCCTCTCCACCTTGATTTCTTTTCTTGGGTTTCAGGATACCACAGCCTATAGTTTCCCCCTTGCCTTTCTGCCCACCCCAATGGAGCCCTTTTGTTGGTTCCATCTCGATCTTCTCAACCTGCAAATGTGGGAAGTGCCCCAGGGCTTGGTCAATTGACATCATCTCTTTTCTTTCAACATCCATAGTCTTGGTGATCTTACCAAGTTTTGCCATTTTAAGTAGCATTTTCCTTGCTCCTGAACTTACATCACTTGCCCAGATTTTTCCCCTGAATTCTACACCTGTATATGCAACTGCCTACTCAACATTTCCACTTGGATGAATGGCAGGCATGTCTAACCTAACACGACCAAAACCCAGTTGCCTTTAACTAAGGATGTGAAAAGTACAGCAGGAGCTGGTTTAGGGGATGGTGGGCAGAGTATCAAGAGCTAGGTTACAGCGCTCACAGTTGCTTAAGCAAAAACTGTGCTGTCATCCTGAGCGCCTCCGTTGTTTTTCCCCCACACTCTACATATTTTCCGTTAGCAATCCTAGTAGCTCTGTCATCAAAAGAAAATACATACACAGAGAAAGAGAGAAACTTAGGGCTCCTCAGAATGCAGCTTAATGAATTATAGCTAACTTAAAATGACACAGAAAAGAACCTGATGTCCTGGTAACCAGAATGAAGTCAGTTGAGTCTTGCTCAACTGATTTCACTTCCTTCTTTAAAAAGTTGTTAGACAACTAGATTCACAAACTGCCACAGACATATCTGGACTTGCACAAGACTCGTAATGAAGGCTTTGGGAATATCCTTATAGGCAAAATTTAGAAAATATGGAAAACCACACTATTTACCAAAGAATTACAAATTCAAATATTTAGCTGTTTCCTATCAAAGTGATAAAGTAATTTTCTAAAAGTAATAATAGCCTGTACTATCAATGCTACAATAAAAGGGATCCTCTCATATCCCACAGGTGGGGATGTAAACGTCTCTGGAATGATAATGCGGAAATATCTCTCAATAGTCCTCAGATGACCTAACAAATACCCTGACTTAATAATTCCATTCCTAGCCACTTAGCCTATGGAGACTAAAAGAGATGCACAGAACTTTCATAGCGAGAGTGTCAGACTATAGCACTATTTATAATAGTGAAAAATCAGAAAGAACTTACATGTATAAAAATACAGAAATACTCATATGATGAAGTATTATATGAAAATATTTTTATATTGAGTTTCTTATTCTCTGAGACTATGTTGTATTTTCACGACACTTATTAAAAGTCAAAGCTTCTGCTCGCCTTGGCAGCACATATACTAAAAATCAAAGCTTGAAAGCTTGATTTTTAGTGGCAAAAAAAATTTTTTTTTAATACTCTATTCATGGGAATTCTTGAGAGAAAAAACCTAATGGGATTTGGGAATGCCAACACACCTTATAGTTTGCATTAATAAAAACATAGTGTTGTCTCTATAAAAAATACACAAAATTAGCTGCACATGGTGGTACACATCTGTAGTCTCACTATTCTATAGGCTGAGGTGGGAAAATCACTTAAACCTGGGAGGTCGAGGCTACCATGAGCCAAGATTGCACTGCTGGACTCCAGCTTGGGCAACAAAGTGAGACCCTGTCTCAAACAAACAAACAAACGAAACCCATAATGTTGTTCCCGCTAGGTAGCCTCTAAGACCAAACCTGAAACACCATGATCATTTCTAAGTTCCAAATGCCAACAGGAGTACTGGCTAACTGAGATAAGTTCAGAGAGGCATAAGCACCATGGTAAGGGAGCTGAGATCCATGTCATATGGCTCAGGCAACCACAGGAAATGAGCACACATAACCAAGAACTTAAGAGCTGTCTACAAAGGAGCAAAGTGCTGATGCACAGCAGAGGAAGTAAACTTTATCTACAGAGAGCAAAAGTCAGAGCCATCAGTAAAAGCTACTTGTAAATGGAGGTTTCATCGCTATGTGAGGTTACGCTTCATAAAGTTCATTAAGGTAGGTGGGCTGCTTCATCACAGAGCAAGCTTGCAATCCCTGGAAATATTGCAAACTGAACCTGGACAGCCGTATGTGGAGAGGTTCTAGCAGGGATGCCAAAAATGGGTAAGAAATTAGACAACAAAACTTACAGGATCTCTCCCTATGCTCAGATTCTTTGAACTAATGAATGTACACAACCATTTTAGACTGTTTACTAGATGAAATAAGGTTAGAAATGCTTTACTCAAGGTAAATGCCATGCTGTGTTCTAGAGAAATCCATAAAAGTTAATATCTAATTTACCATACACAAATACATTTCATCCTGTGATTTTTAAGAGAACTATAAGATTTAATCTTTTGCTTCCATTTGGCTTCATCAGGCTTTTCATTATACTTACAATTCTAGCCATGCTAAGTTGAAGTCCAAACACCAGGTTTAATTCTTTGCCTTTAAACCAGCTCACAGCATATGTATTCTGGGCAACTGCTAAGGACTCGCCACCAATCCTAAAAATAGAAAAAAAAAAAAAAACCAGAAGTCACAACTTTAAAGAAATACTACAGTTAGCAATGCAGCAGGTTTAAAATGTTGGCACTTCTCCTATCAAGAGATGGGGCCTCTGTCCCCTCCCCTTGAATCCAGGTGGGCTTGTGACTACTTCAACCAATAGAATATGGTGGAAATGAGACAGTGTGATCCCAAGGCTCAGTTATAAAAGGTGACATCACCTTTTCACTCCGACACTCGCACTTGGAGCCCTGAACCACTACCCCCATGCTATGAGACAGCAAACCACAAAGAGAGGCCACATGTAAGTGCCCCAGTCAGCAGTCCCAGTCTTTGAGGCATCCCAGTCCAGGTGCCAAACATGTGAGTCAATAAGCTTTCAGATGATCCCAGCCCCCACCCTTCCATGAATCTTACCAGCTGAGGCCCCAGACACTAGAGGCAAAGACAAGCTGTCCTTGCTACACTTTGTCCGAATTCCTGCCCATAAAGTCCATGAGCATAATGAAATGGTAGTTTTATACCGCTAAGTGTGGGAGTCACATGATATACTGCAATAATAACCATGATAGGCAACAAAAGGAGTCGTCTTGGTTACTACATTACCATCGATATTATATAAAATGCAGATGTGGGAAAAGTGGTCCATGCTTTGTGAAAACATAAAAACTCACATTTTTCAGAACAATATGCAAAGCTCTCCATCAATCAATCCCCACATTCACTTTCCATATTCAACACTCTCCTACTTCCTGGGTTTTAATTTTCCTTCAGTAAGTTTCAATATTTACGATTCTCCTCCAAGGGCCTTCAGTTAGGAGCTTCCTTCCTCCATATCCTTACACCGAGGCCACCTCAGTATTAAGGACTAAGAAACAGTCTTAAGACAAATAAGAAATAGTCTTATTTCTTGTGACTCTGTCCTAGCCCAAAAATATTTTCCCTCTCTTCTAATAATCCAAATCCTGTACTTCTGTCAAGGCCTACTTCATCTGTAAGGCCATTTCTGACCACATTTCTGTTTCTGAATCCCTGTCATAACTTTACATACATTCTTCTTCCTTCTCTCTCACTGACGGTTACTTTTTGGGGTATGTCACCTATGTCTACATGCTCCTGACACCTGTGCAAAGCTTGAATAAGTTATGCTTTTAAAACTGAGTCAGTTCTGTCATCTGGGTCCCTCAGGGCAGCAAGCCCAAGGCTGGTCTCAGAATAGGCTTACTGAACAGACAATGCAATTCAGGTAGAACAACTGGTCTATAAGAATTCACACAGAATAGTCAGCTTACACATATTGTGCTCATTCAAGCAAAGCTCTTGGACAGGGTTGAAAGGACCCTCGCATCACTTGCTAAGAAAGAGTGAAATGTCCATCAGTCACCAACCTAGAAATCGATGGTCTATACTTTTCTAAATGTGGTTCAAATCATAGTCTTTAATACAACAGAACAGGCAAAATGCCTGGGAAAAATATCATTTCCAGAGAACTATTTAATACTCAAACCCCACACAGAGTTGATTAGGACCATTCAAAATTGTTGCTTATTTTAAAGGAAAACTAAGACAACTAAGAAATACTCTTATGCATATGAAGCTAGGTTTCAAAGATTTGAAGTAATTCCCCAGAAGAGACAAGGTTTTTTAAAGATCTTTCATAGATGAACACTAAAACAATAATACATTAGGATAAATTAAATTATGCATAACTTACCCAAATACAAATCTTCCAAATTCCATCAGCCAAAAAGCATTAAATATTCCACCCAGGGCAAAAACAACCTATAATGTAGAAGTTCATGTCAAATTAATGAAAAAGTAAATTCAAAGTATTAAAGAGAAGCAAAAGGAACATGATAAATCTCAACTTCTACAATAGTTTTAATATTTCTCCTTAATAAATCTGTGAAGTTAAAATATTAATGTTCATTTATTTCAAGGCTTAAAATAGACTATGGATTATATCACATGGGCATTTATGGGTTCTGCTTAATTAAGCTAGGCATTAATTAAACACAGCTTTGCCAATGGAATTAATTAGATAAGAATTTAGAAGTCACTGTCAATAATCAATGAATGTTTTGGCCTTCCTTACCTGTCCAATGCAAACAAAGCAGCTAAAAATGATTGTGCCCCATCTGTTTGGGAAAGAAAGAATGAGAATGAGAAAAAGAAAAAGAAAAAAAAAATCTTAATTTCTGTTTACATTAGTATTAGTAATCACAAAGTCCTTTAGTAATAATTCACTTTGGTTTTCTTTGCCTCCCTCTGTATTCCCTCCAAAGAAAGAAAAATAAAGGGCTCATCTCCCTCTGAAGCCAGCAACTCTCAGGCTAAATATGAATCTACAGAAGTCTAGACTTCTAAGGGGATTCCGGAGGCTTTAGCAATGGCATATATTAGTTTAAATCATTATCATCTCTTAAATAAAACTAATCAACTAATCTTCAAGAAGTTCCCAGGGTCAAAACTACTTAAAAATGTAAATTCTTCATAAAATTTCTATTAAGAGTTTAGGATTGATTCCAAGGAATTTTACAGTAAGTAATTTTAAGTGGTTATAATTCTTGATAACTAAAACCAATTTTTAAAAGGACAAACACCAACCATGTTATACAAATCTAACATCCTACAATCTGGACATCAGATTAATGTTGCCCTAGAATAATAAAATGCCAGTATTAGAAGAGTCCTTAAAGGCCATCAGGGTAAACCATACTTCTTAAACTTAAATCTCTCTCAAGATCCTTGTGAAATGACCATGCCATGTTCTACTGAATGTTCTCTAGCAATGTTCTCTAGCACTGGAAAACTTACTATGGTTCCAAGACAATTCTTGTCATCTCCTGCCAATCTGACCAAGCAAACTCCTCATATTAAAAGGAATCTGTTCCCCAGAAGTTTCAAGCTAATTCTCTCTCTTGAGATCAAAAAAAATAAATTTAATTCTTCCTTCATATTTTAACTCTTCAAAAATTTTAAAGGTTAGTCCCCAGGTGTAAACTCTTAAAGTTTCTTTAATCTTTATCCACCAGACATGGTTTGAAGACCTTTCATCATCTTGGTCTTTGCCTTCTGAAAATATTCCCAGTCTATATTCCTCTTCAGTTCCACTAACAACATACACACAATAATAAGGATGAACAGTGGCAAACCTTATAGTGTTATTCCCTGCTCAGCCTCTAACAGAAGTGGTCACAAAATGTTTTACACCCCAAGAAAAGCAGAAATAGAAAATCTCACCGGGGCTGGAGGAAGCACATACTACCTATGTGCCAAATACTGTACATCCATCTCTCACTTAATCCTCATAACCACCTTGCAAGGTAGGAATCATCTATATTTTGGCAATGAGAGAACTGAAGCTCAGGAAGCTGCAAACAGCTCAGAACAGCCAGGAAGATGAGAAAGTGGCAACGATAAGATTCAGAACCTGGTTTACCTGATCCCAAGGGTGAGTATAATTTTCCTATGGATAACTGAGTTACCTTATACCATCAGCATTTACTAGTCCTGACCTTAACTGAAATACCACGTTTCAAAAACCAACTCCAGAGATATAAAAATCATTTTTTTAAAAAACTCAAGCAAATTATTAGTTAATACAGAAGTTTATTCAGCTCTTTCTAGAAATACCTTAATCTAGCTCTGTATTTTTCTAACAATCAGGTAAGATTTACCCATAGTTTCTTTTCAAGCTTACCGTATTCCAAATACTCGGTCTATCAAAAAGCCACCAAAGAAACACAAAACTACATTGGGCCAAGAATACCAGGCATACAGCAGCATGAATTTCGTGGTATTCACTTGCATATCCTATATGAAAAGAAAATAAAACTATTTTTTTCCAAACAGTTAAGTTTAGCAACTAACAAATCAAAATATGACAATCTAAAGTGGAAAGTAGTTACATTCTTCTTTCTGTAAAGGGCAAGTTTTTTTTAACCATTTATAAGTCTCACTAACTTCCTTGAGAATCTCATGAAAGCTATGGCCCCTGGCCCAGGAAAATGGTCACACCTGGGAACCCTGGGAACTTCTTGAGTTCACATGCCATTTCAGGGGCTTCCTGGATTCCAGGATCAGACACCCTGCTACAGGGACCACTTCTGTCTGACTATAACTTCTATATACTACCTGCACTGGGGACTCTGCCCACATATACAAGGATAATCTTAGCCTATCCCTACCTACCCTACCCTCTCCATCCCCTCAAGCATGCTCCTCCTACTTCCTTTCTCTTTCATTCTAGAATGAAAAGGGTCAACCTATGCATTTTCCCTGTCCAAAGGTTAAAAAGAACCTACAAAGAAAAGAGACTAAATACCCAAAAAACTGTAAATATCAAGTATGTTCTTACAATACAAAACCAGACTAAAAATCCTGACATGGACAATCCTCTGCAATCAGTATCCACATTTAAAAAACAAAATAACAACTAAAACCTATTTAAGAAGGCAAAAAGCTATCTTAACAAATCATTTGTCATTCGGGTGACTAAGCACTGGGAGAGTGAAATGCAAACAAAAACCTGCTCATATTTTTGACAATACTGTGGAAATACCACATAATTATTTATCTAAGGTCTGAAACAATTTCAAGTCACATATGTGCTATAAATGAATTATTTGTGGTAACTCATTTCAACTTAAGAACACCCCTTGCAACTTGTGGATTTGGTGACTACAGATGTCAAAATAGATTCAGCGGACACGTGAGACTAGGGCACCTGAGGGTTGATAATGCCTCCACCGCTACACTTGCTCTAAAGAAAACAAAAGAAACAAGAGTGAAAAATCAACTTACTCGTTTAACTTGAGTCTGAAGGGCAGCAGGATTATCATAGCAAAAATAGCTGCCTAGAAAAGAGCAAATACTTTATAAGTAATAATACTTCCCATATAAAAGTTTCAAGTTGCAGTTGCTACTGAAATTACAATTTTAAATGCTGATACTACGGGTTGACACTACAGAAATATTTCTGAACCACTTCCTTATCCACCAGTATTTTCTAAGTTATATCAAATAACTTCCATAAATTGGTAGTGTTCATACACAGCAAATACTGGGAACCTGAATTAAAAAGTCAACAACCAACAATTAAATATTTTTCTATTTTACTTTCATCATGCTTCACACATATACTATTTTATTAATATCTTCATGAAGCATCTATATTTTATTTATTTCCTTATTTACAAACACACATACACTAAAAACTTTACAACCTCATCAGTTTCCTAATAATGTTAGCTTAAGGACAAAGGAATGGAGTGTAACCATTCTGACAAAACCAATATTTGAAACAAGTTCTCTAATTCTACAAACTACCCAAAATCAAATAATTTAGTGAATACAGGGCCAGGAGTGAAAAAAAAATGAAACTGAGAATTCTAAAGGATTAAATTAAAACATGTCTTTGGGGGAACTGGAAAGAGAGAAGTAGGGAGAGATCTGACCATGCACTCGGATTTATTTTAAAGATAAAATAATTGAGATTCCTTCGTAGGCTACAAGAAAATATTGCCTCCATAGCTCTACTAACTCTACAAGTGCACGAGGCTATTGGTTCTAATGACAATAAAAACTGTCATTAGAAAGGAATGAATCTGGCTTCTGAATTCTAGGCAGATAACCAGAATTTACCAAAAACTGTCTGTCTGCTTGAGTGGGGACCATTTTTTTTAATGTTTTATTGTTGTTCTTTCTTTGTTGTGGTGGTGGTTGTTTCTAAACCCTGCTTTAATCTCTTTTAAGGATTCAACGTCCTGCTTTAAAGCTAATGGATGGGCATCATCTTTTAAAAAACAGGGGAGGGGGGAAAAAGGAGTTGCAAGGAAACCAAAGCCCAAAGCATCCTTCATGTCTACTTATATGTTCAGCGCTAGAATAGTTATCCACCATAATGTTCTTAAACCTGCTGATTACACGGGCTCCAGCTAGCCTCCTGAAAAACACATTCATACCAAATTAATATTAGAATTTTGCTTAATAAATTAAAAACTGTAACATAGGAAGGAAAATTTTTTTCTAATTATCAAGAAACTGTTTTCGGAGACATCAGATTTCATAAGAGAAACCAACCACTGTCAAGACTACCACAAGTCCCGTCCAATATGATTGCTTCACAGTGGCAGAGTGGAAGATTAAGAGAACAATATCTATTCACTGAAGCTATCAGCAAGACACACTCATACATTTTCTCAAAGAGGGTGAAAAATATATAGAAGACTGCCGACGAAATCATTCACGTTTTTTAAAAGCTGGACAACATTGTAAGACCCTGTGTCTAAAAATAATAATAATAATAAAGCCGGGTGTGGTGGCGCCCCATCTGTGGTCCCAGCTACTCGGGAGGCTGAGGCGGGAGGATTGCTTGAACCCAGGAGGTGGAGGCTGCAGTAAGCCACTTTCACAACACTGCACTCCGGGCTGGGTGACAGAGCAAGCCCCTGTCTCACCTAAAACCAAACAAACAAAAGTTGTTTAGGAACAGTTAAAGCTTTCTGAATTTCCTCCGACCACGTGTGCCAAAAGAGGAACCTTGAAAATCTGGAGTTACCTTCATATCTATCGCCTCTAGGGCGAGTCGCTAGCCCCTGGGACTTACTGAAGAGCAAAGGAGTGCCACAAAACTCGCCCAGCTCAGTCCCTCGACCTCCACGTTCCGGACGCGGAGTAACTAGCAACATCCACAGGTGTGGCTGGAATCGATCGCAAAGGGGAAAATAAGGAGGCCCAGGAGCTTAAGACAGAAGCTGCGCTGAGGCCCCGTGGCACCAGTGACCACGATGACGATCTACCTCGAAGAGAAAGTCGGGAATTCCTTAAAGATCAGCCCCAACCCACCCGGCCGGCTCACCAAAGCCAAGGAAGCACATCAGTAACAGCACCAAAAGCCGGTGCGCCAGGCGACTGGGGTCGCAGAGGGCCGGCAGGGCTCCAGGGGCGGCCGGGGCACCTCTGTCGGCCTCGTCAGGGCCGCCTGCCAGGAGCGCCCGCGCTTCCTCATCCTCCTCCTCCATTGCGCCCGCAGGAGACGGAGAGGGGAAAGTGGTGACAACTCCAAACCCAGGCAGGAAGCAGCGCCCGTGGAACACTGTCAAGACGGCGGTCACATGACTCCGGGAGCTCACGTGACGCCCCGGCAGGTCACGCAGGGCCACGCCCATGTGAGCGGCCGCGAGCGCTGGGAGGACGGACCCAGCGGTCGATGACAGGGCCTGGCGCGGTTCGCTTTTCCTGGGTGACTGTGTTCGTGGGGCTGAGGCCCTCGAGGTGCCCACTTCCAGCTTTCCACCAATTACTGCACTGTCTTTCCGTTTCCTGCCCCGCTGACGCGTACACCTATTTCAGACTCAGCGCAGCTCCGCGGGGAGAAAAGTGCGGGGCTCCCTCTCGGCTCCACACCAGACTCCGGAGTAGTTCGAACTGCGCTGGGGTCGCCAAGACGCGCGCTGCCCTTCTCCCAGCACTGCCCTCCCCAGCGTCTTTGACCACTCTTAATACCCACAAACTTGATCGGACAATTTCTGGTGTGTCCAGCCATGTGTCACGTACTGGGAATACAAAATAGAATGAGGCAAGCTCCCTGACCTCAAAGATTTCAGAGTTCAGTTGGAGAAATCGACAGAATCTGGTACTTTTAAAACTAAACATGATGAATGAATGTGGTGAGAACAGCGGCAGAAAATGGCACTGAATTCCATAGAAATATCTGGAAAGGTCATTTCAAAAGGGGAGAAAAGGTGCGTAGTTTAGCCAGCTTTCAGGGCAAGGGAGTGAGGGGCGCTGAAGCTCCTTGAAGTTGAAACCCAGGCTAGAATGAGTAAGAATGCGCCAGTCAGGGTGCTTGTTTGAGCGGGTTGGTTGCAGGGCGGGCAGTTACGAGGGATAATAAAGACAAAAGCGTGAAACAGAACTGGGTGTGTATGTGTTTGTGTTGAACGACAGAGAAGGAACTCGAGTAGAAACACTAAACCTGTTTCAAGAAGAGCCATGCAAGGATTTTGAGCACAGCAGCAGGACTGCAAGCTTTGTGTTTTAAAAAACATTCGGTCTGCCAGCACAGCACCATCGTCGCTTTCTGGGAGCCCTCAGGCTTTACTAACAGAATTTTGAGGGCGTCAAAGCTAGAGGCTGAAAACTGTGAGGATTATTAGGAAGATGCTGCAGTCGTAACGATTAGAGATGACGAGGGCCTGTTAGCAATAAAAAGCAGGAATGGCACAGAAGAAAATCAGTAATTATTTAGGAGGTAAAATGGGAATAACTGTAAATAATAGCCTATGCGATCTGAAAGAGAGGAAAGACTTGAGAGTGTCTCCCAGATTTCTAGCTTGGGCCGCCAATAGAGATCAAAATTTAGAGAGAGAAGGAGGTAGGAGAGAGTGTCAAGGATCAGGTGCTGCCTTTGAGATGTCTATACATATCTCCACTTTCACAGTCCATTCTCTCTTCAGCTCCAGTGGAGGAGCTCCCGATCTAATAAAACTGTCTTGCCGAGAGGAGTAATAACTCCATCTTTCCAAATACATTAGTCACTTCTCTGTCATCTTACTCAACTTCTATCAATTGATGGAATTGACAGCCACTCCTTTTTAGCCTCCTTGGCACCATACTTGCCTTGTGTTCCTCCCACTTTGCTGGCCTATCTCATTTGCTGTCTCATTTGTCAGCTCCTCCTCTTCTATTCAAAATCTAGATGTTCAATGATGCAAGACCCATTCCTGAGCTCTCTTCCACTCATCCATTCCCATAACTTTAAATACCCTCCCTCTGCTGTCCAGTAGGTAGCCATGTGTGGCTGTTGATCATTTGTAATGTGGATAGTTGGAAAGGAGATGTGCAATACGTATAAAATACACACCAGATTTCAAAGACTTGTATGAAAAATAGAATAACCTCCTAATTTGAATACTGATTACATGTTGAAATAATATTTTGCAGATATTAGGTTAAATGTATATATATTAAAACTGGCCGGGCACAGTGACTCACGCCTGTAATCCCAGCACTTTGGGAGGCCGAGGTGGGTGGATCACCTGAGGTCAAGAGATCGAGACCATCCTGGCCAACATGGTGAAACCCCATCTCTACTAAAAATACAAAATTTAGCTGGGCGTAGTGGCACCCGCCTGTAGTCCCAGCTACTCAGGAGGCTGAGACAGGAGAATCACTTGAACCCGGGAGGCAGAGGTTGCAGTGAGCCGAGATCGCGCCACTGCACTCCAGCCTGGTGACAGAGGGAGACTCCATCTCAAAAAAAAAATTATATATATATAATTTTATTTTAGTTTATATATATATATGTGTGTGTGTAAACTAATTCCACCCATTTTTACTTTTTATGTGGCTGCTAGAAAATGTAAAATTACCTATGTGGCTTACATTGTATTTCTGTTTATCAGTGTGGATTTATATGCTGTTGCCTCTAAAATACCTTCATTCCAGACTCCTTTCTTCAGCCTAAGACTACCATTCCAACTGTTTATTTGATATCACGTGGATGATGTGGATGACTAATAGGCATCTCAAACTTATCACATTTAAAACAGAATCCTTGAGTTCTCTCACCCATGCTATACCTATTCCTCCCTAAGTGTTCCTTAGCAAAGTAAATGGGACATCTCTCTACCACTTGCTATCCGCAAGTCTAGCAGTCATCCTTGATGGCTTACTTCATCTCCTACATCTACTCCCTCAGCATGTCTTGTCAACTCTCTTCCAAAATATACCCTCATTGTGCATGTTCTCCATCACTACTCCTCTTACCAGAATGATCTCTCCCAGACAATCACAACAGACTCTTTAAATTGTTTTATTTTGCTTAATTTTGATGAGAGATACATCTGGTGTATATCATTCAAACAGTACCAAAGAGAATAAAGTTCAAAGCGAGTCTTTCCTGCCTCCCTATACCCAGTACTCTTGGGAAGTAATCATCATTATCAGATTATTTTGCATCCTTCCAGAGTTACTACACACAGTTGTTTTTCTTCCTTTCAGCCCAGCAGTGTGGCCTAGAAATTGTTCTTATTCTTGAGGACGATCTTGGAAACAGTCTGTTTGCCACACCATCCTAATCAAGCTTGTTACCAGATTTTTGGTCTTTGCAAATATGATCAGTGAAAATTTGCTATCATAGTGCAGTCTCAATTTATATTTCTATTATATTGAGGAATATTGAACCTCTTTTATGTGATTAACAGCCACTTATATTTGTTCTAGGAATAATCTTCATATCCTTTGCTTATTTTTCCAGATGAATTATTGAGGCTTTTTCTTATTGATTAAATAGGCTCTTTGTTGCTGATAGGAGCTGCATATATTTATTTTGACTCTGTTTACGGTAATATTTCCATATAGTTTCTAATGCCAAACTCTCTTTTTATTTTATAACTCCAGGGGTTTGCTTCTCACGCAAGATTTTCAACAGCCTCAATTGGTCTCTCTACTTCCGTTGTTGCATTTCTATGATATGTTGCCCGCACAACAATCAAAATGATCTTTTTAGTTAGTTTGGAGCTTTGGTTTGTCAAGGAATTATGAGTCAACCATCAATATTTGAACTAAAAGAAACAAAACTGGGCCAGGCACCGTGGTTCACACCTGGAAACCCAACACTCTGGGAGGCTGAGGTGGGGATATTGCTTATACTCAGGAATTGGAGACCAGCCTGGGCAACATGGCGAAACCTCATCTCTCCAAAAATACAAAACTTAGCCAGGTGTGGTGACATGCGCCTGTAGCCCCAGCTGAGGTGGGAGAATCACTTGAGCCCAGGAAATAGAAGCTGCAGTCAGCCGTGATTGCACCACTGCACTCCAGCCTGTGTGACATAGCAAGACCCTGCCTCAAAAAAAATAAAAATAAAAAAAAGCAACGAAACTGGATTTACTGTGTACTCTAATAAGGAAAAGCTATGCTGGGTCGGCACAGTCTCCCCAAGCAGAGCTGGCTGCTGATGCTCTATGGAGCTTTGGGGAATACAGAGTTCAGGAATAGGTGCATTTCAGAGGCAAAAGGGTTTGCCATCACCTGTAGAAGAGTAGATATTCTGGTAAGACTGTTATTAATTCTCCACTGAATTTATTGGAGTGAACCTGTCATTGGCTGACTTTGAGAAAGGAGGGGTTTTTCAAAACAAGTTTTACTGAGGCAGTTGATTAATTGAATGGGTTTAAAACTGGTTCTAGGAGTGTGGAAACTTGCTTTAATTCTCAGGGCTTCAAAAAATTATTATAGAAATGTGAAACCTACAGAAAAAAAAAAGGTAAAAAGGTAATGTACCCACCAAACTGAGCATCCAGAGAAGGACACAGGAAAGAGCTTTTTAGTCAGTGCCAACTCCCCTGTGCATGCCTGAGAACTTCTCCTTGGGGGCTTGCCCTTCCCAGGAGTTCAGGCTACCTGGTTACCTTGCAACCCAGCTGTGTCTGATGGTTTCAGTTAAGGTTGTGACTTTGTAGTTCATCTGAGTTTTTCTCATTATTGAGAAAGGAAAGATGTTCATTGCAGCTTTTCATATCCTAAGCACAAAAGAAGTCTTTCGTCTCAATTTTAACAGTACATTAATGGGGTATTACCCTTTTTCTCCCAGTTTCACAGTTGTCTTTTGTCTTTATGAAGTTTTTGGCTTATTTGTTTTGTCATGAAAAGGGTTTTTTTTAGAATATAGTCAAATTTATCAATTTTTTCTTTTATTGCATCTGGATTTTGAAACATAATTAGAAATCCTTTCCTTGTACCCAGGTTAAAGAAGAATTCACCCATTTTTTTTTCTAGTACTTGTATGGTTTCATTATTTAGATTTAGATTCCTGACCCATTTGGAGTTTATTCTTTTGCCTAGTATGAGGTATGGATCAAACTTTTTATCTTTTTCTAAATGGCTAACCAATTGTTAAGTCCATCTTTGTCCAAGTGATTTGAGATGCCACCTTTATTGCATACTAAATTCCCATATGTATTTGGGTTTACTTCTGGACTTTCTTTTCGGTTGTACTGCTCTTTCTTGTCATGCACAAGGACCACTGTTTTTATTTTAGAGGCCTTAGAATATGTTTTAGTGACTGGTAGATGTAGTCCCCTTTCATAGCTTTTATTTTTGTTTTCCTGGATATTCTTCCATATTTTTCCACCTGAAATTAGTATCAGCTTGCCTAGCTCCATAAGAAAACTGGTATTTTTTTAATGAACTTTGAAAATTAACTTAAGGAGACTTTAGTTTTTAATGTTAAGTCATCACATACAAAAAAAAAAAGTGGTGTTCCAGTTTTTCAAACTATTTCATGTCTTTTGAGAGTGTTTTAAAGTTTTCTTCATATATATTTTACAAATTTCTTGTTAAATTTATTATTCTTTGTTGCTTTTGTAAATGTAGTTTTCTCTACCTTTATGTCATGTTACTGATTATGTATGTGAAGGCTGTTGATTTATGTATGTTAAGTTTATGTCCTGCCAACTTATTGAATTCTTCTCTAGTTTGACTTAGTTTTGCTGTTAATTTTCTGTGATATTCCAGGTGTACTGTCATACCATCTGCAAAGACAAAGAGTTTTACTCACTCTTTTCTAGTTCTCCTGCCTTCAATTGATTTCTCTTTACTAACTGCAGTAGTGAGTATCTCCAGTTCAATGTTAAATGGCAGTGAAGATAGTGTACATTCTTCCCTTAGACCTGGGATAAATATTAAACAAACAGAAGAGAAAGGAATGCTCTTCCTTGTAATAGAAAGCCAATCAATACATGTAGAAGGAATGATGGAAATATAAAACCACTGTTTGCTAGGCATCATCATAATATCTGATCCAGGCAAGAATCAGTAGTTACTAAAATTAGTGGATAAAAGTTTGAAGTGTAAAGGATATATGCATAATCTCAAAGTAGCTCCTCACCAGAGATTTATTAATGACAAAGGAAAAAATAGTGCAGAAGCCTGGCCCACATACGTGAACCAAGTGATCATAGTTAATACTACCAGTATTGGAACAAAGTGACATTATGTGCCCCCAGATATGCACTGAAACTGAAAACACAAAACTCTGTGATTTACCTAACAAAAGCTCATCATACCTAAATCTCAGCATAAGGAAACATCAAACAAACCCAAATTGAAGGATATTATACAAAATAACTGGCCTGATTTCTCAGTGTCATAAAAGACTAAGGAACTGCCCTGATTAAAGAAGACTCCAGAGACATAACAGCTGAATGCAACACATGATCCAGGATTTCTTTGGCTATAGGGAACATTATTGGGACAGTTGACAAAATCTAAGTTCTGTAAGTAATTTGTATTCTGTCAGCATTTATTTTCTGATTTTGACTACTGGACTGTGGTTATAAAAGAAGGTACCTGTGGCCGGGCGTGGTGGCTCACTCCTGTAATCCCAGCACTTTGGGAGGCCAAGGAGGGCGGATGGATCACCTGAGGTCAGTTCAAGACCAGCCTGACCAACATGGAGAAACCCCATCTCTACCAAAAATACAAAATTAGCCGGGTGTGGAGGCGCATAGCTGTAATCCCAGCTACTCGGGAGGCTGAGGCAGGAGAATCGCTTCAAACCAGGAGGCGGAGGTTGCCGTGAGCTGAGATCAAGCCATTGCACCCCAGCCTGGGCAACAAGAGCAAAATTCAGAAAAGACGAAGACGAAGACGACGAAGACGAAGACGAAGAAGAAGAAGAGGAGGAGGAGGAGGAGGAACTTGTTTTTAGAAAACACATACTGAGATATTTAGAAGTCAAAGGACATGTACATATATTAGATATATATGTATATGGAGAGAGAATAAAACAAACATGGTAAAATGTTGCCATTTCAGGTGTCTGGGTAGAGGTATGTGGGAACTCTTTTTACTAGCCTTACAACTTTTCTGTAAATCTGAAACTATATACACCACACTTTGACCTCCTAAGAGTCTTGTGCATCTTTGTATCTCAAACATCTAGAACAGGGCCAGCTTGAAAACTGCTTAATAAGTGAATCCCTTAAATCAGGAGCACGTTACACCACCTAGTGGTGTAACAAAGGAAGCTTACTGCTGTGGAAAAACCTGTTCCTGTCCACAATGAACTTGCTCATTCTAACTGTGTTGACCTATTATTAGCCAAACAAATTGCACTTATTTTATAATTATCAAGTGATGGGAAAGTGAAAGCAATTTGGGGTGTAAGTATAGGCTTTATCATCTTGGACACAAGGTCACTAGACTGACCAGCCTGGTTTCACAGGTGTGGGGGTGGTTGCAGCCTCTGGAGCAAAGTTAGCCACACAGACAGAAAAGAGAATAGGGTAACTCCTAAAAATCCAAGTTCTGGATTCAGTCTTCATGTGCATTTACTTCCTACAACTCCTGAGTGCTGTGTGAGCCAAAACATTCTCTTTATCTTCATCCTTCATATTGGAAGCCAAGATGTAAACCCCTTCAATGCCTTCTTTTGTCTCCCCGGTCTACCCCCACCCCCACCTCTCCCCACCAGCAGTGCAGGTTTCTAGTATGGGACAAGAGAGGAGTGTCTGGTTCTGCTTGGGAGCCCAGAAGCAGTGAAAAATGAGCTTGATCTTGAAGAATGAAGAAGACTGGGAGTGGGGGTTGGAGGGGCAGAGTAAGGGC
This sequence comes from Homo sapiens, assembly GCF_000001405.40. NCBI lineage: Eukaryota > Metazoa > Chordata > Mammalia > Primates > Hominidae > Homo > Homo sapiens. The sequence continues at coordinate 158,794,558 of NC_000003.12, read as the reverse complement.
ATTTCAGGCAAAAACAACATCATATACAAAGGCCTTAGAAAGAGATTCTGACTCTCTCAACTTCTATATTAGCTTCATCCAACTCTACATAGAAGATGTGCAAAGACAGCCTTTGAAGTCTGGTGAAAATAACTGCGTTGATTTGGATCATGGGATTAGACGTTGGTTTACTTCCATATAGTGACTCATGAAAAATAGTTTATGCTGACTTATGTAATCACAGGAATGAAAAGTTTTTGTATTATTATGTAAATGAAGTACCAATTTTAAAAGAAAAATATGTACTCTAGGAGTCTAAGGCTGTCCTTATATTTTAGAGCCTAACTGGCAAAACTAGTGGCCAAGATAGCAGGAAAGTGTCCACTGAGAGGTCTAGGGAGTTCATGTTCTCACTCCTAAGTGACTGCTAAAAAATGTGAACACATGGCCATAGAGAGTGGAATGATAGATGGTAGAGACTCAGAAGGGTGAAGGGTTGGGAGGGTGAATGTGAGAAATTCTGTACTGAGAAATTACTTAATGGGTACAATGTACATTATTTGGGTGATGAATACCCTTAAAAGCCCTGACTTGACCACTGCATGATCTATGCATGTAACAGAATTGCACCTGTACCCTATAAATGTTTACAAATTTAAATAAATGAATAATAGATCTGAAAGAATGTTTATGTGCTTAATAAATACTGCTTTTTATTGTACACTAGCCCCCGCCTTATCCTGGGGGAACACTTTCCAAGACTCCCCAGGTAGATGCCTGAAACCATGGAGTGTACCGAACTCCTATGTAAACTATGTTTTTTTTCCTATACATACATACCTATAATAAAGTTTAATTTATATATTAAACATAGTAAGAGATTAACAATAATAACTAATAATAACATAGAACAACTGTAATGATACACTGTAAAAAGAGTTATGTGAATGTGGCCTCTCTCCCAAATATTGTATTGTACATATTTTCTTATGTTGATGCAAGATGATACACTGCCTACATGATGAGATGAAGTGAGGTGAATGATGTAGTCATTGTGACAGCAATAAGCTACCATTGACCTTCTGTACTCCTGAATCCGTTTAACCATCCCTTACTTGCAGTAAATGGCTTGATGTCACTAGTTTTAGGGGATCCCTTGCTGAAGTCTTCATGTAGCTGAATGCTTTTTGGCCTAACATTGCCATCAATCAGAACACATTTTCTCTTCATGTCTTCCACCAATAAATGTAATACCTTTTCCATTTAACTAAGCACTTGGCACACAATGGATGGCCATAATTTTTGCAGTTTGAGATGCAACAGCAAAACTAGCATGAATTTCTTTTTTCTTCTTCACAATTTCACAAAGAGAAGATTCATTCTTATCATAGATCTTAGCAACCCCAGCATACGATTTTTTTTCTTTCCTTATTAAGTCGAAGACTTTCACCTTTTCACTTAAAGGAAACACTTTATGGCTTCTTTTTCACATATCCGAATTGCCATCATCTCTACTCTTGCACTTTGGAGGCATTTTTATTAAAATAAGGATTACTTGAACACAAGCACTACGATGCTGCAACAGTTGATCTGATAACTGAGACAGCTACCAAGTGACTCACTGGCGGGGAGTGTGGAAACAGTGGATGCACTGGGCAAAGGGATGATTTCATACTGGGAAATCATGATGATACGCGGTATGGCATGTAATTTAAAACGTATGAATTATTTGCTTCTGGAATTTTCCATTTCATTCTTCTGAACTGAGGTTGACTGCAGATAACCAAAACCATGGATAAGGTAGGACTACTTTTGTACATCAAAACGCGTAGGAATCATTTACATTTATTTTTATTCAGTTCCAAGGAAATAATTTGCTGTTTTCCTCATTTGTTTATAGCAAACTTGAGTTCTGAAGGAGCAGAATAAATAATTCCCTGGAATTTCAATACAAATTAACGACTGAACAAAGATTAGACAGTAAAAAAAGTTCCTTTTATACAGACCTCCAGACAGGCACATTCTTATCATCTGTTTTGAAAACTAATTAAATAGAGATAAATGATCTACCCCCAAAGATACTAAACTGGTATGTTAGGATCAAGAGGAGAGGGACTCGCGGGTTGGGAACAAAGACAGGTACCACGCCTTGGATGAAATGTGATCCTAAAATGCCCCAAATTTCGAATGCCAATGAATACATTTATGTCCTACAGTATTCAATTTTTGATAAATGTATGCCTCTATGTTTTGTTTGTTCATGCATTCTTCTCTTAATCTGTTTCTATTTTCTTTCTCTTTGTGTATGTATCCAACTATGTATTCATCCATACGTCTACCTATCTATACATTTATTTGTCTTCAATTGTAAAAACATACTCGCTGTATTTTTCCTTCCTCACAAGAAGTGAAGGGAGTCAGGAAAGAACAGGTGATAGTATATTCTTCTAATTGAAAAAAATGTTAAAGGATCCCTCTAGCTTGGTACAAGAAAAAATATATAGAAATTAAGCAGTAAAAAATAATGTGCAGCTGGGCTCTGTGCCTCACACCTGCAATCCCAGCACTTTGGGAGGCTGAGGCAGGTGGATCACCTGAAGTCAAGAGTTTGAGACTAGCCTGGCCAACATGGTGAAACTCCATTTCTACTAAAAAAATACAAAATTAGCCAGGTGTGGTGGTGCATGCCTGTAATCCCAGCTACTTGGGTTGCTGAGGCAGGAGAATCTCTTGAACCCAGGAGGCAGAGGCTGCAGTGAGCTGAGATTGCACCATTGCACTCCAGCCCGGGCAACAAGAGTGAAAATCCATCTCAAATAAATAAATAAATAAATAATAAAAAATAATGTGCACATACTTGTGAATTACATATTGAGAAGGAGAAAGACAAAAGATGAGAACATATTTTATGAAAAAATTAACTAACCTGTTGAAGGAATTGCTATGTGAAGTATATATGAGCACTTCCCTTGCAGGTTATGAATTTACTGTCTCGGGTCCGAGTTCATTCTTTTCAGACTGTTTAAAATATTTTTCCTTTGCCAGCTGGCATGATGTTCAGCTTTGTCAGTAGATGGCGTCAGAGAGACATCTCAGGAAAAAACGGTTTTTCCTCCAGTTACGCAGCACACGTGGCTTCTTCTGTGCCAGTCTACTGTTTTTTGCTTTCTGTTTTTTTAATGGAAATTTTTACGAGCCCCTACATCTTAATAGAATAAATAAATGCAACAAAGATAACTTTGAAATTCAAAGTGAGAAGAGGAAAGAGAACAAGATAAGAAAAATAAAAAATAAAAATAAGCCCACTGGGATAAAAGCAATGGTAAGGGAAACGTGAGCATTACTCTACAGAAGCAGGACAAATTTTACAATTTGGAAAGTAGTAGGGTTTTCCCACACGATACCAACTCAGCCTTTCAGGCCAATGAGGGACTACTGAAAATAAGGCAGAAATGTAAATCAACACACACCCATGTGAACAGATCAGTGTGAAATCTTGGAGTGAATGAAATTACCAGACTCAAGCATGACTTGTCTGTGAATATTGCAAGATGGCAGAGTCCGTGTCTGGTTCAATTCATATACCTTAAACCCAAACACATGTATTTATTATCTGCTTTGGGTCTCTTATCTATCCATCTATGTATATACACATCAGATAAGTGACCTGACCCCCGAGTCCCCAAATAGACTACATTAATATGTAGGAACGGCTGGCATGTGGAAGCCAAAGATAGATGTTGTACCTGGCTCAAAATACCTTCCCCACCCACCTCTACCATTCCTGATTCACCTGAAATTTCTAGTACTAAAAACTTAAATGATGACTGGATTAGGTCAAAAAACAGCACTGATATGGATGTCAGCTGTTAAAAGTTATCTCTCTGTCTGCCCAACAATATGTCCTGAGAATTTCACCATATCAGTTCATACAGGTTTTCCTTGTTCTCTTTCTTACACCTGCATGGTACTGCATTGTGTGTATGTATTAATACTATAGTTTCTTCAACCACCCTTCTATATTTGTGTATTTAGTAGGTTACCAATATTTTGTGATTGCCAATTCATGTTGCAATAAGCAATCTTGTAAATATATATTTTTATGTTGGTGGAAGTGTGTCTTCAGGCTAAAGTGGAATTGCTGAACCAAAGGATAAATGCATATATGGTTTTGTTAGGTATTGCCAAATTTCCTTTTAAAGGGTTGTAGCATTTCACATTATGAAAATACCTATTTTTGGCGAGGCACAGTGGCGCATGCCTGTAGTTCCAGCACTTTGGGAGGCCAAGGCTGAAGGATCACTTGAGCCCAGGAGTTGGAGACCAGCCTGAGCAACATAGTGAGACCCCCTTCTCTACATAAAATTTTAAAATTAGCCAGGCATAGTGGTACAAGCCTGTAGTCCCAACTACTTGGGAGGCTGAAGCAGGAGGATCACTTGAGCCTGGGAGGTTGGAGCTACAGTGAACCATGATCACACCACTTCACTCTAGCCTGGATGACAAAGTGACACCCTGCCAAAAAAAAAAAAAAAAAAAAACTATTTTCCCCAGTCTGACCAAGAAATTGTATTGTTAAGCTTTTGAATTTTTTTGCCATTTAAACTGAGACATGTGGCATAGATTTCCAGAAATAGCATGAAGATCTGTCTACAGTAGTGGATATAAATTTTTAAAGGTAGAAATCATTTGCTTTTTGGACATTTATGTACAACTATTAAGAGTATCTGTCTTCAAATGTTCTCTTATTTGACACTTATCAGAGGTAACATCTCTCTCACACAGCCAACAAAGCTGTCTGGCCAGTGGATGTCACTCAAGTGCTACTTTAAGAGATAAATTCTAGTACATCTCTGTTCCTATATTTTAGGACAATAACTCTCTTTTAAAATCCACTCCATGTGCTCATTAGATAAATGAGGCAGGAGATTCCTGGGGTTGAGTCCTTTTTTATTTTTTCGCTAAAAATGACTTTGTAAAGCTAAAAGTCATTTTTCGAAAGCCCATCAATAATATGCTTAACAGGAGGGAGCTTTTTGAAGGGGTAAAGAAAACCAATTCAGCATGTTCTGATTTAAACAAAGTGTATGGTGGTTTTGATCTGATAACTAAAATTATCTAAGTTAGGAACAAAATTCATGGCAATAAGAACTAGCCATAACCATGTGGCTCTTTGATATATGTAAATATTAACAGCTTGTCATTTTTACGCTTTGATGAAATGCCCTACACAGGTCCAGAGAACAAGAGAGAGGTTCTACCTATGCTCCTACAGACCCCTCTCTAGCTGAGGGCAATGACTTTTTCACTTAGAACAGTCTCCAATCACAAAATGCAAATGTCTTAGCTAAGGTCTTGCAGTCCTTCTCCTAATACTACCTTCCAAAAAATGATCTTTAAAAGAATTCTGAAAGCACTGATGCATTAAGAGAAAAAATGTGAGGGCCAGAGAATCCTTTAATTAATTACTTCATGGATTAAAGGACAGAAAATCTAAGGTATTAAACTGTACATCTTTAATTTTCATTAGTTTGTTTCAAAAAGCAGGTAATTTTCAAATAAAAAAGAAAGAAAAGGTTAAGTTCACAGATTACAGCTGTGTTATTTGTCATCAATATCACTCATTTGTTATTAAAATTAATTAAATATCATATAGATTATATTTTTAAATAGATGTTTTAACAGTAGAGTCTCAGCAGAAAAACATTAGGATACATCAAAAAAAAAGTTTTAAGAGTCTTAACAAAAACCACAAAAGTTTAATTGCAAATAACCAAACTCCCCATTCTGGAATAAGTTCAATATTTATTAAACATGAGTATGACTAATAAAACTGATGACAAAAGATACACATAGAGTCATTATATCAACAGTTAAATTTATCCTTATGTTACCCTTAGCCAGGGGTGGCTAAGAAATTATATCCATTCTATATTTTTCTCTCTGCGCTGTGGAAGTTCTGCCACATGTTACCACCCATTGGCACAGGCCTGCTTGGGTTGTACAGCCCTTATTCCAGTTGCAAGATGGTCCTGAGTTCTTGGTTATGCTCTTCTTCCAAGGTCACCTGAAGGGCAGTCCTCACAAGGGAGTTCCTGGAAGTGCCCTCTTCCTTCCACTGTGATTGCTAAATGTTTGTTTCTAATCACTTATAACCATAGGACTGGCCTTGGCATTGTGTTTGTGAGGCCCTGTGGCTATTGTGTGTTTCTAACTTGAGCATCTTAAATTTTCTGGCCTTGTCTTTTCTGTTATAGAGAGAGGGATTTTGAAGTTTTCTCTGTGAATATTAGACTATTTTTTTAAAGGGAAGAATAAATTGTATGGATAGTAGAGGCTTGGAAGAGTTACCACACCATTTCCTTCCATTTCACTGAGTCTTCCTAGCAACCTTGAATGTAGGAGTTGCCCAGATAAATCACTCATAGTTATTTGAGAGGAATAGTATTTTGCGTAGAATTTTGATAATTTTTCAAAAGCTGAAATGGAAAATCAGTTAAGATTTCCTAAGGGCCCATTGCCATTATAGTCTGCTGCCACATTGCAATTATTATATATATTTCATATATTTTTATATATTTCATATATATATTGTATACTAATTGCACATAGGTAGTAGTAGTGAACACTATTGTCATCTACTGATCTGGTTTTCTTCATTATAGTTTTGCTCTCTCTAGATTTTCATATAAGTGGATTCATAGAGTATGTAGTCTTTTGTGTTTGTCTTCTTTCGCTTAGCATAAATCATTTGAAATTTATCAATGAATTTCATAATGAATCTTGTGTACATCCGTAGTTTGTTTTTATTGTTGAGTAGGATTCCACTCAATGGGTATAGAGCAATTTGTCCATTCACCTGTTGATGAACACTTGAGTCCCCTTCCAGTTTGGGCTACTATGAATAAAACTGCTGTCTTAGTCCTTTCAGGCTACTATAATAAAATACCTTAGACTGTGTAATTTATAAACAGCAACTTATTGCTCAGAGTTCTGGGGACTGTGAAGTTCAAAATCAAAGCACCAGCAGATTCAACATCTAGTGGGGGCTCCTTGTCTGCCTCATAGATGGCACCTTCTTGTGTCCTCACATGACAAACGGGTGAACAGGCTCCTTCCATCCTCTTTTATAAAGGCACTAATCCCATTCATGAGTGCTCCACCCTCATGACCTAATGACCTCCTAAAAGCTACACTTCTTAGTACTATTGCATTGGGGAATAGGTTTCAGCATATGAATCTGAGGAGGGATACAAACATTCAGACTATCGCAGCTGCTAGGACATTCATGTACAGTCTTCTTGAGAACTTATGTTTTTATTTTTCTTGAGTGAATACCTGTGAGTAGGATTACTGAGTTGTGTGCTTATTTCTCAGGATTGTTTTAGCTATTTGAGGTCCCTTACATTTCCATATGAACTTTAGGATCAACTTGTCAATTTCTGTAAGTGCATGTTTAACTTTTTAAGAAACTGCCAACTGCCATGAAAACTGGCTTTGGCTTTTTGCATTCCCACCAGTTGCTCTATAGCCTCATCAACATTGTATTGTCAGGTTTTTTACATTTTGATTTTAGCCATTCTGATAGAAGTATAGTAGTATCTCATGGTAGTTTTACTTTGTATTTCTCCAGTGACTAATAATATTGGTAGTTATAACCCCTCTTTTATTCTTGAGTTTTGGCCATTTGAGTCTTCTCTTTGTTGTTGGTGGTGGTGGTCAATCTGGATAAAACTTTGTCAATTTTGTTGATTCAAGAACCAACTTTTGGTTTTGTAGATTTTCTCTATGGTTTTTCTGTTCCCTATTCCATTTATTTTCATGCTAACTTTTATTACTTCTCTCCTTCTTGCTTGCTTTGTGTCTAGTTTCTTTTTCTTTTTTCTAATTTCCTGAGGTATAACATTAGGTTATTGATATAGTATTTTTTTCTTTTTAAACATAGGCATTTAGTTATAAATTTTCCTGTAAACATTACTTTAGTTGTATCATATAAATGTTAGTATTCTGTATTTTGTGTTTATTCATTTCAAAACATTTCCTAATTTCCCTTGTGATTTATTATTTGACCCATTAGTTATTTAGAAATGTGTTCTTTAATTTCCATATATTTATGAATTTCCTAAATTTTCTTCTGTTATTTCTGATCAGAAGACATACTTTATATTATTTAAATCCTTTTCAATTCATTGAAGCTTTCCTTGTGGCCTACCATATGGTCTGTCCTACAGAATGTTCCGTGTGTGCTTGAGAAGAATGGGTATTCTGCTGTTGTTGGGTAAAGTACTGAATAGATATCTGTTAGGTGTCTTTGATTTATAGTTTTCCGAGGTTTTCATGTCTTCCTATCCTTCTTGATTTTATGCCTAGCTCTTCTATCCATTATTGCAAGTAGGGTATTGAAGTGTCCAATTACATTGTTGAATTATTTATCTCTCCTTTCGTTTCTGTCAGTGACTCATACTACCATTCCAGAAACCTCATCTTCTATTCTTGAAGATTTTATGTTTATAATTTCAATGAAGTCCAATTAACCTTTTTCTTATTATTTCTGTGTTCTTGTGTCTTATCTAAGACAGTCTTCCCTAACTTAAGGTCACAAAACTTTTCCCTTGTGCTTTGTAAGTTTTACGATTTTAGCTTCTATATTTAATTATATGATCCAGTTAACTTCTGTATATGGTGTGACTAAAGGTCAAGGTCCTTTAATTTCTTTTTTAGACATCCAGTTGCTCCTATATCATTTGTTAGAGATACAATCTTTTCCCCCTCTGAATTACCTTATGTAAAAAATTAATTGAAAATATATTTATGGGTCTACTTCTAGACTCTCTATTGTATTCCATTGGTCTTTGTGTCTATCCTTATGCCAATTCCGCATGTTTTGATTAATGTAGCTTTTTTGTCCATCTTAAAATTAGGTATATAAATTCTCCCACTTGGTTCTCCTTCTTCAAAAACTGTTTTGACTCTTCTATGTCCTTTGACATGTCATATAATTTTTTTAGAATACACTCTTTAAATTCTACAGAGGAGGTTTATAGTATATTAATATCATATGTAAATTCAAACTAAAATTACAGATGGGGTAGTTGAAATAATTAACTTGGAATCAAGCCTCCATAATTTACATAAGGTTCTGTACAGTATGTGGCCTGAGTAACAATGCAGAATCATAGTATTGTGGTATAGCGGAGGGAAAAAATCTGAAGCCTTTGCTTGGCACTTTGTTCTGACATGCCATCATTTAATGTCCCTGCGTCTTGATTTTTGCCGCTGTAAAATATAATTCATTATTTTATTCATTGTTTTCTGGTTACAAATGATCCCAAAATTGAGTGCTTGTAAACAATACCAATTGAAACTATGTAAAGGAAAAGAACTGTACAACTGGGTGAGCCCTGTGAAAACATGAGGGATTATTATAACACTGAGACTCCAAACTAATTTAAGCTCTCTCCAATTTCAGCCTACATACTTGAAAAAGAGTAAAATGTATAACAATGAATGCACTCATGGCACAGTTTTGAGCAATCATTGTCCCAGCCAATATTCAATTAGCAATGTCTCAGGCACACTCCAAGGTGAAATTCTCCCACAGAGACAGAATGGGGCATAAATCTCCCTCATCCCTCTCCAGGTGAGGCAAACTGTGGGAGCCCAGTCCTCCTAGAGAAGAAAAGGAGGAGGAAGACTTCAGAAGCAAGATGACACAGGAGGAACAGAGGCAAGGAGAAAGGTGACTCATTCATTTCTTCTCCCAAAAGAACTGTGGCTCCCAAGGCCTACCAGATTTTGTTAAACATTCCTGCCTGGCTCAAGGATTATCCAAGTTCTAGCCTGGCCCTATCACTAACTTCTGTGTCATCTTGTACAAATCAGCTTCACCTTCCTAGGTATCAATTTCTTTATTTGTAAAATGAAGGAGTTTAACTAGGTCTCTAGATTCCTTCCAGTTTTGAAATTACATGATGCAAAGACAATGGTTGCTAAACCCCTATTAGTAAAGCAGTTTTGAGCACACAGCTCTAAAACATGTATATTTATTTAGTTTCAAAAGGTATACATCTACCACAGTACCAGTATCTTATAGTAATGATCAGGCATGCAGACATACACACCCATTCACACACATGTGAAAATTATAAAAGATGACAGTCTTAAATGAAATAAACAATATTATACATTTCTTAATTGAGGTATTCCATACAGCAATATCAATATCTCAAGCCACAACATAGACTTTGTCAATAAGGATAGTGAAGCAAATCCATTTTTCAGACACTATCCTTAATAATAAAGTTTTAATTTGTTGGTGTTTGTTGTTGGGTTGTTGCTGTTTTCTTTTATTCTCATGCTTGGAGAAAGAGGCCTACTTGCCTAACCACTCTCTTGTTCATTTGTCCCTGCCATAATATTTAGCTGAGGGTCAATAAGTAACATTTGGTTGGGTGCAGTGGCTCATACCTGTAATCCCAGCACTTTGGGAGGCCAAGGCAAGCAGATCACTGGAGGTCAGGAGTTCAAGACCAGCCTGGTCAACATGGCAAGAACCCATTTCTACTAAAAGTACAAAAATTAGCTAGGCATCGTGGTGCATGCCTGGAATCCCAGCTTCTTGGCAAGTAGAGGCAGGAAAATCTTTTGAACCCGGGGGAATGGAGATTACAGTGAGGTGAGATCACACCATTGCACTCCAGCCTAGGCAACAAAATAAATAAATAAATAACACTTTTCCCTTATTCACTTGAGTTCAAAGACAAAGGAGTCAGAGAGATGGAGATCAAATTGATAGGCTAAGGCATTACACTAAATATGCTTATGTACAGAAAAGACTTACACAGCAGGCCTAAGCTGCTATCCTTGAAAAGACCAGCTTCCAAGGCTGGCTCTTGTCTGGCATCTGGGAACTTAGATTTGGGGAGGATTCCCTCCATTAGTAGATAAGAGTGGCTCATTGTGCCTGAACTATTTGTACAAATAATATGGTTTATGCTGACCACCTGCTTTCCTTCTGGGAGCCAGGAATTTGGGTATGTGCTAGATAGAAAGTACTATGTCATCACCCCCAATGAAAACCCTGGGCACGAGTCTCTAATGAGCTTCACTGGTTGGTAGCATTTCATACATGTTGTCGCAGCTTGTTGCTTGGGGAGTTAAGGGTGTCCTGTGTGACTCAACTGGGAAAAGACCCTTAGAAGCTTGTACCTTGTTTCCTCCAGACTTCAGTCCATGTGCCTTTTCCCTTTGCTGATTTGGCTGTGTATCCTTTCTCAGTAATAAATTGTAATCATGAGTATGATTTATGCAGAGTCCTGTGAGTCCTCCTAGAGAATCACTGAACCTGGGAGTGGCCTTGGAGACCTTGTGTCACAGCCTGGTAACACGCTCCCTAAAATAAACCAACCCCAAACAGCAGACCTCCTTCTGTTGAGGTATTTAAAAAGAAATTGCTCTTGTCAAACTTTCCATTTATTTTTGAAAACAAATATAAACCCACATACAATATCTTAAGAACAGTAGCAAGAAACACATTAGCTAGTCAAAGAAAGGCAATACAAATTTATACCTTTGGCCCATGCAGATTTTGTCTTTCCATGACTTCTGGGCTTACCATGCACACACAAGGTAAACACAATAAATGTTCATAAATTAATACACATTTGGCACGTGCAAAATAAATATTATGTATTTTCCAACATTTTTGGCATTTTCTTCTCAAATGTTTACTAAAACACTCAAACTGGCATTAGGGAAATTTGGTGGTTCTTTTAATCATGCTGCCAACTATGTCATAGTTGAACTAGGCGCGTTTTTGTCCATATTTGCTCTAACACTGTCTAAAAATAAATATTCCTCACTCATTACCATGGACTCATAATTATAAATAATCTTGTCCTGTTAAAAAATTACTTAGAATTTAGACTCTCTTATTTTGATTTATATTGAAGTAGTTCTTGAATCAGTCAAATTATGCCACCCTAGTTGTAACTACCCTGGTGAAACAAGCATGAGACAGACAATCCACATAAAAGTAAACAGACTTCAAGGGAATTATGCTGAGTGAAAAAAAAAAGAGTCACTCTCAAAAGGTTACAGACTATGTGATTCCATTTACATTGCATTCTTGAAATAACAAAATTATACAGATGGAAAACAGATTAGTGGTTTCTGGAGTTGGAGATTGGGAGAAGAAGGTGGGTGTAAAAAATAAACAGAATATGATTATTAATCAGGAGTGTACAAAAATGAAATCCTATATATCATTTATTTTTTAAATATTTATCTTTATACACTTGATCTTTTTCATTTTCAACCACATACAGTTTTCACCTTGAAGGTGACCTTGCTGAGTGGAAAACATAATATCTTTAATACATGAGTTAAATCTAAGATGATGTTCAAATGGACTGCAGGTAACTGTTTATGTCAATAATAAATACAGCAGATTACTTTTAAAACCCATACTTTGGACTTTTTATTACAGATGCAGTTGCTGACTTACCATAAATCAATGTGCTTAAAGTGCCATATGATGTCAAATATTTAGCTTAACAGCATAAAATTGAACAGAAACTGTAAAACATGTTTTATAGGTGCTATAAAACCCTGGGGCTTGAGGTCCTGCTTTTTTGCATTACTCTGATCCATCAAGTTCCTTGGAAATTCTAGACAGCCAATACACTTGGGAATCGAAAATTGGCTTTCAGAATTTTACTCACTTAGGTTATTATGACCTCCCGGACAACATCCTCTGTTTCTTAATATGAGGAGAGCACAAGGAGAGAGGCATAGGCTAGTATAGGACAGACAGAGAGTTAAAATACTTTATATCCTTTATAATTCTCTTCTGTCAATAACCCATCCTGCTGCATCTGGCCTTCCACCCACCCAACAAAAAATGGGTGAAAAGAGGCTAATTGATAAGGCAAGATGGTAGTCATTGTTTACCTTAAAATGTTTGTTTCCCATTTGGAAACATTCATCCCACAAACTGACTTACTGCTCTGAGTTAAGCACTGTTTTGTGGTTCAGAAATGGACAATACAGAATAGAGACAATGAGGACATAAAGATGGAGAGAAATGGGCGGATGTGAGGGGCCTTTAGGTGATGGAGGCAATCATATAAGGTGATGAAAAAGGATAAGAAAGAGAGGAGGCAAAGATGACACCGAGGTTCTTGGCTTGACCACTGCATAGATGGTGGTGCTGTTCCCTGAAATGGAGTATGGAGAAGAGCCAGGGGCAGGGAGAAAGGGCAGATACATTGAATTTAAGGCATCAGTGGGTCTTCCTAGTGGAAATTTCCAGTAGCAACTGGTTATATGAGTCTGGAGCTCAAGACCAGAAGGTAAATTTAAAGAGTTAATTGTGGTAAACACCACTGGTTTCTTACCACAAAGTATAACATTCCAAAATATCACTTTCTTGCTACCAAAACCATCTCTTACTATAGAGGATTAAAATACCATCTACTCATTTTCTCAGTCCTTGCAGCCAGGACATGTGACCTGATTCTGAGAAATGGCCCCATAGAAGTTTGATAAGGAGGTTTTGAAATGCTTTCCTTCCCGATGAAAAGAACTATGTGAGAAGAAAACTACTTTTTTTTTTCCATCTTGGACATAGTTGTATGAAGTGTGATGCCTGGAGTTATGACAGCCATCTTGCAACCATGAGAAGATAAGGCTGTGGATGAAAACCAATATACCAAGAATGGTTGTGTTAAAAGATGAAAAGAGCTTGGGTCTTGAATGTCATCACTGAACACTTCACCAGTTTTCAAACAGCCCTATTTCTGAACTCTTGTGATGTGAGATTACTAATGTCCTCATTATTTAAGCTACATTAGTAGTTGGATTTCTTGTCACATGTAGCTGAAAATATCCTAGCTAATACATCAACAAATAAATGAGTAAATAATAAAATTTTTAATTAAAAAGAAAAATTGAGCTCTATACATATTGTATGCATGTATCAAAATCTCACTTGTACTCTATAAATATGTTCAACTATTATGGATCCATTTTTTAAACATACAAATTTGAACTCTTTTTTTTTCTTTTTATGTTTCTGCCAGCAGGAAGTCAAAATCTGAACTCTTTTTGTGTTTATATGCATCCGTTTTTTAAATGACCTGATGAAATTAAAACTGTTGAGAAAAATTAAAAAAAAAAAAGAAATGAGTGGGCCGGGCGCAGTGGCTCACGCCTGTAATCCCAGCACTTTGGGAGGCAGAGGCAGATGGATCATGAGATCAGGAGATCGAGACCAACCTGACTAATATGGTGAAGCCCCGTCTCTACTAAAAATACAAAAAATTAGCCAGGCATGGTGGCGGGTGCCTGTAGTACCAGCTACTTGGGAGGCTGAGACAGGAGAATGGCGTGAACCTGGGAGGCAGAGCTTGCGGTGAGCTGAGATCACGCCACTGCACTCCAGCCTGGATGACACAGCAAGACCCCATCTCAAAAAAAAAAAAAAAAAAAAGAAAGGAGTAAATAGAAAATGAAAGTAGAGGATACAAACCTCTTGGAAAAGAGACCCAAGAGACGGCATGTAACTAGAAATGGCAGGAGAGACAAAAGATATATTCTGAGGAGAAACAGAAAGAGTGATAGCAAACATGCCAAAACATGTGAAGGTGATATTCCACAGGAGGTGGGTAAGGGTAGCTAGGAGCTGGGAGTATTAGCTTTAGAAACACAGAAGTAAAAACTCCTCCTTTAAAATCAAAAAGAGGCCGGGCGTGGTGGCTCACACTTGTAATCCCAGCACTTTGGGAGGCCAAGGTGGGTGGATCATTTGAGGTCAGGAGTTTGAGACCAGCCTGGCCAACATGGTGAAACCCCGTCTGTACTAAAAATACAAAAATTAGCCGGGCATGGTGGTGCTTGCCTGTAACCCCAGATACTCGGGAGGCTGAGGCACAAGAATCACTTGAACCTGGGAGATGGAGGTTGCAATAAGCCAAGATGGCGCCACTACACTCCAGTCCAGGTGACAGAGTGAGACCCTATCTCAATAAATAAATAAATAAAATCAAAAAGAAAGCCAGGAAGAGGAAAGATGATAGAACAGGTATCAGATAATACCAGTTTCTTTTACTAAACTCATCCAAGGATTACAGTAAATTAAGCAATTAAATAATGAGTGATGCTTAATTTTGACTTCAGAATGTCAATAGCATGACTTCTTCTCAAAGGACAGACGTATCTGTAAGTGTAAGAAAATTGGGAAACATGGCTACATTTGGAGCCAAGGAAGTTTTACTATACAATATTTAGAATAACTGACATTATTTCTCTTTTCTGTTGTTGAAAATGCAGCCCCTTCCATTATAAAACCATGTATCTCATGGAATGTGATTTTCCATCTCTATTTATCTCTATTTATCCTTCCAGCCCATTCATTTCTAAGCTTAAACTATCTATTGCTCACCCTGAGCACTTGGAGAATGTTACTTTTCCTCTTCAACTGATGGAATCCAGAACTGAAGGTAGCCAGAGATTAGCAATGAGGAAATGGAAGCAGACAGTAATGAAGTCTATGGCAAGTTAGTGAAGGTGTAAAACAGAATAATAAAAAATATTTTATTAATCAAAAAAGGTAAGAAAAAAAGGAAACATAAAACAAACAGGTCTACATATAGAAACCAATGGTAGACAGTAGAAATAAACTCAACTGTATCAGTTTTAGTATAAACTAACTAAATAACCCAAGTAAAAAGCCAAGACTGTAATACTGGATAAAAATATATGTTGCTTACAACAACCACATTTTAAGTATAAGAAATAGATTGAATGTGAGAGGATAGAAAAAGAGTCACCATGTAAATATTCACCACAAGGGAGCTGAGGTAGCTATCCTAATATCAGACAAAAGAGATTGTAATGCAAGAAGTGTTACCAAACATAAAGAGGGGCACTTTATGTGATCAGGACTGAATCCAACAGAAAGATATCACAGTCCTAAATCCAAACACACTCAATAACATAGCTTCAAAATACAAAAAGTAAGAAATTGACAGATCTAAATTCCACTGAGATTGGGAGGCCAAAGCAGGCGTATCACTTGAGGTCAGGAGTTTCAGACCAGCCTGGCCAACATGGTGAAACCCCATCTCTACCAAAATTACAAAAAATGAACTGGGCTTGGTGGTGCATGCCTGTAATCCCAGCTTCTCAAGAGGCTGAAGCAGGAGAATCACTTGAATCTGGGAGGCGGAGGTTGCAGTGAGCCGAGATCATGCCACTGCACTCCAGCCGGGGCAACAGAGAGACACTCCATCTCAAAAATAAATAAACAAATTCCACTGAGGGAAGTCATTGATAGAATTCAAGACAAGTCTGAAGAGTGAAACACTACTAATTCTGAACTCATTATCACAAAGCTCCTAACTTGTATGAGTCCTGACTGGCATGAAGTTGTCTCAGGGACTCAAACGGGGGCAGCAGTTTGATGGTTAGCTTCATCTAGCCCACTAGATCTCTTGCAAGGTGAGACCTCTAGAAAACATCTCCAGCACTTCATTTAAAGTATTATGGGTATATTATATCCTTAAGTAAGAAACGGTGCAGCCCATCTGCATTTTTCTAAATGAATTCCAATCAGGGTCAGCAGGACACCAGGGCCCTGTCCCAGACTTGAGATCCACCAGCTCCTGTTTTTGTCAAAAAATAAACATAATCTGGCAGCTGCATCTTGGAACCCGGCAGCTCAGGAGTCCTCATCAGACACTTAGAACAGCAAAGGTCTCCAGGATTATGGTCCAAAGGGTCATAAATATGTAGCGAATTTTAAAATGCTGGTTTCCTCCCCAGCAAGGAGTACATCACTCAGTTCTGCTGTGTCACCAGTAATATCTACCCCAAAAGCTACTATTTCAGGAGGACCATTTATCTCTCTCCATCCTGTCTGCGTAGCAGGCCATTGCCTGCCCCCACAACACTCACTGCCCCCTCTCAAAATCTCAGGCCATAATCTCTGCATTAGAATCACTTTCTCCAGAAACAGATCATTCTGCTACATTTGCCCAGCTTTAACCTTCAATTTCAAGTTTGCTTCAGAACCCACAACCCAGCAGTACACAGTGATTGTCTTTTCTTCTTCTACTGCAAGCTTTGTAGTCTAATATGTACCACAGGAAGAAAATACACAGGACAAGTTTGGTTAGTCTGAAATTTCCTTATTATCTCTAAGAGTGCTGTGGGTGGTTGAGGCACTCTGGAATGTCATGGGACTTTAGCTTACTGTAATTTACCAGTTGTGAAATATATCAGTTCCTTTTTCTTTTCTTAAAATTTTCTTTTATTAAAGAGTCAACAAATTTAGCACTTGATGGGTCCCCTTAAATGTAAATAGCCAGGTACCTTTAGAAGTCTAAAAGTAAAATGAAACTAACCAAATAGTTAGTGGCTTCTCTACCGGTGTTGGCCAAATTGGGAGAGACAGAGGACCTAGAAATTTATATCTTTCAATTATTGAATAGGAAAAATTAAAGAAATATAGCTATCATTTAATCCAGCTTCTGTCTCTCATAAAAAATGGATTCAGTGGCTTGTGCAAACCAAATGTCCCAGACCTCAGAAGCTCCAGAGACCCAAATCAGGCCCCACTTCCAGTCTGTAACACAGCCCCAGCCTGTAATGCTCCAACTTAGTTGGTCAAAAGAACTTAGTATTTTATCAGATTCTTCCCCCTCACGTCCAGCCCGCCAAATATCTCAAGGGAACCCAGGAGGTGACACGATCCACACTCCCTCCTAACAGCCACAACTGCCCCTCCAGCCCCCAGGCCTGCCCTGCAGCCTTCCCACCCTTCCCCAGGCCGCTCTCCCCAGCCCTGGCCTCCTGCGTTCCTCTTGTGCAGCTTCTCTCGGGCACAGACACAAACCTCACCGGAGTTGTGTGGGAAGATCCCAAAGCCCTTCCCAATGCCACCCTGCAGGGTACTGGGATGCATGGGGGTAGTTGTGGCCTGTGGTCCCACTCATGCCCCTGCTTCTTGTCCCTCATGTCACTTCTTTCCCAGGTGAACATGGTCCTTTTTTGCCTTCAGTCCCCAAATCCACCTGTACAAATTTGCCAGATATGGCAGGCTCTCCATGAAGGTTTTGGGATAACACAGAGGGAGCACAGCGTACCCACCAAACAGAACAACCTTGAGGTAGAATAGGGTCTGAAGGCAGGGAACCTAAGGCTGTTTCACATTGACTTCATAGAACTAAATTGAAAGGAAAACCCTAACTTTCCATGCCTAAGTAACAAAAGGACCAGAGGCTACTCCCTTTGCAAACCCCCACCTTTTCTACAGGGCAGATGGGAAACTGAAAGTATCTCTGATTGGTGCCAAGCAACCAATCAGATGTTTGCATAGGAGTGTAACTTCATAACTTCACTTCAGCCTCTGACTGGTTGCTGTCCACAGCCAATCAGACTGATTGCGGACCAAGTCTTCCTTTGCATAAAAGTGCAACTTTGTAACTTCACCTTAGCCTCTCATGCTAAAGTGAATCTTAGGAGTTTGCATAGGAGTGTGACCCTTGTAACCACTTCAGCCTCTGAGTGGAAAGCAACCAGATTGATTGCAGGCCACCACTTCATTTACATGGGTGAACACCAGGTGGCCAGTGGGAAACCTCTAGGAGGTATTTGGACCCAAGAAGATTGTGTATCAGGACCCTTGTGTCCCTATGCTCGGGCCCACCCCCACACTGTGGACAGTACTTTCATTTTCAATAAATCTCTGCTTTTGTTGCCTCACTCTTCCCTTACTTTGTTTGTGTGTTTTGCCCAATTCTTTGTTCAAGATGCCAAGAACCTGGACATGCTTCACCAACAGCAACCTGAAATTGAAAACCGCTAATCATTGTTCTTAAAAGGTCCTTGGCCATCCAAGCCCTGGGGGTTTTCTACTGGCAGCCCTGATCTCATACTCATCCCACCACCAGTCCCTGGGTCCTCCCCATCCTTCTGCTCTTATCTCCACTGCTTCTCCTTTCCCAGGCTCTTCTTCCCTCTCCAGAGCTACCCTGACATTTCAGTTTCATCTTCTTTTATTGTACTGTGTGTTTCAGCAATCTGAGTGTTACTGTCTCCCACTCATCCTCACCTTTTGAAGAAAGAACCAAAAACAAAAACAAAAAAAGTCAATATAGGCCTTTCAAGATACTCCAAAAACTTAAGAAAAAAGTGTTAAGGCTATATTACAAGACCCCAGAAAAATGATGCTCAGAAGACAAAAGCAGTAATTTTTAGTTTAAATAGTACTTTTTCTCTGGCAGTAAGTACATCAGGGAGAGTCAAGACTTCCTCTTGGAAAAGTATGCCATCTGGTTCTTGTCATACTGTTGTGCTCCTTAACTCATTTCATGCAAAATTTCCAGCACCATGTTTGAGGGACCCTGATTACTCCTCATCCATGCAGTTTCAGAGCCACAGGAGAGATGCATGTGGGTGGGCAGAAGTGGAAGTTGTTTATGAGCATGAAGTATTTCTGAGAAATGAACGCATTGATGTTGGGATTTGAAATCTGATTTATCTCTTTGATGATTACGGGAGGAAATTTTATTATAAACAATAATATTTGCTGGCATATGCATGGATGTCTGAACTCAGATGATAAAAACTAGAGGATTTTGAGCATCTTGGAAAAAAATTGTACAATTAATTTAAGATTTCTTACATGACCTAGAAAATGAAAAGGGGAAGCAAATACACTGGAAAAAAAAGAAGGTGGAGGAGGATCACATTACTCCTTCACAGTTAATTAGAAGAACTTTCAACCAAAACACATAACTGGGTAACAAATACCAGGTAATTTTCTTTGACTGAATTTTTTTTCACTTCATTTTCTTTGAAGTGAAAAAAAGTAATTTTTAAATACAGGAAATAATATTTTATGACTGAGTATTCTCTTCAAAGAATCTGGGTCAGCAGCTCATTTCAAATTTTCAGTGCCTAGAGGACGATAATACTTAGTGCTGTTTGCTGGTGATTTACAACACTTTCGTGGCTTAAGACCAAGAATATACATATTAAAAATCATGCTCTGCCTGAATCCAACAAGCAGATGCCCCACCTTCTTTTAAGGAAGAACATGACAATAATGAACGGATAATAGAGTACAAACAAAGACACTCAAACTGCATTTCCTAATGTTGCAAATGTTAATATTGAGTAACAAAGCATCATTTCTATTAAAGCTGGCCTTCAGCCACTCCCTTATGAGGTAGGTGGAAAGAAATCTTTTTACTTTCCCATAATTCTACTACTTACGGGAAAGCAAGTTGACTTTGCCCAGCATTGATGCAAAGAGCATGACACAGAGTTCAAGCCGCAGCACTGCTGCTCAGGAGAGTGGAAAAGAGAAAAGTTATTGGCACAATAGCAACCAAGTGTTTCATCTAAATGTTCTGTTTCTTGAGCTCCCAGGTAACTCAGCTTCACATCTTTTCCTTGTACAGGTCAACTCCACTTAGGTAGAATGTGAATATATAGTATGAGAGGCCAAAAACCCATACCTATATAAGCAAAATTATCTCCCCCTACTGCCAATTCATAAAAATAACACCTGCCAGAATGGAACAGAATGCTGAAAAGTCTACCTTGAAAAGATGAGCGATTTTCAAGCCAAGAAAACTTGAATGTATGAAACCCCCTAGAAAGAATGTGTCATCCAGGGGGTAATTGGCCCATCGCAGAAACATGGAAAAGAGGAAAAGGAAGACAGCAGGGCACAGTGTTCATAAGAAAGAGACACAGGATGCTTTTTAAGAAACTTGGGTGTGAAAGCAAAACAGGCAATATTTAGAAAGGAACTTTTGGTCAATGGGTGGAAATGGGTTAAAATAGGAGCCATTTGCACATAATTATATTCTAAGGGGAAGGAAGCAATAGAGAGAGCAATTGAAAATGTAAGGAAGAGAGGGAAGAACTGATGTGGGTGAGGGTGCATGTTTAGAACACAGGCTGGGAAGAGTCGGCCGCGGGAGTCACACTGCTAATAAAAGGCAGAGACCAGGGGTTTTTGGACCTGGGTGCAAATTGTGGTCTTGCCACTTTCTATCTGAGGGACCTTGTCACCCTGATGGTGAAAAACAAGCCTGTAACAGAAGAAAGGAAAGACAAGAACTGGGAGGCTGTGATAAGGGAGCTGCATATATCAGCAGTGCAGCAAGTCTGGCTGTTGACATGGTTCTTGGTGAGCCCAAGAGAGCTGACTGCTGGAAAAGAGTAGAGGAGAACATTTTCAGCCTCAGAAATATCACTGGCCTCTGATGGGAGAGATAAGTGGTCTCAGGGCCTAATGAGTGCTGGAGAATTCATTCATTCATTCAGTGAACATGACTGAGGCCTCTCACTTTGCTAGACATTTTGGAAGACAGGGGTCAAAATCACAGTTCCTACTCTCAATTAGCTCACAGCCCTGTACTAGTGATGGACAAAGAACCAGTATGTGACAGTTCAGACTAATAAGCCCAACAAGAGAGGGATATACAGGACACTGTGGGACCCCTAAAGGGAGCACCTTGTGCAGAGGTAGAAGGATAGGAATGAACGAGGGGTGACGGGTAACAGGAAGAGAGAGAAGCACCGCAGGAGTCTCTGAAGAGTGTTCACAGGGGGTGCGAGGCTTGCTGTGCAGAAACCAATAGGGGCAGGTGAGAAATGCTGACCCCAAGGGATGAGCAGGCTCATGTCAGGGTGCTACAACCGTCCCCTCCTCTTCACTCTTTCCTGCACCCCAGACTCCAAGTCTTAAACTAGGTTATCTCCCCAGTGGCCTGGCCTGCCCCCCGAATGCTCTCAAACCAGTATCTTCTAACCCTAGTCAAAAATTACCCCTTCCCTTCAGCTAGCCATTAGAATTGAAACAAATTCCCACTGCCATGTGAAAGTCTGATTATCCTACTGTTCCCAAGGCACCAGCCTTTTAGTGGGATGTTTGCTGTAGTAGATTGTATCTTCCAAAAATGGCCACAAAATGTTTCTGAGTCCACATGCTCATCCAGAAACTTTCTACTCCCTCATTAAGAGATAGAATCTATTTCCCTTCCCCTTGAAATTGGGCTGCCTTTGTGACTTCTTCAATAAAAAGAGCTGCTTGGAACCCCCACCCACAGCCCTTACCTCCCCTGCATCCATGAGCACACCCCTCTGGGACTATACTGTCTACCATTGCCTCCCTGACTTGGGACTTTGGCTCTGGAGTTCACTCCCTACCCCAAGGCCATAAAAAACCCCCACTGCACTCTTTAGTCCCTGGGCTCCAGCCACTGCCCTCTCCCCAGATTTCTCTGTTTTCTGCCATCTCTGTGGGATCCGCATAATCTGCCTCCAGCAGTTTCTGGGAGTGAACCCAGCTATCTTGCTGAAGGTAGGGTAGGGGTGGATGCAACAATGGGCTGATTGTTATCAATATGTATGGCAAGATATTATCTTGAGATATTAATCTGTGGGTTTTTCTTTGCTCACTTCCTTGTACAGTGACCAAACAGCCTCACGCAAGAGTACAGTTGGTAAAGAGGGACTGAAAAGAGCCAAAAATGTCAACGTTCATATTTGTGACTCTAAAACAGCATCCAAGAATCAAAAAAGCAAGGCTTGGGGCACAAAGCACAGAGACATGTGGACCAGGGACAGGGATATACAGACAGCCCTATCCCAGTGCCTCCAGGGAGACCAGAGTAAGGTGTGCTGGGCCGAGGGAGGGGAGGAGCACATGGTGAGGAGCAGGTCCACATTGGAAGTCTTGGGAGCCCCAGGAGCCCCTCAGCTGGTTGCATATTCCCAGAGATGTTTGCCAAGCCCTGATTACATATCCACACTCCCCTGAATGAACACACCCTCCCCATTCCAGTGTCTAAGGACTCTCATGAGCCCTGCAGATCTGTTAGGAACACTTTCAGCTCTAAGCAACAAAAGATATGATTAACAGTGCCTTAAACACTACAGGTGTATTCTTTCACACAACAAGAAGGCTGTAAGTGGGTAGTTTGTTGGTAAAAATGCAGTTTATCCAGGACCTAGCTCATGAGCTTAGGATTCAACTAGTTCTGGAATCATCCTTAGGAATCTATAATTCTGAAAACTTCCTAGGTGATTCTAATTTGCAATCAGATATGGAAGCCACTTCTCCCAAGTTTACTAAGGCTGCTGTACTCTCCCCTCTTCTGAGTTTTCGGAGTCCATTAGCTTTCAGAGGAGTCAACAGTGCTACCAGTGAACACCTGACTAATTTATTCACTCAAATGGTCAGCACACCGTAATTGCTCGCTTTTTACCTGGTAGCATCAGCTCAGTGAGGGTTGTGAACTGGGCCTAGAGACATGAGAATTCAGCAGCATTTCCAAACTGGGTAGAATTTCCACAGACTATTTCAAGTGCTTTTTTTTTTTCCATTCAAGAAAGATGGGGCAACCAGCCAAGTAAACATGGTTGTTTTTGTCTGTTTTGTGTTGCTAAAACAGAATACCTGAGACTGGGTAATTTATAAACGATGATTTATTTGGCTCATGTTCTGGAGGCTGGTGCTGGAATCTGGTGAGGGCCTTCTGGCTATGCCATTTTCTGGTGGAAGCGAAAGAGAGAGAAAACAGGGCCAAACTCATCCTTTTATCAGGAACCCACTCCCACAGTAACTAACCCACTCCCAAGATAATGGCATTAAGACTGTCCTGATGACCTCATCACCTCTTAAAGGTCCCACCTGTCAACACTGCTGCATTGAGGATTAAGTTTCCAACACATGAAACTTGAGGGACACATTTAAACCATAACAATGGTGGGCTGAACATTGTCTTTTGCCTATATTCCCACCCCCAAAATTCACTACAGTATCGAGATTTTGTTAAAGGCAAAAAACAAATAAACAAACCATCTCAAGGACAAGGCTAAAAGAGAAAGGAGCAAGTGTGGAGAGAGAGAGGTAAACACGATGTCGGAAACCGGAAAGCAGGTGGTAAATGATGAGTAACTTAGAGACCAGGCACAGGTTGCAGAGAGGAGGCAGGAAGACAACAGACTGGCCCCGGAGCACCTGGTAGGCATAGAATTGGAGGCCCCAGGAACCTCTCTGGTTGTGGGGTGTTGGTTAAAAGGCTATACTAAATACAGCTTGATCCTTTGATCGCTTCTCCACTCCCATCAGACAAGGCACCTCTCTCATCCTACAGAAGACATACCAGAGAAGGGGATAAGGGCCAAGTCAGCATGCTGAATGGCGAGAACAGCCTGCAGCCTTTCGCCACTGCATCTGAGAATCCTGGTGACTCAGCTTAGACACATGGGGCGACAGGCTACAAATTTCTTCTCTGGAGAAACTGAGCTCCTCAAAGAAAAGACTTATAAACAATGACTACTGGGGATTATAATCAAATATACATATTCAGAGAAAGCCAACACAGCACAAAAAGCAGAATAAACTTTAAGGAAAACTGTAATTAATATCTTCGGAGAAAGAATATAACTGCATCTACAAAAAAGAACAAACTACTCATAAAACAAAAATGAGCTCTCAGTTCTAAAAAAATATAAAAACAGGAAAAAAAAATCCAATAGAATCCAAACAGGCTTTACTGGGAAGGTACTGGAGGATATATTCCACAAAATGAAAGAGCAAACCAGGAAAAAGGCATACAAAGGATTCAAGAGAGAGGGATCCAACTAAGGAGAACTGAACGACACATCAGAGCAGGAAGCCAATGGGCTCCAGAGGGGATGTGTTAAAAATAAAAAATCAGTTGATTACCTGATGTGTTTGAACTATTAAGAGGAGATTAACACTGCTGGCAATGCGTTGGAGGAGAATTAGGGACAGAAAAATATCAAAACAAGATAATTTTGAACTCCAGGGAGAAAAAGAAGTTGTATAACAACGGAAGTATTATCAGTGTACACTGTGTGCCTTACCGGGGAAAACATTTATAATAATCACAACAGTTAACTTTGAGTAGTTACTTAATTAAAAAATACAATATAATTACATTGGAAGAATAGGGGAACAAAAGTGCTCAATCTTCATCTTTCATAGGAAGAAGTCAAAGTTTCTGCCTAATCTGAAAAATCAACACAGAAGCATATAATTTAGATACCTGGGGAAACATGTGGAACTTTCAACTAGCCGCGCCAGTTGAAAATGGGACTGGTTTCTCTGATGAGAATGGCTGGGTAGGAAATGGTAATCTGTCAGACCACAAGGAATTTTTCTAGTCAACAAACTCCAGATGTTTGTGATTCTTTTCCTCCTGGTTCACTGGGTTCAGCCAAAGTCCTCCCTAGAAGATTGCCAAGTGTAAGCTGTGAGGAAACACACAATGAACTTCATTTGAACTCTGTTTCATCTTTTCTTTTTTAAGCCAAAAATGTCATAACAAATAGAAAGGAGACAAAGTAGATGCAGATATGCGGGGGTATTAGTGCAGAGGGTCTATCCCTTGAGCCTTTCTTACCAACACGAAGAACTGCGAGTGGCTTCTCTACTGACCCAATGGACTGAGCATTTCCCACACATTCAAATGAATGAAAGAGTGAACGAATGAACAATAGACAAGCCCATTATTCTTCATGCATTGTGAGTGCCTAACACACATTAGGTACTACACTGTTTGGCTCCAGCACTTCTATCCGATTCACTCAGAGTTTTAACGACCTCTGTGTGTATTGTTATGTATGAAGTGGGCACCACTGATGTGCCAGGGATACTCCCCATCTTCAAAAGTATTACAATCCATTTGGGGAGGCAAAATGTGAATAAAGGAAAATTTAAACCAGTGACCACAGACAGCCGAGTTGTGGGTGCAGAGGAAGGAGCTACTGTGGGCCTGGTGTGGAGTGGACAGGCTTTCCCAACACTGGCTGCAAATCCTAGAGTATTTCCCACATATGTGTTCGTGCCGAGGATGGGAATAGGGAAGACAGTGTCACACCAACTGACACCTGTTAACAAAAGTCAGCAAAGAGCAAACGTGGTCGGCTTCCCGCAAGCATTCTCATGTTTCCCTTGGTGCTTTAACTCTAAGGCAGAGAAACAGCCATTCTCTTTCCTTCTCTGCCGGCAGGGAAGTGGGAGGGGCACTGGCCAGCTGCCTGTCCTGCTCACTCACAGTGACTGCAGAAGTCAATTGATTCCCTACTTTCCCAACTCCCGCCCCCACCACCAACCTTGGGTACTTCTTCCCATTGGAATAATGATTAAACCATTGTCCATCAGTAACTGAGAAACTGTTCCCTGATCTGGACCCCTTTTTTTGGTGTTTTCTAGTGCTGGAATTCTGTGTCTCCTCTCCTGTGTGCTCAGGAAACCACCAGGTCCAATGTCAGCCCCATTAGTCAATATCAGAGCAGCCCCTTCCTAGTTGTAGGAGGAGTATCCTAATGGAGGAGAACTCTTGGTCTCACTCTGCAATTGCTCAGACTTCCAAGTGTAGAGTCTTTACTAAAGGCATTTCTTTAGCTCTGGCTACTTTGCTTTTATTTACTCATAAAAATATCAGGAGGTGCAATACACTTTCAGTTTTATAAATATTCCTTTTTAGCAAAATGCATACTCTTTGCATTTCAACCTCTCTGACTTTGGGAAATCAGATGACTATAAGAGGAGCACAGTCTTTAAAAGGCTCTTGCATTCTGTGGGACAGTTAATTCCGGAGACTTGGCTGCTTGTGTGCATTTTGGAGTGCTCAGCTCTAACTACATGCATCTAGAACAGACGCACACAGGAGACCCTCAAAAAATATTTTTTAAACAATAAAAAATTAGGCCAGGTGCGGTGGCTTATGCCGGTAATCCCAACGCACACCTGTAGTCCCAGCTACTTGGGAGGCTGAGGCAGAAGAATCGTTTGAACCCAGGAGGCGGAGGTTGCAGTGAGCAGAGATCGTGCCACTGCACTCCAGCCTGGGTGACAGGGCAAGGCTCTGTCTCAAAATAAATAAATAAGAATAAAAAATTAAAACCTTGCACCTGATGGCTGTAAGCTTATCATACCACAATATGAGAAACTGTTGGCAATTTCTATTTTGTGTTCTGTTCACATACATTTGTCCATCCTGTGAACTTACATAGACTCCACCAATTTGTTTGAGGCTGCCCTGAGAACTTATGCTGATTAACCTAGTGGCTCTATGTTCAGGTGTAGGGAGAAAGGCCTCTCTTCTTGCTCTTTCCAAACGAAGTACTTCTTGAGATCAGCACCAGGAGGACAGGGCTCCAGCTGCCATTTTCCTTGAACCACGCAGGCCCTCTAGCATAGATTTGGCGTGTAGGAAAATCTCCATGAGTGCAGAAAGCAGCTGAAGAAGTCACAGGAGGAAGATCCCCATAAGCCCTGCCCCAAACATGCTCCATTTAAGGATTCTGTTATGGAGGCTTAACACCAACTATGTGTCAGTGGTAAATAAGACAGACAAAGCTCTGCTTTCAAGGAACCTATAGTCACATGGAGGAGCTGGAAATTGCAGGGTCCTGTGGGGGCACAGAGAGGAACATGTGGCCCAGATCGCCACAGAGAAAGTAACCTCTAAATGCTGACACCTAAAAGATAAGTAGCAATCATTAAGCCAAAGCAGGTGGGCGAGAGATGCTGTGATTTATTTGGAATAAACCTAGAACAGAGAATGCAAGGGGAAGAAGTAGCCAAAGGGGAGGTAAGAGATGCCAGGGGAAGATCACATAGGGATCGTGTTAGAAGGTTTGTCTTTATCCTGGGAGAAATCGGGAGTCACTGAAGTAATTTAAGCAAGGAAGGGACATGATCAGATTTGCATTTTAGAAATATCAAATAGTGATTTAAACCAGGGGAGTGGTAGTGGAGATGATGAGAAGTAGCAGAATTTAAGAATCATTTAGGAGGCAGAATTTATAGATCATGGAAACTGAATGAATGAGATGGATGAGAGAGGGGGGGAAGTCAAGATCAAGCTGCAGGTTTCTAGTACAAGCAAGTGGGAGAATGGAGGTGCCATTCCTGAGCTAGAGCACGTAGAAGAAAAACAGGTTTGGAGAAAGTGGGAAGACAATGATTTTGTTTGAGCTGGTTGAATCTGAGTCACCTGTAGGACATCCAAGTGTAGACAGATGTCCATCACATGGTTGTGCATTTGGGTCTGGAGCTCAGCAGAAAATCTGGGATTTGGAAGGCATCAGCATAGAGATGGCTGTGAAAGCCATGAAAGTCAGGGGGTGGGCAGGGGGTGTAAACTGGTTAGTTGATGGATTAATTGGTTGGTTTAAAGGTAATACAGACAGTTAATACTAGCTCTCCAGCTGAAGAATCAGAGCACATTTCAAGAAGATCAGTTTAACATTCCAAGGCTAGAGCTTAACCAAGACCACGCTAACTCTGTTCAAGGGCCTAGAGCCGCACTGCCCAACACAGCAGCCACTAGCTGCATGTGCTTTCTTAAATTTAAATGAATTTAAATTTAATTTAAAACTCACTTCCTCAGTCATACCTGCCACCTTTCCCATGCTTGATAGCCACATGTGACTAGTGACTACCATATTTGGCAGCACAGATATTATGGAACATTTCCAACATCACAGATAGGTCCATTGGACAGTGTTGCCCTAGTTATTTGCATTGTCAAAATTAAGAGCTGACGCAAACACCACAAGCATTGTGCAGCTTAAATTAGCAGAGGAGGGCAGCAAGATGATGCATGTCCTTTCCAAGCCACTCATCACCCAAGAAAAATATACTTAAACCAGGCACCCCAGATGCAGCCTGTCTTGTGCTCCAGGAGAAGGAGCCCCTGCAGCTCTGCCTTTTGCTATAGACTTTGAGACTGAGAGCAGGCGGCAAAACCTAACCAAGGATGTGACTGGAGGCTTTTGTGGGAAGGAAGCCTCTTAGTGGAGATGAATCTCCTGCCAGCTGATCAAGGGTCCCCCTTCCAGGGTTCTAGAGGAAGTGAGCCATGGAAATTCCTTAGGCAGGGTAGAAGCCCTGTGCCCAGTGGCTTGTTGCCAGGAACCCAGAGAGATTCAGGTCATTCGGGGGACAGTACTACCAGGGCCTTCTCAATGATAAAGCACATTCTATGCTTCTTTTCTAAATTAAGCTTTAAACCTTTATTGACAATGTTATATTAATGATATAAAAAGTTAGACTCACAGGACATTGGAAGTCATCTGGTTTTCTCCTGACACAGCTGGGAGAGATGACCCTTCCTCTGCTGATGGTCCTCCAGTGACCTCCCCAGTGGAGGATTTATAATTTAGATAGATGTGTGTGTGCATGCGTGAGTGCGTGTGTGTGTGTGTGCGAGGGAGAGAGAAAGAGAGAGAGAGAGGCTCTCTACTGGTTCTGTTTCTCTGAAGAACATTGAATAATACACAGATAATATCCAGTTCAACCACATTCTATTTAATAGCTACATGGCAATCCAAATCCATGTTGATGGATATTTGCGCTGTTTGTTACAGTGCCACAGTGAACATTCTCAGTCATGTCTCAGTGTGTGCAAATGCACTTTTAAAATGCATTGTAGAAGTGGAGTTGCTGGATCAAAGGGCATGGACATTTAAATTTCATTAGGTGTTGCCAATTTCCTTTCCAAAAAGTTGCACCAATTTACATGCTACTAACCAGGAATAAGAATGCCTGTTTTTCCATGTAAGAAGTGGTTGGTTGGTTGCTTAGTTTGCTGGTTGAAGATGGGCAACACTTAAGCATGCTTAAAACAATGAAATGAAAGAAAGGGGCAGGAGAAATAGAGAAAGAGAAGATTATAGAAAGGGAGAAGCTAGAGGAGAAAGAGCACAGAGTGCATGTGCAGGGATTCACCCTGGAGAGGAGGAGGGACTCTCCTTCCATCACAACAAAAAGAGGAGAATGGGGTGGAGCTAGTCAGTTTGTAAGTTTGGTGGCAGGAAGAGGCTTTTATTTTTTCTGAAAGGTAAAAGGCATGAGTGGTTGCTTAAAGTGATGGTGGAGGAATTAGGTTGGGAGGTTGGTACAGAATAAATATTAAGGTAACCACCATGAAGAATAGGAGGGAAAGTTGACTGGTAAAACAAAGAATGATTTCCAAGCAGCATTTAAGTCTGATCGTTTATTTTTAGCCAAACACAAGTTTTCAAAAACACTTCCACTCAGTCTCCATCAATACATCCCTCCCTCCTAACAGAACACAATGGAGGAGCCACTTGCAGGCAGGCCACCATCTGAGAATCCCTCAAGACCAGGAAGGCAAGTGGGGACCTTCCCAAGCATGGAAGTTAAGCCCCCACTGCAGGGTTTTTTGTGTACCAGAGGCATCCATGTTCTCCTAACTCTATAACCAAGGGCCTCTCTCCACTTGGTTACAGAGGCACCTATGGTGTGGTTTCAGGATGTCCTCAAAACATCTCCCCCATCACTCCCGAAAATTCACCTCAGAGAACTAAGAGTTGGTCCTTGCTTCTTGCTGAGGTACACAACAGATGCCCACTGCAGCCTATATTCCTTAGTAAGGACTAAGATCCCTTAGTCCAGTCCTATTGTCCAGCCCTCTCTCCAACAGTTCATCCCATGCTAACTCTGATGGTGCCGCTGCACTCCAACCTGGGCTACAGAGTGAGACCTTGTCTGAAAAATAAATAAAAAATAAGACACCTATCAATGACCCCCTGCGACAGTGCAGCAGTGGGGGAAGGACCTCGTAGGCAGGTTGTCTATGTGCTGCCAAGGGCAGGTCAGAAGGAGGGACCCTAACAAGCTGCCTTCGCCTTGAAGCTCCGTGTTTCACTGTTTGGCCCTGCCAACACATAGAAATTAGATACCCACATGTTTTTTCAAATTAACAAACCTAAAATTGTATTTATTTACTTTTCAATGAATTTGAATCCTCCAGTGGTACAGCATCACATGGATTCTGTGCCCAATGGCCTTAGCAGGAGGGTGGCTTTGGAACTTGGCACAAACCACGCTGTTCTTTCCTTGGGCACAAGTTACCTTTCCCCAGATGACTCTGGTTTTGTTTGATTTGCTGCCAGGGCCACTGTGTTGTTCTTTGCACACATAAGTACATCTGTTTCCCAAATAAAATTCAGTTTCATCTCGGGCATAAACACCTTCAATTTCAAGAACAGTTGTGTGCTCCCTCTGGTTCCAGAAATGTCACTTCTAGCAAAAGTGGCCTCAGGGCACAGCCCTGCAGACATGTTTGCTGTTTCAGAAGCCCTGTTCCCATGGGCCTCTCCAGGCTCCAAGAGGGCAAAAAGAATGAATTTGATATCTTTTGATAGAATAAGAATCTCTGTTTCATTAGAGAAGAACAAAGTACTATCTTATACAATGTATCCCAAAATAAACTGTTTTAATTGCTGAATCTAAGACGTAGTGATACATGTAGTCCTAAATCTTACTCCAATTCCTTAAAACTAGCTTGAATTTCCAGAAGGTTGGTGTCCTACTATTTGTGATGAAAAATTAACACTACAAAAAAAATAGCTCCACTAATAATTCCACCAGCGAAAAATTACTTCACTTCTCACTATTGAGATTTTGAAAGACTGCGTATCTGTTTACCTGGACATCTTCCTAAATTTCATAATTAATCCTCAAATGATGTAAGTAAAAGTTCTGCAGGTCAGTAGGAGGAAACAGAATTGAATTTTATAAAGTATTAAGATTTCTCAAGATACGGCCAAAGGCCATACTCCCTTGGGCTCTGGAGGATCATGTTCTCAGGAAAAGTAGAGTTAGGGTTGGAGAGAACTCAAAAAGGATATGAGGGGTGTAGCAGGATGTGGTCATTGCGATTTAGGAGGCCTCACCCCCCTTGAGTCAGTAATAATTATAATACTGAACACTCCTGGGGTACTTTTGAAACCTTAGAAGCCCCTCAAGGCCCCACCATGGGTCCAGTGCACTGCGTTGCTGAGAAAGGTCATTTTTACAAATATCACGTAACCTGATGTGCTCTGAGGTGGTGGACAGCATGGGGGAGGAGGAGCTCCATCCTGACTGAGTGCTAAGTGTTGCAGTCATACCCTCCTCACTGAGGGTACTGTGCGTCCACTCTGCCTGTCCACAATTGACAGCAGGGCAGTCAGTGAGCCTCTGAAGACACAGTCTGAACACACACACCTCTACCTGAACATTTGAATGGCCCCACATCACTCTTAGAACAAAGGCCGAATACCTAATATGGTCTTTGTAACTTGGTATCTGTCTTAGTCCATTTGAGCTGCAGTAACAAAGTATCTTAGACTGCGTAACTACCAAAAAAAAAAAAAAAAATTATTGGTCACAGTTCTGGAAGCTGAGAAGTCCAAGATCAAGGCACTGGCAGATTTGGTGTCTGGTGAGGGCCATTTCCTCATATACAGGAGTCTTTTTACTGTAAGCTCACATGGCAGAAGAGAAAAATGAGTTCCCTGGGTGCCTTTTATAGGCACTAATTCCATTCATGTGAGCTTCTCTTAATACTCGTTTGGATTAGGTTTCAACATATGACTGGAGGCAAGGGAACATTCCCATCAGAGGGGTATCTGACTTCTGCCCACTTTCCCACTTCACCTTCCCCATCCTGCTCCTGCCACTCTGTCCTTTTATGAGCTCCTCAAGCATTCCAGATGGGCATCGTCCCACGGCAGAGTTCTGCACATGCTGCCCCCAACCCAGGGCGCTCTCCCTTCCCCACCTCCTTGCCTTGCCGAAACTTTAGGAAGCTCATTTATCTTGACTGGATTGCTTAATATTAGTCTAATGTTTAAATTGTCCAGTTGAGATAACAGGGTCCCCTTTAGTGCCATGAGTCTATGATTATTCTCTTTTTCTGGAGGACAGAGATGCAAAAGTTAAAGTAATCAAACTACTGTTAAGTTATAGAGAATAAAATTCAAGAGTAAACCTTTACTGTGTTAGGGGTAGAAATTTGCATGTTAATTATATGCTGTACTGGTGGGGAATGAAGCCAAATGTTACATTTATAAAGGATGGTACAGCACTATGCCATTGATTCATGTTTCAAGCGTTTATTGAGAGCCTGTGATGTACCTGTGCCAGGTATTAGGAAATAACACAGTGAGCAAAACAGACATGGGCCTTGCCCATATGGAGATCACAGCTCAGTGGGAGAGGAAGACGTTAATCAAATAATCATACACATAACTGCACAACTGCCTATTGTGATAAATTCTCAAGGGAAAGGTTCTGAGAG
Source organism: Homo sapiens (assembly GCF_000001405.40). Taxonomy (NCBI): domain Eukaryota; kingdom Metazoa; phylum Chordata; class Mammalia; order Primates; family Hominidae; genus Homo; species Homo sapiens. The sequence goes on along the minus strand of NC_000003.12, from coordinate 158,761,427 downwards.
AGGTAAACTAGTCTGGGTGGCAAGCTTACTGAGAAACAGACCGTTAAGCTGAGACCTAAAGCAGGAGTGTGAAACAAGGCAAAGGGACCAGCCAGTGCCACCACTGCCTTGCAGGAAGCCCACAGCCTACCTTCCTACCAACACACAGAGCCCACCCGACGCGGCCAGAGCCAAACACAGCCATGCTCTCCTTCTCTCCACATCGACAGAAACACGTGCACATCCACACCCAAAGTGGGCAAGTAGACGTAGCCCAACAGAAGGAGAAACCCCACATGGATTACTCATCTCATCTTACCACAATCAACACAAAATTAAACACAGCAGTGCATCCACACTCTTATTATGACTTCCTTTTTTATTGAACTTTTAGTTTTTCTGTTATAAATATTATGAACTTTTTACAAATTCAACTCTTTCAATGAACTATAATTATCATTTTCAGGGCCACGTTCACATTTCCAAAGGCAGGCAGGAGCTCTCTAGGTCAATGCCTATGTCCTTTCATCACGGTTCCTAAACCACTTGAAATCATTATTTTGCTCCAGATCAATCCTGAGGTTTTCTCTGATTAAGACAGGAAATCAGCTTCCCTGTAAGGGGCCCTGGCTCCTTATAGAGACCAAATTCTGAGCAAAGGGGGACACACAAGAGAGTGAGCAACGGCCAAGCACCCCCACTACTCTCCTGTATCGTTAGCAGTGCTAGAGTGAAGGTACATCTTTGAGGACTTGCATTCTCAATAATGCTCTGATTTAACAGACCATGTTGTTGTAACCTACTTTTCTGATAGGATGAGATTTCACTGACCATAAGATTTTTTCTTTTCTGCTCTTTCTTTCCTCAGGGAAACTGAGGCTGAGAGAGCCTGTATGACATGTCCAGGATGCCATCAGCAAGCAGTGGGATGCTATTTCAAACCTGGTCTAATCACAAAGCTTGTGTCCTCTCTATTACAAACCATTTTGTGGAACAGAAGCTACAGTTCTGGTCATTCATTTATTTATCCCATAAATCAATCTTTCTTTATAGCTTACGACTCACCTTCTTCCCTTCTCCATCCTGTCTCATGGTCGTAAGATGATCGAAGTAGGTCCTGTCCTTCCTGAACACGCTGCCAAACTTCTTTTAATTTTTAAATATGTGAATAGAGACAGGGTCTCACTATGTTGGCCAGGCTGGTCTCGAACTTCTGGACTCAAGCAATCCTCCTGTCTCTGCCTCCCAAATTGTTGGGATTATAGGCATGAGCCACCGTGCCCAGCCCACACTGCCAATGATGAGAAGAAAATGTTCCTAGAATGGCATTCAAGGAATCTTTTCAAGAAAAAGCACTTTTATAAATTATTTTTATGCATTAATGAATTATTCTCTCAGGTAATCACATTGGCTCACATTTCAAGGTCAAGATCAGGATGAGGAGTAGAGGATAATAACAATGGATATCATCTGGGCAGTGTATACCAGTAGAGCAACAGTAAATGAGGATCCAAACCCTGACAAGCTCTGATTATCAGAATAAATGACCTGCTCCTTCCTTGCAGAATTGGCCTGTGGATCAAATAAGAGCCCAATAGCTCTTAGCCCAGCATCTGGCACAGATCAAACACTTGGAAAATGCCCACCATCATTGGAAGCATTACTTCTTTCTGAACCACCCAGCTTCTTGAGCACCATGTGTACAGTATTATGATTGGAGTTGGAGTTAGTATAAACAAACAATCCTGCCTGTCAAATAGCAAAAATAATGGTTTCAAAAATCACTTTTCTTGAGAGAAACAATGTGTTGTTTTGAGTTAGAAGAAGATGAGCTGACCTAGTGAGGAGAGTGCCAGCGTGGAGGAACGGACCACTTTGGGCCTCCTTCGTGGAGAGCTCCTACCCATCCTCTCTCAGGGCCTAAGAAAAATAAATGAGGCAAAAAGCAATTGAGCTCAGAACTATAGTGGATGAAATCAAATTTAATGGGCATCCTTACCAAGAATTAAGTCAAATGGTTTAAGCATTTAGGATAACTTGCCTTTATCAAAAGTCAAGGGAGATCTTGTTTTTAGTACATTTAAAAAAAAGACTTTACCTCACCCCAATCCCAATTTCCCCCAATACCACACAGTTTACTTACTTTGGTTTCTTCATTCAGAGTGATTATATTCCCAAATTGGGGCCTACTAAAGCCTTTGGAGGCCTTCCATCTGTAAAGATGGAAGATTAAATAAAATTGCAATCAGCTCAGTAGAATGTAATGTTGTAGTAGAGAAAATTAACAGTCCCTGTCCCACATATTATAAAAATCTTCTTTGAAAAAAAGCAGAAGGAAAAAGCTAGTCAAAGCTGATCTAAGTTTCTGTAGACAATGGCACAAATTGATGATAAAGAAGTCCATTCAGTTCCCATTTTCTCAACTGCAGAATAAGTTTGCTGAGGCAGCTCTGAATAACCTAATTAATGACTGCAGACAATTTGATAGAATTTTTAAAATATAATTTAAAAATATATATAACCAATGTCTTTCTATCAAGTTCAAAAGCAGTGTTTGAAATAGGTGCTAGTTCATACATTACAGTGAAAATCTAAGTTATAGTGTTGCATATGTATCTGTTTGCATATATAATATATACATATAGCTGTATGTATATGTAATTATAATTGGTACATCTCTATCATCCATCCACTTGTTCATGTAGGGATTAGCCTCTGAAATTTCTAATAAATGCAATACAAGTTTTGAAACTCCCTGTGAAGCCCCTCTATGAAAAGGAGGCTAGAAAAATTATACACATAAACATACATTTTCCCTCAACACCGTGGGTGTCAAGGGAGTTTGTAATCTGCCTGCTTCTACGGATAAAAAAGAGTAAGTTTTTCACATAAAATCAAACCCCCAAACCTATTCCACTTAAGGGAATGGTATTCATATTTACATTTTCCCCAGATTATAGGAATCCTTACTCAGAAAATTAAACTGAGAGCTAGGCAGGGAATCAGAAAGCCCTGTGATCTAATGAAAGACAACCAACCTTGTAAGAGCGCCATAAAGAGAGACCTCAAAAATGTGAGATAATGGAATCATGCACCTGACATTACAGACATATTTTTGTCACATTTGAAGTATTTTTGAAAAAACTGAACATTCATAAAACTTGACCACTGAATGAACATCAAAAGGAATCTCAGTAAATAAAAACTCAGTATCATTCAGATCAAGTTCCCAAACCATAATAAAATACAATTAAAAATCCAAAACAAATAAAAAATGAACCAACATATTTGGAAAATAAGAAATACATGTCTAAATATTTCATGAGTTAAAGAATAAATCATTTAAAAAATAACAAAATACTGTATTTAGAAATGGATACCAAAGAAAATGCTACATATCATATGGAATGCAGGTAATGCAGAACCTAGAGGGAAAAATTCAGATATATTCAAAAACGAAGAAAAATTTAAAAACTAATGATTTCACAGTCAGTTCAAGAGAAAGCCACAATTGACAAATGGGATCTAATTAAACTAAAGAGCTTCTGCACAGCAAAAGAAACTACCATCAGAGTGAACAGGCAACCTACAAAATGGGAGAAAATTTTTGCAACCTACTCATCTGACAAAGGGCTAATATCCAGAATCTACAATGAACTCAAACAAATTTACAAGAAAAAAACAAACGACCCCATCAAAAAGTGGGCGAAGAATATGAACAGACACTTCTCAAAAGAAGACATTTATGCAGCCAAAAAACACATGAAAAAATGCTCATCATCACTGGCCATCAGAGAAATGCAAATCAAAACCACAATGAGATACCATCTCACACCAGTTAGAATGGCGATCTTTAAAAAGTCAGGAAACAACGGGTGTTGGAGAGGATGTGAGGAAATAGGAACACTTTTACACTGTTGGTGGGACTGTAAACTAGTTCAACCATTGTGGAAGTCAGTGTGGCGATTCCTCAGGGATCTAGAACTAGAAATACCATTTGACCCAGCCATCCCATTACTGGGTATATACCCAAAGGATTATAAATCATGCTGCTATAAAGACACATGCACACGTATGTTTATTGCGGCACTATTCACAATAGCAAAGACTTGGAACCAACCCAAATGTCCAACAACAATAGACTGGATTAAGAAAATGTGGCACATATACACCATGGAATACTATGCAGCCATAAAAAATGAAGAGTTCATGTCCTTTGTAGGGACATGGATGAAACTGGAAACCATCATTCTCAGCAAACTATCGCCAAGGACAAAAAACCAAACACCGCATGTTCTCACTCATAGGTGGGAATTGAACAATGAGAACACATGGACACAGGAAGAGGAACATCACACTCCGGGGACTGTTGTGGGGTGGGGGGAGGGGGGAGGGATAGCATTAGGAGATATACCTAATGCTAAATGACGAGTTAATGGGTGCAGCACACCAACATGGCACAGGTATACATATGTAACTAACCTGCACATTGTGCACATGTACCCTAAAACTTAAAGTATAATAATAATAAAAATAAAATTAAAAAAAGTCATATAACTAATAAATAAAATGGAAAGAATAAATGTAAGAACTGAAATGAATGAAATAAAAAACAAAGATAACTAAATAGATTTAATAGACAGACACAGTAGTTCATGCCTGTAATCCCAGCACTTTGAGAGGCAAAGGCAGGAGGATCATTTGAGACCTGCTTGGGCAACATGGCAAAACCCCATCTTTACCAAAAATATAAAAGTTAGCTGGGCATGGTGGCAATGTGCCTGTGGCCCCAGCTAGTCAGGAGGCTGAGAGGTTGGAGGATTGCTTGAGCCTGGGAGGTCAAAGGCTGCAGTGAGCCATGATCACGCCACTGTACTCCAGCCTGAGCGACAGAGTGAGACACAGTCTCCAAAAACAAAAAAAAAAAAAAAAAAAAGGAAGCTATATAACTAATAAACAAAACAAAGTAGAAGAAAAGAGCTAATAAATGCAGGAACAGAAATGAATGAAATAAGAAAACAAAGATAACTAAATAGAGTTAATAAAACCAAATGCTGGCTCTTGACAAAGACTTATAAAACAAAAACTTCACAAACCTGGCAAATAATAAATAAGAAAAGGCACATATCAACAATAATAAAAAATAAAAATTCAATATAAATACTGGTATAGGAAATTTTAGAACCTCATGAAAGAATACTATGAACAACAATATTATAATAAAAATGTAGATGAAGTACACAATTTTCTAGAGAAATATTTTAAAAACTCAAGAAGAATAAAAAACCTGAAAAGATCTGTTAAGCATTTAGAGACAAACAATAATTTAAAAATTTAATCAATTTTTAAAAAATCAACAACTAGGGGGCAAAGGGGTGAGAGGGGTTTATAGAATAATACTTCAGCATCACAAATTTTGAAGAAGAAAATAATGCATACATTGGGATGAGTGATGGGTTTGCACTGCCAAATGTTAACCCACATTATAAGTATATTAAATCCACACAATAATTATTATAAATGACTAAAATGCATGGTTCCATAACGAAAATAGACTATTCAGCTAAATAAAAGTTACAAAAAAAAATCAACAACAAAAACAATCTTTCAAAATGATATACCCACTTTAGAAGACAGTTTGGCAGCTTCTTACAAAACTAAAAATATTCTTACCATATGATTCAGCAATTGTGCTTCTTGGTATTCACCCATAGGAGCTGAAAACTTATGGCCACACAAAAACCCATAGATGAATGTTCATAGCAGCTTTATTTATCATAATTGCCAAAACTTGGAAGCAACCAAGATGACCTTCAGTAGGTCAATGAATAAAGAAATTGTGGCACATCCAGACGATGAAATGTTCTTCAGTGCTAAAAAGAAATGAGCTACCAAGCCATGAAAAGACATGGAGAAAACAAATTCATATTACTCAGTGAAAGAAGCCAGTCTTAAAAGTCTACATACGACATCATTCCAACTATGCAACATTCTGGAAAAGGCATAATTATGGAGGCAGTAAAAGGATCAGTGGCTGCCAGGGATTGGTAGGAAGAGATGAAAGATGTTAAAGAAGAAATCATTTTCAACAGCACAAAGACTTTTTGGGACAGGGTAACTATTATGTGTGATACTACAATGGTGAATATATGAATATATGTCATTACACATTTGTCCAAACCCATAGTATATACAACACCAAGGGTGAACTCTAATGTAAACTATATACTTTGATTGATAATGATGTGCCAATGTGGGCTCATCAGTTGTAATAAGTGTTCCACTCTGATGCAGGATGTTGATAGTGGGAGAGGCTGAGGAAATATGAGAATTTCTGTACCTTCAGCTCAGTTTTGCTATGAACCTAAAACTGATTTAAAAAATAAAGTCTATTTAAGAGGGAAAGAAAAGATCAACAATCTTTGAAGGCTTTACAATTGTTTTACTAATCCTTTGAAGAAAGATAACAAAGATCTTAAATAAAACATTAACAATCTAAAACTGGCAATGTACTACATTTTTAAATTTAGGTTTTATTCCAAGAATGAAATAATGGCTTAACTTCAGAAAATCTATCAACGTAGAAACTAGCTTAACAGTTAAAAAAGAAAAAACATATAATTATTTCAATAGCTGTAGAAAACACACATAACAACTTTAAAGCCCATTCGTAATTGGAAAATAAACTCTTAGCAAAGTAGGAAGAGAAGTTAAAGCTCATGATTTCATCAAAGATGTTCTCTAAAAGATTACAAAAACATTTAATGATGACATATTAGAAGAATTACCTTACAATCGGCCGGGTAGACACCTGTAGTGGTCTCACACCTGTAATCCTAGCACTTAGGGAGGCCGAGGCGGGCGGATCACCTGAGGTCAGGAGTTCGAGACCAGCCTGACCAACATGGAGAAACCCTGTCTCTACTAAAAATACAAAATTAGCCAGGCATGGTGGCTCATGCCTGTAATCCCAGCTATTCAGGAGGCTGAGGCAGGAAAATCGCTTGAACCCAGGAGGCAGAGGTTGCCGTGAGCCGAGATCGAGCCATTGCACTCCAGCCTGGGCAACAAGAGTGAAACTCTGTCTCAAAAAAAATAAAAATAAAAAATAATTACCTTACAATCAAGAAAAATTTAAGGATTTTCAATATCGTCCCTTCTATTTAACTCAAGGTTTTAGCCAGGAAAATAAGGCCAGGAATAAATATAAAATGTATAAGGTTTGGAAAGGAAGAAACAATCTTGCCATTAATTGCAAACAGCAAGAATGTTTACAATGCTTTCTGTTGTTGGGTAACAAATAACCGCAAATTTAGCAGTTTAAAAAACCCACATTTATTATGTCACAGTTTTGTAGGTCAGAAGTCAGTATCTCTATACAGGGTGTCAGTAGGCTGAAATCAAGGTGGGGCTGAAATCAAGGCGGAGGCCCTACTTCTGCTCTCAGCTGGAGCTCATGATCCTCTTCCAAACTCATGTGGTGGCAGAATTCAGTTCCCTGGGATGATAGGAGTGAGGCTTCCGTTTTCTGATGGTTGTTGCCTGGGGCCTGCTCTTGGCCCCCGGAAGCCGCCTGCAGTCCCTTGCCACTTGGCCTACACTGTCACAGCTTACTTGTTCAAAGCCACCAGGAGAATCTCTCCCTTCGGTCACCTAGAACTGTCTTAAATGGTACAGCATAATAATGGGAGTGACTATCCCATCATATTAACAGGTTCTACTGACACTCAAGGGAAGGGAATTATATGGGGTATGTACATCAAGAGGTGAAAATCTTGGAGGCCTTCTTAAAATTTTGACTACCTTAGTATAGAAAATCCAAGAGAGTTTTATAATCTATTATAAGTAAGATGATAGTTTGACCAGGTGCGGTGGCTCATGCCTGTAACCCCAACACTTTGGAAAGCCGAGGTGGGAGGACTGCCTTATCCCAGGAGTTTGAGATCAGCCTGAGCAATATAGTGAGACCCCCATCTCTACAAAAAATAAAAAATTAACCGGGTGTGGTGGCTCGTGCCCATAGTCCCAGCTACTTGGGAGGCTGAGGTGGGAGGATTGCTTGAGCCTGGGAGGTCAAGGCTACAGTGAGCTGTGATCATGTCACTGCACTCCAGCCTGTGTGACAGAGTGAAGCCTTGTAGACCCTGAAGCTGGTGTGCAGTGGTGCAATCACAGCTCACTGCAGACTCAACCCCCCGGGTTTAAGTGATCCTCCCACCTCAGCCTCCCGAGTAGCTGGGACTACAGGCACAAGTCACCATGCCCAGCTAATTTTCTTTTTCTTTTTTGTAGAGATAGGATGGCACTTATGGTGCCTAAGCTGTTCTCAAAGTCCTGGCCTCAAGTGCTCTGACAGCCTCAGCCTCCCAAAGTGCTGGGATTACAGGTGTGAGCCAATGCACCCCACCCAGATTTTTTTTCATGAAACTTTTCAAGTACATCCTCAAATTAATGCAAGGAATAAACAGAAAAGAACAGCTAAGAAACAAAAATTGAAGAGGAAAGAGGAGGAGGAGGAGCGGGGAGAGTCAGAGACTCACTCTTCCAGATAATATAACTTATTATGAAAGCTAGAGATATTAGAAGGACATCATAGCACGGAATGATCCAGAAAGACAGACCAAGGAACACATCTAGGTGCAGTTCCTCATACATGTGAAAACTCCATTATTTATTTATCATACTTGCCTCCAATCGCTCAATTTAAATATACCAGCCATTTTCTCCTGGGACACTGACAGGTACACCTGGTACAAATTCTACTTTTAATGTGGTTTACCCCTTTAGGAAAGTTACTTCACCTGTTTTACTTCAATTACTTGATCTATAAATGGTACTGCTGTGGGAATTAATTGTGATGATCTATACAAGCTCCTCAGCACAGCTGCCAGCATGGTGAGCAATAGCAAATGGTTGTTATTATTGTCATGGTGGTTTTTATTATTGCTGTTACTACTACTATTTCTTCATTGCTTTGCAGGGCTCTGAGTAGCACCTTACCATAGTTAGGCAAAATGTCATATTAGTTAGGATTCTCCAGAGAAACAGGCCAAGAGGATATATAGAGATATATAGAAAGAGATTTATTATGAGGGATTGGCTCATGGATTACAGAGGCTGAGAAGTCTCCAGATCTGCCATCTGCAAGCTGGAGATCCAGGAAACCCAGTGTGGTTTCTTCCAGTCCAAGTTCCCCAAGAACCAGGAGAGCTGGTGTTTGACGGCAGAAGGTGGATGTCGCAGCTCAGACAGCAAATTTGCCCTTCCTCTGTCTTTCTGTTTTATTTGGGCCCCCAACAGATTGGATGATGCCCACTCGCATTGTTGAGGGCACTCTTCTCCAGTCAGCCCACCAACTCAAATGCTAATCTCCTTCAGAAACACCCTCATAGGCACACCCAGAAGTACTATTTTACCAGTGAGCTGGGCATCCCTTAGCTCCATCAAGTTGACACATAAAATTAACCATCACAAACACCAAAGCTGAACTTAAGACAGGACAGCTAAAACATAATTTGCTATCAGACTTAAAGAATTTCTCAGAATTTTTCATCCTTCCCAGAAGGTCACCATCATATTAGTGAATGTTGAACACTCTTTGCAAAGTACAAAAATATAGGTGGATATCTTCTATCCACCAATCATGAATGGGTCAGTCCAGTTCATCTCCTGCAACAAGAGAAGACTTTCTTTTTTGCAAGGCTGGGCTGCACTAATTACATTCCACAGACACTTGCAGGTGTGTCAGCCACAGCAGTCAGGGATGCTCTTACAAATGCAGGTCTCCACAAACAGCAGCCAACACAAACCACCAGGTAAAGGCCAGCCAGTATGCACTCCTGCACCTGTGAGCACCTCTGCTGGCTGCAGGCCTCATCAGACAATTCTACCAGCCAGGAATGATGACATTGGTTGTTATATACCTAATGACTCTCACATTCCAGCAGAGTGTCCCTCCTTTTAAGTTCAGTTGTACATATACGTTTTTTAAGATACTACAAGTTGCAACACAGAGTAAACATTTTAATTGGTATGACACTGAACTATTCAAAGAAAATTATGCAATAGAAAATGTGAGAAAACAATGTAGTAAACACTTGGTTACCTGTGCCATAGACAGAGATGGAAAATGCTAAACTGCAGTTATTTTCAAAACATGTATATTGTTCTTATTTTATTTTTATGGGATATTTCTTTCTAATCACCTTTAGTTATATTTGCATGGGTCTAAGACCTGTTAGAGTGGTACAGTCTTAGGCCACATGAAGAGTGAGGGGGAAACCGACTGGAAGGAGGCACTGAAGCATTTCTGGGGTGATGGGTGGGACCTGTATCTTGACTAGGGTGCTGATGGCGTGGATTATACAATTGCTTAAACTCTTGGAAGTGCATATTTAAGATCTGGGCATTTCTCTGTAGGTATTAACTCAATTTTTTAAAAAGGTCACAGGTGCAGGGACAAAAAAGTTAATACACAAATTCTAAGAGATTATACTTGAAGGTACATCCCACTAATCTATTTCTTTATGTGATGGAATAAAATCTTGAAATATTAAGCAAATTGATCCGAACTCCCCTGGAGTTTACTAAAAATGGCTGGTGAAAGGAAGTGACTCGGAGACCTGTGAGTGGCAAAGAGGAGCCAACTGAGGATTAGGCCTTTGCTGGGAGTAAACCACCCACATAATTATAGGGTCAATGCCTCAATTACCTGTGCTTATTCAGAGTGGTGTTGACCTGGTGGCATCCTAGCCTTTCTGGAATATGCTTCAGCTCCTAAGGGATTTTGATTTTTTATCAGCATGTGCCCAAAGCCTCTGGGGTTACCCCTAAGGGCCAAAATACAATTAGATCTATTCTCCCTGGTAGCTGAACAAGAAAATAGAGATTATCAACTGACAGCTTGATGTGAATCTCAATGGATGTCTCAGGTGATGTGCCCCAGGGATCTGTGCCAAACATTTGTACTGACACTTTGGATGGGGGCACAGAAGGTGGGTTTACCAAATGAGCAGAAGCCACAAACCTGGGCAAGACGACCAAGATGGGCCAGGGGCTCACATTTCACATCACCTGAAAAGGGACATTGACTAGGCCCAAGCCAATAAATTAAACTAAATTTAAAATAAACTGCCATTAGGTCAAAAGAGCAACTGCCAAGTACAGGGTGGAGGTGGGAAACCTGACCTGACAGAAGTTAATGGAGACGCCCTGTGGTTTTAACTGGTCACACATGCATTATAAGCCAGTGTTGTGGAGCAGTTAGTTAAAAGTTGAATACATTGATCGACAGACCCACAACCTCAATACGGAGGATCTCCTTCAGCTTAAGATGCAGCATGTTCAGAGTGACGCTGTCGAACTGGAGCATGAGCCCAGAGGGGTACCAGGATGGTGGGATGTAGACACCTTGTCTACTATAAACATTTTAGGAAATAGCATTGTTCAGCCTGAAAGAGAGTAGACAGTGGTGACCAACCATTCCAGTTTTCCTGGGACTGAGGGAGTTTCCAGACCCAGAACTTTTAGTTTTAAATCCAGGATACTCTCTGGCAGACCAGGAGAAGCTGATCACCATAGGTCAAGATGAGAATGAGAAAGAGGTGCCAGGACACATTTGGACCAGGACACAGACTCTGATTTCCAAAGGTTGGAGGGGCTTATTCTCAGTCACACTACACAGGACCAGGGCAACTGTAGAAGTGACCCAGAGGCAGAGCTGGATGCAAGATAAGGCCGGTTCTGAGGCTCCCAAGGAGCTTTCATGGATGAGTGAGCAGCACGCACCAGGTCTGCCTGAGAAGGAGCTCGTAACTCTGAGTATGAAGACGCCTTAAACACACATGTACACCAGAAAATGCATCATGATCAAAACCTCTACGTTCAGGGATGCTTTTAAAGGAATCCATATTCTATCTATCACAACAGTGTCTTGATACATTTGAAAGTGCTTGAACACGTGGTATGGGAGATGTGGGATTTATTCTTTCTGTACAAAATGCTCAGGCCTCAGTTCCCATGCAAGCACTCTGACCCCGCTACCCACCCAGCTCACCTTTTGAGTTTTCAGCTTCAGGGGAAAGGGTGAGGCTGAATGGTGCCCCAAGATTCCTTTCAACTCTGAGATTCTATCATTTATCAATACTATACATATTTTTCTTTGTAATGTATGTTGTTTTCCTCTGGTACTTGTTTCCAGTGCTGAGGTGTTCTAGAAACTGACATCAATCAAAATGATAAAGATACAATGTGAAGAGCAGACGTATTTGCAACTCTGAAAAATCAAAACTCTAAGAAGAGGCGTCATGCCTGTTCTCATTCTGATAAGGAAGGCAAAGGAGGAGAACACAGGGAATAGAAGGCAGAGGAGCCCCATCCTGCAGGAGTCACCAGACAGGAGAGGGTGGGCACAGCAGGAGAAGAGGGGGCTCCAACCCCAGCCCAGCCATGGAGAAGCAGCTGTGTTTGCAGGGAAGGGATCGGGGAGGTTGGTGGGGATACAAGCCATGAGAGCCAGGGCCTTGAAAGTGGACAGGTGCCTAAGGCCTGACTCTAGACACCAAAGACAGAGGCCTGGGGACCAGAGCTAGAGAGGTCAAGAGTCCTGATGAGGGCCAGGGAGGTTGGACAGGCCTGGGTGTGAATCCCAGCTCTACCCTTCCTGGCTGTGCGACTTGGGCATGTTACTAAAACCCTCTGAACCTTAGATTCCTCATCTGTAAAATGCCACGTCGAGGGCTTGGCATCGTGCCTGATCTGGAGTCAGTGCTCAGGAAATGTTTGTTCGCGTGGCTGCTAGTCTGCTGATTCTCATCACTGTCATCAGTGGTGGGACACTCACATGTCACTTCCCAGTCACTTCTCTTCTTTCTCAGACTCCGTGCTGATGGAGGCAGAGCCCTTGCAAGTAACAGAAAAATCTAACAAACAGGCAGAGTCTAGTAGGGGGTTTTTCTCACATGAGAGGAAGTCTGGAGTTCAGCAGCTGCTGGGGTTGCCACTGGAGAGGCAGGCTCCTGCTCTCCTCCTGCTCCAACTTGCTCAGTATGGAGCCTGCATTGTAGCACCCTGGCTGCTGCACCTCCAAGCCTAGCATCTGCATTCCAGGAAGGAATAAGGGGAAGGGTGAAGGGCAGAGGACAATAAGAGCACCCCAGCTGAGCCAGACCTCCTTTTAAAGGTTTTCTCAGAAACTCCACACAGAACTCTTGCATGCATGAGCCAGAAGCAGGTCACACAGCTGCCCCTAGCTACAATGGCACTGGCACAGTATTTAGTGAGCACATCACCACCCTACACGACCCTTGGGTCTGGTCAGTAAGTGTCTTAGTCCATCTGGGCTGCTGTAACAGAATACCATAGACTTGGGTGGCTTATACAACAGAAATTTATCACTCACGGTTCTGGTGGCTGGAAATCCAAGATCAAAGTGCCAGCAGATTCAGGTTCTGGTGAGGACCCACTTCATGGTTCACAGGGCCTTTTTGCTGTGTCCTCGCGTGATGGAAAAGATGAGGTGCCACTCTCGGGCCTCTTTCATACAGCCACTAATCACCCCTCAAAGGCCCTACCTCCTAATCCATCACTTTGAGTGTTAGGACTGAAATATGTTAATTTGTGGGGAACACAAAACTCAGACCATCACAGTAAGGGAGAAATGGAGAAGGGATACTGTGGAAACAGAGAGCACGGTCTGCCTCGGCCTCCTTCTCTGGACACATCCACTTGTCACTTCTCCAGCTCTCATTGGTACTTGGGGGACTAAAAATCCCTCAGTCCTAACAGCATGGTCTGAGTGTGCAGTCTCAATCAGGAGGCTAAGGCCATCAGGAGGAGAGGTGAGTGCAGGCCACGGGGCTGAGCCTTGACAAGGAGCTCTAGGACTCCCAAAGCAAAAGTGGTCACAGTTAGCACTGGGCTCCAGAAAGTTGTGTGTATGAAAAGCAGCACAGTTGGAAACAGAAAATGACTGGGTTTAAGTGTTTTTTTCTCAAGACTTTGGTGCAATTGGCCTAACTGTTAAAAAGCATGTTGTACCAGCCCCTCTGTTCTAAAAACAGAAACAAAATGACTGAAGAATGGTTCAAGAGGAAGTAGGCCTTACACAGAGTGGGTAATACTACATGGTTTGTGTAAGGATTAAGAAATACAAAAGAGCTGGTCCTGGTTACACAGTGCCTCATTCACTATTCTAATAATTCTGACTCCCTGTCTCCCTGTGACTGGAAGGTATCAGTGATGTACCCACATTAGCCTGGCTGCCTTCCAGGACCTCAAGCCCCAGAGATGAGGAAATACAGAAAGATGGTTTTTCCATCACCTCACCTGCAATTTCCTAAACCAGTGCTTCTTGCAGTCTGGTCTGACTGGCAGCAACAGCACCACCTGGGTACATGTCAGAAATGCAGAATCTTGGGTCCATCCCAGACCTACGGAGTGAGAATCTCTGGGGGAGAGGCTCAGTCGTCTGTTTCAACAAACCCTCCTGGGGATGATGATTCATGCTCAAGTCTCAGAACCACCAGCCTAGATCGTATCTTTTTTTTTTTTTTTACTTTGAAATGGAGTCTCACTCTGTCACCCAGGTTAGAGTGCACTGGCATGATCTCGGCTCACTGCAACCTCCGCCTCCCGGGTTCAAGTGATTCTCCTGCCTCAACCTCCCAAGTAGCTGGGATTACAGGCATGTGCCACCATGCCTGGCTAACTTTTGTATTTTTAGTAGAGGCGGGGTTTCACCATGTTGGCCAGGCTGGTCTCAAACTCCTGACCTCAGGTGATTCGCCTGCATCAGCCTCCCAAAGTGCTGTGATTATAGGCACAAACCACCGTGCCCAGCCAATCATGTCTAATAGCAGGGAAATACTCAGTAAAAATAACAAGTCTATGGTTTTCTAACACATATCACAGGAGAAATATTAAAACCAGTAAAAAGTCAAGTCAGTCTTCTGGATTCTGTAGTATCTAATGTGTTTAAAGAGAGTTTAAGGTATGAGGTGTATTATGAAAACTTTCTATAGGTCTGCAATTAAATCTACAATTTTTAAACTCTAATCACAGCATCTTAGAGCTGTCATGAATGTTATAGCAAGAAATAATCTATTTGCACAAATAGATCTTGTGGCCTGGCGTGCGGGCTCACGTGTGGAATCCCAGCACTTTGGGAGGCTAAGGCAGATGGATTGCTTGTGCCAGGAGTTCAAGATCAGCCTGGGCAACATGGCGAAACCCCATCTCTACTAAAAACACAAAAATTAGCCAGGCATGGTGGCACATGCCTGTAGTCCCAGCTACTCAGAAGGCTGATGGGGAGGATCACCTGAGCCCAGGAGGTGAAGGGTGCAGTGAGCCAAGATTGCACCACTGCACTCCAGTCTGGGTGACAGAGCAAGACCCTATAAAAGAAAACAAAAAAAAAATTATTGAGCTTTTTCATACCAAGTATAGGGACAGGGATAATATGTATCAAAATTTTTGCTAATTACTAATTGCTATTAACAATTACCATTGTTACAGCCCCAGTTCTAATGTTAACATGATATCTGTTATGGGCTCAATTGTGTCCCCCCAAAATTCATACATATATTGAAGCCCTAACCCCCAGCACCTCAGAATATTACAGCATTTGGAAACAGACTCTTTAATGAGGTAATTCGTTAAAGTAAGGTCATTGGAATGGGCTGTAGTCCAACATGACTGGTGTCCTTATAAGGAGACAAGGACACAGGCACACACAGAGGGAAGATCATGTGAAGACACACAGAGAAGGGGAAGCCAAGGGAAGAGGTCTCAGAAGAAACCAGCCCTGCCTACACCATGACACTGGACTTCTAGCCTCCAGAATTGGGAGAAAATAAATGCTGTCTGATCTGCCCAGTCTGTGGTATTCAGTTATGGCAGCTCAGCAAACTAATACAATATATGAAAGACTCTGCTCATGATGAGGTTAGGTCTCGCCCAGCAGTCACTGTTGTGGTAAGCATTTGTGCTGTTCCACATACTTCCAGCTCTCCACCTCCTGGAGAACATGATGATATTGTACTTTCCCACCCCCTGAAGAAGTTAAGCATCGCCTACGACATGCTTTTGTCAATAAAAGGTGAGCAGAAGTAATATGTATCACTCCTGAACAGAAACTCTAAGAACCTAAGCATAATTCACCCTGTTCTCTTTTTCCTCAGTTGTAGCAACAAGAAATGTTCCAGAAGCAGCTGCTCCACCAGCCTGCCCTGTGGAATAAGAACACTGACAATGCTATGGTAAAACCCCCAGCCAAACCATAACGGACTTGTGATGAGAGCAACAAATAAACCTTTTTTATCTTAGGTCCTGAGATGTAGGCATTGTTTGTTATTGCAGCATATCCTAGACTACCCTGACTGCCACATCAGTTTACTTACAATTCAAAATAGGAGTCATCTCATTTACCAAATTCCAGACATTCATTTGTTTCATTTAGCTCAGAGCAATAAGCATATCAATTAAACTCTGATCTTTGGTGGTTTGGATTTTTTTTTAACTTAAAATATCTGGTAATAAGGCCAGGCATGATATCTGCATGATAGTAAGAAGGCACAAGTCTTCTTTCAGAAGGTGGGAAGACGTTAGTGAGATGTGTCCAAAGAAAGGACAACTTAGCAAGGTTCTCTGCACCGGGTAGGCACAGGTAAAAGAGAATAAAACTACAGTGTTTCAAACCGGCAGTTCCCTCTGTTTGCCATGTAATTCATCCCACACCCAGCACTTTACACAGAAGAGACTGAGCCAGTTTGAGTTGTTGAGCTGGGACTAGACCCCATGCCTTCTGACTCTCAGACCAGAGCTCTTTGCCCTGTACCATCCTTCTTAGTTCTTTAAGAATCAAGATAGAATTTCATTTTAGCCAACAATAATATCTCCTTATCCTAAAGCCTCATCATAATTCTGATATTTACCAGTGAAGAGAAAAACATGTTTACAGTGGCATTTGTTTCAAAAAAATAATCCAACCCAACTCACCCTGTGCACAGTAGGCTCTTTTCAAGGCTAGGTGTGCAGGGACTTTAGAGAACCCTCTAAGAGCAAATGCCCATTGCTGGGCTTCAAGGTTTTCCACCTTTTTCCTTTACTGCTAAGTAGCCACTGGCATGATTCCAGCCAGGTTCACTGCTGTTCTGTTTGGTCTTCCCTACAATTCATTCACTCGGCCCACACCTTCTGCCCAGACCAGTCTGCCCCTTGCTGCTCTCACAACTTGCTGACTCTTCTGAACGCCCACAAATCCAGCTTTTCTGCTTCTGGACTTGAAGATCCACCCACCGCACATTACATTCCATGGAACTAGGGGCAGGGTGGCTGAACAGAAGCCTGCACCAATCATCCTCCCTGCAGGAGCACCAAATTTTAACAACTAACCACACACACAAATCAGCACTGTCATAAGAACACTCCAAGGAATCAACCAACCTCTGTCTGTATGTATTCACGTATTCTAAGTCATCTAGGTGATTGTGTTGTCTATTTATTAGCCAGGTGATTTATCAGTACTTCTGTTTGCTCTCACTATTATATATATGCCCTGGTGTGCACCCTGTAGAAATAATGGTGAAGAGGGGAAAATAGAATGAGGGCTTTCTAACACACTGTCCTGTTATCTAGGCTGCCACATGTGGGAAAACGCCTTCCCCTGAGGTATGAAGAGTTGGTTTTGGTTTGCCTTGATAACATACTCTATGCAAATTTCACTGATGAACACCAGTGTCATAAACAGAATTGCATAGATCAATCACTCCAGAAAGTTCATGGCATACAAATATTAACAAGTGTTATGAATTTTCTTTGAAATTTTCTTTGAAGAACGTAAGATTCTAACTATTATTGCCGGAAAAAAAAAAAAACATTAAAATCCTTTATTTCACTCTGTAATGAATACACCATCTTCTCAAACAGGAAATAAGGTTTATGATTTCAAGCTTTATTTAAACACCCTTTGCTTGAAAAACTAAAACAGTCCCAATTTGTAATTTATTTTACATCTCAGTTTATAGATCACTTAGAAGAGTGTTAATTCATTCTTGGAATGGCAAATGTCCTGTCTTAAGTGACTGATGGAAAAACAAAATGCCATGCCAAATTCATCAGAAAATGTATAATTGAGCTATAAATACATTGTGTTCTTAACTAGCATGACATGCCAAAAATGACAGCTTACTTTGGAAAATTGCAAAATCCAACACATGGGGTACTGACCATTTTCACTTCATTACATTTGAAAGCCCATCTGTTGGCAATTACGTGTCAACATGGGCTTCTCAAATCCATGTAATCTAAATTACTTTTAGTTTTAAATGTGAACACATGGCAGGTTTTAAAAGAATTATTTCATGCCACCAGTAAGGGGAGCACAGAAATGTGTAACAGTTCTATTAATCAGCTCAAGCTTAGTAATATTTCTACATCAAAAGTAGTAGAGCAAATAGGCTGTCTCCATTGTGTACTTTGGCTAACAACCAGTATTGAGATCACCAAATAATTTAAATACAGGAAACGTGATGCTTTCCATCTTCTTTAGAAGCCACCAGTCTGGTTAGCCCAAATGCCACACACAAATGGTCCTAAGTTCCTGGCTGTTGAGTTTCTCCAGGACTACAGAGTCAGCCTCACAGGGGCCTGAAGTCCAACCAGGCTCCCTGAGATGTGGAGAAATGCCCATGTCAGAAACAAGGCTTTATCACTTCTTCCATAGCCCCCAGGTAAACCAGAAAAAAATGAAGCTTTCATTAATGGTGACAGAGACAGCTAGCTGTTCTTCTCTAAGAAATGATCTTTGAGGCCAGGCATGATGGCTCACGCCTGTAATCCCAGCACTTTGGGAGGCCGAGGCAGGCGGATTACCTGAGGTCAGGAGTTCAAGACCAGCCTGGCCAACATAGTGAAACCCCATCTCTACTGAAAATACAAAAAATTAGCTGGGTGTGGTGGTGGGTACCTGGAATCCCAGCTGCTCGGGAGGCAGAGGCAGCAGAATCGCTTGAACCTGGGAGGTGAGCCAAGATCACACCACTGCATTCCAGCCCGGGTGACAGTGTGAGACTCCATCTCAAGAAAAAAAAAAGAAAAAAAAGGAAATGATCTTTGAATATAGTTCTAAAGATTGAGTGACTTCTTCTGTATTCTTCTCTTCAAGTGAAATAATCTCAACTTACCTAACCACAAAGCCACATTTCCTGGCCCTTAATTCACTTTGCCACTGTAATCGAAACCCTTAAGTAAATCAGAGTCTACCCAATTGTGGAATGTACAAGCAGCACTTGGGTGGGCCATACCTGAGCTTGAATCTGTTCCGTGCTCCCTTCTTACTGATACAACCTCGACCAGTTACTTAATTCTCTGTGGCACCCAGTTTAGTCCTCAAACTTGTGGAGATTAAACAAGATTATTCTGTAAGAGAAAGCATATAGCATCATGTCTGAAACACAGCTCCACAAAATGTTACTTGCTCTTTCTCTTCCCAAACGAAGTACTATAGAGAAAAGTCAATTGTCTATAACTGTGCTGTATGATACAGTTATCATCAGACACCATGTAAATATATGTGGCTATGTATATTTAAATCTATTTAAATTAAATACAATTAAAAATTCTGTTCTTAGACTGCACTGGCCATAATTTAAGCACTTGGTAGCCACATGTAGCTGGTGCAGATATGGATCATTGTCATCAGAAAGCTCTCTTAGACAGGGCTGATTACCTTATCCCGTTGGGTGTTGACACTTCCAAACACATCCATGTCAGTGTCTACCTAAACTATGTCATGTGAAATCTTTCTACCTAAACTATGCCATGTAAAATCTTTCCTTGGTGACAGGAATAAATGCAATCACCCCGTTTTCTGTGGCATCTCTTTTAGAAAGAACCTCATCTCCAGTTCCGCATCCCCAAAGAATTCAGTCTCACTAGATTCAAGCTGGAAAGGCTTCTTCTTTAACCTCATAGATTCAGAAAACTCTAGTTAACTGTTCCATTGCAGCCCAAATCCAGATTCAAGGGTCATCTGCACTGCGACCTTTGCCTTCCTGCTGAGAGTCTGGTGGGCTGTGGGCATAATGCTGAAGGCTCCAAGCCCTGGCTCTTGCTCCTAAAGCAAAATACCATCGCTAGGGACTCAACACAGCCACATAAACCTCGGGTAGCTTATAGGCACAATATTTAGGACACTGTGAATTCCCCCAATGAGTCCCAAGCACCTTCACAGGAGAGAACAGTAAGCCAAATGCTCTGGGAACACAGCTCACTCCATTGATTAGGGGCTCTGTTCTTTCTATGGACAGCTAAGCGCCTTCCTACAAGGGCTTCAGGACAGGCATTATGGGCCCAGGAACATGGCATGGTACATGTGTAGGTTTACAGGGCTTTACCTAAACAAAAGCTGAGTTCCCCCCAGAGCATGCAAGATACAGCCCCAAGGAACCAGGACAGCTGCCTTTTCTCCACCAGCATTCTGGTTCCAAAGCTCTGAGATAACAATCATCTCGGTCACACCCTAGATTTGGTTAATCAGATTTCAATAGTCAAGGCTGGATTATCCATATTCTTCTTGCCAACCTCACCCACCCTCACCTCTGCCAAGGGGGAAGACCAAAAATGATTACAGATTCATATTTTCTTAACTACAAATAGTTCTAATGAAAGATTAGGTTACAGGGGCTACAAGTAACAGCTGAAATTTTATTTAGTGGTCCAGCAGGTTTCAGTCCCTGCTATCCCTTCTCATCTTTTGTGAAAAGAAATCCACAGGTGACTTCCTTTTTTTCAAGATTGTATCTAATTTTTAAGTTAATGGCAATAACAATAATAATAGCAGTCACTTACATAGCCATTACTTTGTGCCAGGCATTGTCCTAAATGCTTCACATATACACAGATAGTGAGTTGTTTGCACCTTACTAACAACTCAATGAGGTAAGAGGTACCACAAAAGCATAGAGAGGTGAAATAACTCACCTCGGATCACACAGGTCAAGCAGGGCTATAAAACCGGGCAGCCTGGCTCCAAGTCTACTCTCTGAGCCACTGTGCAACCTACAAACGATAACAGAAAAGAACCCAAAGACTTAACAGTTAGAGAAAGCCCCTCTGACCCCAAGCATTCTCTCTGTTCCCCTAACCATTGTTAGTCATTTCTGATTTGTCCTTCCAGAGACAGTCTGTGTGCACATCTTTCTAAATGCACATCTAGAAAGAAGAAGCTTCTGATATCACCTTGGGCAGTCACACTCATGCACAAATAGGAGATGTTTTTATCTTTTCTAATAACTGATATCAACTTTGCTTTCCAAGTCCCTATTTGGGTGCTTACACTGGTGAGTGCAGGGGCAAGGACAGAGGAGAAAATAGTCTCAACGAAGGGTACCTTTGCAAAATACTCCATCCACCCCAGTGTTTCTGCTGTCTTCTCTGATGTGACTCTCAGCCATGATGTAGGTTAAAGCGTCTATCTTAGGGATTCCTTCTCCTTCCCCAGGGTCTTTTTTCCTCTCTCCCCACAACCCTGCTCTCCCTCACAGCCTTAGAGAGGGCAGCAGGGCTTGTGGAGCTCAGAGACGATGCTCAAATGGGAACAGACAATTGTCCAGCGTGGAAGCAGTCACTTCTGACCTGGGGTCATGGCTTGGCCTGGCCCCTGTGGCTGACAAGGCACTACTGCCATGGCTGGGAGTTGCTGGTGAAAGGAAATGTCCCTTCTCCAGCTGGGTCATCCCAAAATTGGTGGACTCTGAAGATATGGTAGTCCCAGTGCAGGTAGCAGCTGTGGTGTTCCCAGATTGTTTGGCTTCCACCACACCCGGCACTATCTCCCCACTGCCTCCCACCTCCCACCCCCAGTACGAGGCAGCCTTAGATCTCTGTGTTTCCTGCCAATACTAACTGCCTGTTGGATGAAAATCCATTAGGAATTTTCAACCAACGTTACAAAACCACACTCAGGCTGGCTTTAACCATGAAATAGACTTACTGGTTCTGAGTCTAGAGACAGGGCAGGCTTCAGATGGGTCACGGTCCAGTGGGTTAGTAACACCCCCAAGGGCCTGGTTTCTTTCCAGGCTTCATCTCTGCCTTCCACTGAGTCGACACCATCCTGAGCCTCTTTCCTGAGGGAGGCAAGATGGCACCACCAGCTTCTGGGGCACACACTTCCTCTCACATGCACGGTAGAGGAAGGGAGAGCACACACTCTCAGAAGAGCAAGACAACTTCCCTCCAAGACTCCACCAACCGCTTCTCCTGACTTACTTGCCCAAATAGGGTCCTGAGCCTATCCCTGAACCCACCACAGTGACACTGTCTCTCTCCAGTCAGATTGCCAGAATGAGGTGTGTTCAGCAGCACTGGAGAGAGGTGAGCAAAGGTGAAAATCAGAGCAGCATTAGCAGGAAGAGGGGACAGCTGCTGGGAGGCCCCCCGCACACCTGCGTCCACATGCCCTCACCTGTTCTTGATGTATTCTCAGGGCTTGGCTAAGAGAACCTGGGGCCTGAGATGCTTGGGAACTGGCTCCTGGGCCTTCTTACATTCCACAAGCTGGGGTGGCCAAAGGTAACCAGGATGGCAGTGTCACTATGACCTTCTTTCTCCGCAGCCAACCACCTGGTCTCCTCATGCCCAGTCCTCTCATCTGCTGCGAAGACACATCCCAGGCCCTCTGGGACGGGTTTGCTATAGACTGAATTGTGTCCCCCCAGTTCATGTGTTGAAGCCCTAACCTCCAATGTGATGGTATTTGGAGGTGGGGCCTTTGGGAGGCGATTACAGTTAGATGAAGTCTAACCATAATTACTAATCCCATGATGGGATTAGTGTCCTTATAAGAAGAGACACAGAGGCTTGCCGCTTCCCTCTCTGCTGTGTGAGCATGCAGTTTCAGGCCACGTCAGGAAGAGGGGCCTCGGCAGGAACTGAATCAGCCAGCATCTTGATCTTGGACTTCCCAGCTTCCAATCCATCGAAAACACATTTCTGTTGTTTAAGCCACCCAGTTTGTGGTATTTTGTTATGGCAGAACAAGTTGGTTAAGACAAGGAAAATAAACAGCCAATGCCTCTCAGAGCCCTCTCTCTCTGCTCTCTGGCCTCTTTATGTAGTCAAGAGGATAGGAGGGGGGCAAGTACAGCTGTTCAGGGGCTGCTGGATACGTCTACCTAGCATAGGGCACAGAAGCCAATGCTGCAATCTGCTCAGTCAGAACTTAGGTCTCTTGGCTCAAGACCTGGTCCCTATTTAAATAACAGTACTTCCAAGATGAGCAATGCAGTGAGCCGTGGCAGCCACTGACACTACAGTACGAATCTGCTCAGCAGCTCCTTCCCTGGAAGTTTCAGTGTGAGGAAACATGACTAGGTCCGAGGCAAGAAAGAGTGTGGCGAGGCAAGACTCAGAGAAAGGGAGACAAGCTGGAACTACACAACAAGCAAGCAAGGCAGGCAGGCTCTGGCTACGCAGAACGACAGCACTGTAAAGCTCCTGTGGCGGTCTTCCCTACCGGAGGAGAAACTGATTGAAGCGCATTCGGAAACAGCACCTCATTTATTTACTTATTTAGAATAGACAATATACATTATACACACATGAAAAAAGCAACCACCACAAAAGAGAGCCAATGGTGAAGAGTTTCTCTCTCATCCTATATTGGCAATTCTTATAAACCTTTGCAGAGACAGTTTTTGCATATTTCCACATTTATGTATGTTATTTTTTTCTTTTTAAACAAATAGCAGCATACTACTTGCCCTACTCTACACCTTGCTGTTAACAACATTATACCTTAGAGATGGTTCAGTATCACACACACCTCAATCTACCTCTTCTTCATGACTGTACAATATTCCATTCTATGGAGGTACTATAATTAGTCAACCATGAAACACAGGTGTTTTCCCAGCCCTTAACTCTTCATTGTTTAAAAAAAAAAATCTGTATTCGTGTCTATTGTGTGCCAGTCACTGTTCTAGGGAATAGAGAGTAGAAAATGAGACATTCAGTGTCACTGCCGTGGAGGAGTTTACAATCCATATGTGGAAATGAACATCCTTGCACATACTTCTTTATGTACATGTGTGAATGTATTGTTATTATAAACTCTCAAGGTGGAATTGCTGGGTCAGAGCCATGTGCATTTCTAATTTCAATAGATATTGCAAATTGTCCACCAAACAGGTCATGTCAGTTTCCCCTCTCACCGTCTGTACTATCTTTTCATATGATTAAAAGTCATTATAGCTTTATATACCATTAGGTTTCTTAAACACAAAGTAAGTTCTCTAAAATGCTCATGATAACCTGAGCAATGACTAAGGAACTAGGGAACATGACATATCAGGACACCCTTGTGGGGACACATCTGCTTCTGTGCAGAGGCTGGGGCAGAACCTGCTGGCTGATACTTTCCTCACCTCCTATGTGGCACAGTCTTCCAGCAGCCCTGGGCCAGGGGTGGGATATGATGACAGGTCTTTTGGAGAACGTGGTGGACAGTTAGCAATGTCACTCCCCCACACAGTATGTGGCAAGGAAGAAGAATCTGTGTACACACAAAATCTGTCTATGAACTGAGAAAAAACACAGGGATACCCATGACAGACCAAGGCCTGATTTCCCTCGTATTGAAAGAGCTTCTACAAATCAACCAGAAATCCAACCACCCCACAGGTAAGTGGACAAAGAATATGGACAGTTCTTGCAAAGGAAATACTCTGTGTTCCAGAAAATCCCTGTTTATAAAATAAATACTATAATTAAATGTCTACATGCATTGCTGATCAGCATCAATTTGCCCCCATTGTAACTGTTATCACTATTTAAAATAGCTAACCTCGGAAGAGTGCCCTGAGCTCACACAGCAGCACTTGGTCTCCTGGTCTTTTCTGTCTTCCCTCTTGCTTATGACTTTCCATGATTCTCACCATCTCATCTCATAGGCAGGAACTGCACACACGCTGCACAGGCTGCCTGTTGGCCACTATCAGCCATTCCCACCCTTCCCCTCCTCGCCTCAGTGACAGAGGTGGCTACTTCCTTCCCACTAGGCATTATCCCTGCAGGGACCCCACTGGGGCTCTGCAGATTCCCAGATCCCTTTCTCTGAGTCTGCCCCTTCCACTTGGCATGCTTTTGCTTCTGACCTAAGGCTCCTGCAGCTCTTCTGGGAGGGCTGTTCTTGTGCTACTGCCCTTTTGTGCCCACCTATAGAAAGACTGAAGTACCTGGGTTATCAACGAGGGTGGCTCTTAGCCAGTGGCTGACAGGCATAGAAGAATGGAAGCCCAGATACCCTGCCTGGGGCAGGGACATCTCAGAGGCATTGTTTACAGTTGAGAGCTCCCCTTCAGGTCAGGCTGAACCTACCTGTCATATAACTGTCTGAGATCCTTGCATGGCTATCCTTCTTCTAGCTCCTTACTGAATTCTGCTCGGAGCATTTCTTTTAGGAACAATCTTTGTTTCTGGGCCTGCTTCTAGGAAACCCAACGTAAGACACAATCTTCTTCCTCAGTAACAAAATCCTGAGTTTTATTTTGGCATATGGCCACCGTGAATAAAAACTACATTTCCCAGCTTCCTTTGCAACCAAGTTCTTGCCAATAAGATACAGGGCACAAGTGCCCTGTGAGACTTCTAGGAAATCCATAAAGGGAGTCCTGCTGATGGCTAGTGTCCATCGTGGACCCTGAGGGCAAGGGGTACATCCTCAGGATGTGGGAGCAGAGATCTGGAAAAGGCCTGGACCTCTAACAACCTCATGGATCTGCCAATACCAACCGCAGATTGTCTACCATCCCACCATTACCCCACAACTTCTTTTGAGAAATAAGTTCCTCTCCTGTTTAAGCCAATGTCATTCGGGTGTTTATTCCATGCAGTTAAATTTAATCCTAGTTTACAGACCAGACCATTGACTCTGAAAAACGACAGACACTCAGTTTGCCAGCCTCCCTTGCAGCTAGGCTTTGCCAGTGTAACCCAGATCTGGCTGAGGAGGTATAAAGGAAGGTCTTGGGGGGAAGAAAGGTGTAGGCAGGAGGTTCTGGAAAAGATATTTCTTCCTGATGCAAAAAACAAACAGGTGCACAATGTCCAGCTCTCTTTCCACTCTGGCAACCTATTCCCTGCTACCTGCCTTTGGCTGCAGCATGTGAAGATGTGCTGTCTGGAGCTGTGGCAGCCATTCTATAACCAGGAAACTACAAGTGCATGGACAAAAAGCCAACCAGCTGAGGATGGCTGTGCAGAAGGATGGAGAGAGCCTGGGTCTTTCAGAAACTCACTGAGATCTCCCACTCCAAACCAATAAATGGTCCACACTGTTAATCGGGTTTTCCATTACATACAGTTGAAAGCAATCTAACATACTCACAGGGAACAAAGCACTGAAGTAAAATCACCTGGAAGTGATCAATTCTCAAAAAGCCTGCTACTATAACCTCTTGGAGGGTGCTATAGTTTGGGTGTTTTTGTCCCCTCCAAAATTCATGTTGAAACTCAATTCCCAGTGCAAGAATGTTGGGAGGTGGGGCCTAGAGTGAGGTGTTTAGGTCATAAGAGTGGGTACTCTCTCACTCTTCCAGCATGTGAGGACACAGCGTTCCTCCCCTTCATAGGATGAAGCACGCAAAGCCCCATTTTGGAAGCAGAGACAGAGCTAAGACCCCACCAGACACCAAGCCTGTTGGTGCCTGGATCTTGGACTTCCAACCTCCAGAACTGTGAGAAACAGATATCTGTTCTTTATAAATTACCCAGTCTCAGGTATTCTATTATTGCAGCACAAAACAAACTATGGGGAGATGACTGGGTTCTGGGAGGTGATTACCTGTGCTAGGCTTGCCTCTGAGGGCAAGAAACAGCAACTCCAGCTTCAGGGAAGTGAAATAATAAGAAATAAACTCCAGGATCCGCTGATTCCTGTGTTCAACAATGCCATCAGGAACCCAGGGCCCTCCCCTCTCTCTGCTCTGCCACTCTTGAAATGGGCTTCATTCTCAGGCAGCCAGCAAGACAGAGGCATGCTTCTGGGCAGCACAGCCAGACCTAACTGGGGCCTATCGAGGGCCTGCACTCTCCCCCTTGGCTTCTCCCTCCAGCTGGATTTTCTTGCTTTTCTTCAAACATGCCAGATAGGCTCCTGCCCTAGCCTCTGCACTTGCGTTCCCTCTGCCTACAGTGCTTTTGCATACATGTCCACTTGGCTCTGCCTCCTTCAGGTCCTCACCCAAATATTACCTCCCGAGAGAGGCCTGCCCTGACCACACCTTTTAAGATTAACCACCTCCCAACTCCCCATTTCTTTTTCTGGCTTAATTTTTCTCCCTGGCATGTAACTTCATCCAATATAGCACACATTCCCTTGGCCTCACTGAGTGTCCGGGCCCCACTTGCCTAGAAGGTGTGCTCCAGGAAGGCAGAGATGTTTAAGATTGTTCACCCTCATTCCCCCAGGGCCTGGCACAGGTGTTTCACAATTATCTGCAGAAGGAAGGAAAGACAGACAAGGGACAGACAACAGCCAGAGGAAGAAGTGCAGTAAGACAGGATCTTTCCAGAGATGGCACCACGCCCATCAACCCACAGGCTTTGCTCACCATGCAGAACTGGCACATGCCCACTCTCAACCACCCACTGGCAAAAAGAGATTTCCTTTAGCCCCACAATGGCACTGGGGTCCACGTTTGGTGCAGGGGTAGACCCCTGAACAAAATGCAGGATGGAGAAATGGATGTTGGGAGTGCCTAGCAGTACCAGTTCTCCTCTCTCAGCCCTGGTTCTCCAGGACTTTTTCTCTTGCCTACGGTTTAAAAACAATGGCTATCTTAGCCCTTCACTGCCACCTGTCTAAAAAGAGTTGCCGCCGGGTACCGTGGCTCACGCCTGTAATCCCAGCACTTTGGGAGGCCCAGGCGGGCGGCTCACGAGGTCAGGAGTTTGAGACCAGCCTGACCAACATGGTGAAACCCCGTCTTTACTAAAAATACAAAAATTAGCCGGGCATGGTGGCTGTAGTCCCAGCTACTCGGGAGGCTGAGGTAGAATTGCTTGAACCTGGGAGGCGGAGGTTGCAGTGAGCCAAGATCGTGCCACTGCACTCCAGCCTGGGAGACAGAGCAAGACATGGTCTCAAAAAAAAAAAAAAAAAAAAGAGTTGCCAACACTTGCTGCCTCCATTCCCTGAAGCCCCATCCATGCCTCACCCCGCTGGAATCCGACTTCCATCCCCGGCCTTTAAATCTGCCTCGCACAGTGGTTATCAATGTATCAATGACCTACTTGCTTCTGAGACAAATGGGACTCTCAGGCCTTATCTTACCCTGCCTTGCTGCCCACTCCTCCCTCCTCGGCGCCTCTTCTGGGCAGGACCGGCAGGTGTTCAGGCCCGTCCCCAGCCCCTGGCTCCGGCGTCCCGGGCTCCCTGCCGGCATCCACCTTCACCTCCTCCCCAGCCCCAGCCCTCTGGCGACTTCTCCCACCTCCACAGTGGCTGTGCCACGAGGAGCCCCATCAATGCCCGCTGCGGCCTGCCCCTTTCTCCGCCGTCCCCTTTCACCTGCTGGGAAATCACAGCCCTAATGCTTGGAGAATCCAAGCAGTTTCCCTCTAAAACCCCAGGGTTGCGAAACCGCAGGGGAAACGCCAAGTCCCTGAGCTGGGCTAGGGACGCGGTACGAGGTAGCACGGGCGGGCCGCGATTCCTCGGGGAGGCGTCCCCATTGTCCCCCCAACCCCGACCCTCTCCCGCCGCGGCCTGGGCCAGAAGCACCCGGCCCTGCGCTGCGGAGGCGATGCCGCATCCTAGCACTAAGCCCGGGCAGCGGGGAGGGGCAGAGAGAACCCAGGGGCTGCGGGAAACGTGGAAAAGGAGTGGCCCCATGGGGACCCGGGCTCGCTACAGACCTTCGCCCTGGGGGCGGAGGGGAGGGGCCCACCACGGCCTTATTTCCGCGAGCGCCGGCACTGCCCGCTCCGAGCCCGTGTCTGTCGGGTGCCGAGCCAACTTTCCTGCGTCCATGCAGCCCCGCCGGCAACGGCTGCCTGCTCCCTGGTCCGGGCCCAGGGGCCCGCGCCCCACCGCCCCGCTGCTCGCGCTGCTGCTGTTGCTCGCCCCGGTGGCGGCGCCCGCGGGGTCCGGGGACCCCGACGACCCTGGGCAGCCTCAGGATGCTGGGGTCCCGCGCAGGCTCCTGCAGCAGGCGGCGCGCGCGGCGCTTCACTTCTTCAACTTCCGGTCCGGCTCGCCCAGCGCGCTACGAGTGCTGGCCGAGGTGCAGGAGGGCCGCGCGTGGGTGAGTGCGGAGCGACGCGCCGGGGCACGCGCCTGCCTGTCCGCGCACGGCGCTGGGAGGTGACACCTGGGTACGCGCGCCTGCCGGCCCAACGGATGGTCCGCCAGGGAAGGTGCAGTGCGCACGACGCCCGGGGAGATCCCAGCTGGGCCTGGCGCCCCTGAAGTATCCCAGGGCGTGGAAGGGGCCCCTTCGGTGCACAGCGTCTGCAGAAATCTGGCTCGTTCCTTCCAGCATTTATGAGGTCATAGGTTTTTCACAGGGCAGCGCTCTTGACTGCTCCCACACCTGGGAAAGAGATGCTTTGGGAAATTGAGGAACAGGCTGAAAGGGCAACATTTAATTTTGTCCGGAGGTACCCAGAGTTGGTTGCTATGGGGGTGCTTACTGTGCCTGCGCCCTACTAGTGGCTGCAGCCAAAGTTTTGGGCGGGATTTCCAAAATCTAAGCCAGTAGCCATACCATACCGCGGACGACTGTCTCTTGTTAATTGCAGTCCACCACGCTAGGGCTTCGGGGTAATGTGGTTGGAATTTACACGTAGGCCTGGGCAGAAACCTGCTAATGCTGGCGTCTGATTTGATCTAATTAGAAGTGAGTGAATCCGAGCCCAGTGTTCTATATGAACCGAATGAATGAGAACTTTGCAACCCGTTGTTTGGTTGCTGATTTCAAGGCATTGACTGTAGGAATTGTCTCGTATGTGTGAAGCTACTTTGCGTTCTTCATCCTATAGATTACAAAAGTTACAGAACTACACTAAGTCTGTCCCAAAAGCAAAGTTGCTCCTTCTACAACCTCCAGATATTCCACAAAGCCTGCAGACACACGGCCTCAAAGAATCTGGAATTGAGTATCGCATGTATTTAATAAATAGGTCGAGTTTTAAAGTGTAGCAGCAGGATTTTCATTTAACAGTGCCAAACGCCTGGAAGCAAACACCATTGGAAAGTCCTTCAAGAAGCTCAGCCTCGGTTCTTCAAAACTTATTCCTGTACCCGGCACGGCTGTATTTATTGAATGATTAAATCAAATTGTTCCTAGAAAAAGGCAACCTGGCCAGGCACGGTGGCTCACGCCTGTAATCCCAGCACTTTGGGAGGCCGAGACAGGTGGATCACCTGAGGTCGGGAGTTCGAGACCAGCCTGACCAACATGGAGAAACCCTGTCTCTACTAAAAATACAAAATTAGCTGGGTGTGGTGGCGCATGCCTGTAATCCCAGCTACTTGGGAGGCTGAGGCAGGAGAATCGCTTGAACTTGGGAGGCGGAGGTTGCGGTGAGCCGAGATTGCGCCACTGCACTCCAGCCTGGGTAACAAGAGCAAAACTCCCTCTCAAAATAAAATAAATAAAATAAAATAAAATAATAAAGAAAAAGGCAACCTGCTGGGGCATGGTGGCTCACGCCTGTAATCTCAGCACTTTGGGAGGCCGAGGTGGGCAAATCGCTTGAGCTCAGGAGTTGTAGACCAGTCTGGGTAACATGGCAAAGTACCATCTCTGCCAAAAATAAAAAAAATTAAAAATTAAAAAAAAATTAGCCGATGTGGTGGCGTGGGCCTGTGGTCCCAGCTACTCAGGAGGCTGAGATGGGAGGATTGCTTGAGCCCAGGACCCCAGGACCTGGAGGTTGCAGTGAGCAGAGAATGTGCCACTGCCCTCCAGCCTAGGCAACAGAGTGAGACCCTATGGGGAAAAAAAAGAGAGAGAAAGAGAGAGAGGAAGGAAGGAAGGAAGGAAGGAAGGAAGGAAGGAAGGAAGGAAGGAAGGAGCAACCTATTCTTGTCACCTGTCTTTGTTTTTTTTTTTTTTTTTTTGAGACAGAGTCTTGCTCTGTTGCCCAGGCTGGAGTGCAGCGCTGCGATCTCGGCTTACTGCAACCTCCGCCTACCAGGTTCAAGCGATTCTCCTGCCTCAGCCTCCTGAGTAGCTGGGATTACAGGCACGTGCCACCACGCCTGGCTAAGTTTTCTATTTCTAGTAGAGACAGGGTTTCACCATGTTGGGCAGGCTGTTCTCGAACTCCTGACCTCGTGATCTGGCCGCCTGGGTCTCCCAAAGTGCTGGGATTACAGGCATGAGCCACCGTGCCGGGCCATCTTGTCACCTGTCTTAACAATCCTTGCTGTCTGAGATACAAAAAAGTTCAGTTTTCCTAGTCCAACAGAGCAGTGAGATAACGGACCTTGAGAACTTTCTATCAAGGTAGAAGAGTAGTAGCCAATGCCCAGAGCCTAAAGAAGGGGCGTCTAAGGATTTGCTCCCTGGTTACCAGGGGCAGGATTCCCTGCAGAAAACCAAGCTCACTCAGATTTCTAAGGTACACCAGTTTTCAATCCCAGAGATTTTTTTTCCCCTTCCAAACCATTTTAAAAAGGAATAATAGGCTGGGCGCGGTGGCTCACGCCTGTAATCTCAGCACTTTGGGAGGCCGAGGTGGGCAGATTACAAGGTCAGGAGTTCAAGACCAGCCTGGCCAAGATAGTGAAACCCCTTCTCTACTAAAAATACAAAAAGAAATTAGCCGGGCATGGTGGCAGGCACCTGTAATCCCAGCTACTCGGGAGGCTGAGATAGAGAATTGCTTGAACCCGGGAGGCAGAGGTTGCAGTGAGCCAAGATGGTGCCACTGCACTCCAGCCTGGGCAACAGAGCGAGACTCCGTCTCAAATAAATAAATAAATAAATAAAGGAATAATAAAATAACTTGCATTATCATGCACTTAGTCACCCCCTTGAAAATAAAATAAGATATTTGACATCCTTCATAAAATAATCAAACTAGCTCTCAAAACCCGAGTGAATAAAGTAAAAATTCCCAGCCCCTGCATTGCTCCAGTGAGGATGCAGGGGCTGGGAATTTTATATAAGTTACATAAATCTTAAAGAGGTCTTAAACATCATTTAGTCCAATGGCTTTGGGAAAGGTTATTTAAGTCTTTTCTGGCTATTTCCCTGTTTGGAATGGAAATAATTCATGTTCTGCCAACAATGTCAGGTGGTCTAAGGAGTCATATAAGATATGAGTGCCAATTAGAAAGTATAAAAATGTGAGTTCAGGGGTAGTCTGTTCATCCATTAGCTATGTATTGAATGCTTACTCTGTGCCAGGAACTGGGCTAGAAGTGTGGCCTAATTCATATTTAGCATAGGGTCATTAGGGAAGGCCTCTTTGAGATTCCCTCAGTTTTGAAGCACTCCACTGCCTGAGTGAAGAGTGTAGACACACCTACATGGAGCTTTCAGTGTAGTCATAAGAAATTCCTGCCTCCATTATAAGAGCAGTCATAGCACTGGGGAGAAGTAAAACATGGGCCAGGCGCAGTGGCTCTCGCCTGTAATCCCAGCACTTTGGGAGGTTGAGGCAAGCAGATCACTTGAGGTCAGGAGTTCAAGACCAGCCTGGCCAACATGGTGAAACCCCATCTCTACTAAAAGTACAAAAATTAGCCAGGCATGGTGGTGCGTGTCTATAATCCCAGCTACACAGGAGGCTGAGGCATGAGAATCACTTGAACCCGGGAGGCAGAGGTTGCAGTGAGCAAAGATCATGCCACTGCACTCCAGCCTGGGTGACAGAGCGAGAATCTGTCTCAAAAACCAAAAAAAAAAAAAAAAAAGAAAGAAAAAGAAACCACGATTGATCCCTCCAAACTCAGGTTTGCACTCTACCCAACCAGTGCATTGTTGGACTGAGTGCTCAGCTGCTGCACAATGTCTATCATCCATCCAGAACTGACCCTGAGGGGCGAGCAGGTAGCCAGGTAAGGAAGAGAAGTGTAGTTCATGGGTATCCCTCCCAATTCTAGGGGTCACTGCATTCCTTTGTAAGATGAGAGGCTGAGATGAAGTCAGGGTTTTTCAAACTAAGGGCTCACTAGGGTTATAAAGCCAATTTAGTGTGGGATCCGGTTTTTTTTTTTTTTAAACGAAATAGTATAGACTACAAACGATTAGAGTGTATTGCGAAAGCAAGGGTAAGTAGTGTCTCCAAATGTGTTTCAGATATATATGTATGACCTAGGTCATAATGAGAAATTCAGTTCTTGCTGTGGGCTGCAGCTTTAAAAAGTTTTGAAAGCCTTTAGACTAAATGATGTTTAAGACCTCTTCTCGCGCTGAAATTCTTTGATTCTGTGAGCTGTTGGCGCGTCAAGTTATCTTTCATTTTAAAAATACTGTTGCCCTCTGGTGGTGAAATGCAGCAATAGCTGTGGTAGTAAATTCAAGGAAGAACTAAGTGCTAGCTGGAGGTGGGTGGAGTGGAGTGGAGGAAGTGTTGTTTTGTTTTGTTGCTAATTGTAGGCGAAATCACAGACCACGATTTGTGTTCCCTCACTGCCCCCACCTGATGCCTTTCTTACCTGGCCTTACACTACCTTTCCATAACCAATGAGGCTTTTACTTTTCTAGTATTACATGGCATAGGCTCAGGACCCACAGTTGGAGTGGTGGGAGATTTTGGATGGTGCTGAGCGATCTTATGCTTCCCAGGGTTTCCTGGATCATCCCCACAATGTTTGCCCCGCTCCTGACTATTCAAGGCTGTCCCTTACTTGAAGACAAGTCTCCTCTTGCCACTCAGCAAGTTCTGGGACCACTGGCTCTGCGTGGAGCATTTGGTGAGAGGCCGGCCTTTTACTAACATTTTGAGAGACTAGCTGAAATCTTCAAGTGCACACACTCTGTAAGAAAGTCAACCCATTCTGGAATCCACTATTGTTTAGGAATTGGCCACTTAAACAAAACACCCTCTGACCAGGCCAAGACCAGTGGTTGGAAACATACTTTAAACACTTGATCAAAGCATATGGGGAGAGGGGAGCTATGCCCATATCTTAATTGCTTCTATTTAAAATAAAATCTGTAAGTGTACATTTATCATCTATCTTTTGATATAGGGCCAAGGCCATTTAACTGGAGCTCCTTCCAGTCTGCACTGGTCATTTCTTACATTGTTATAAAGGAATATCTGAGACTGGGTAATTTATAAAGAAAAGAGCTTTGATTGGCTCATGGTTTTGCAGGCTCCCCAGGAAGTGTGGTGCTGGCATCCGCTTCTGGAGAGGCCTCAAGGAGCTTACAATCATGGCAGAGGGCAACAGGGAGCCAGCATGTCACATGGCAAGAACGGGAGCAAGAGAGCAAGTGGGGAGCTGCCACACCCTCAAACAACCAGATCTCAGAGCAAGAATTCACGTATCACCAAGGGGAGGGTGCCAAACCATTCATGAAGGACCCACCTCCATAATCCAGTCACCTCCCACCAGGGCCCCCTCATCTCCAAATTGGAAAGCACATTTCAACATGAGATTTGAAGAGGACAAACATCCAAATCATATCACAGTCTTTCTAGCAAGAAAACACACCCATGGGGAATCGTTTGTGGTTTCCATTTTTGTTTACTTATGGTGGAATGAGCTCTCAAAGAATATGCTGAACAACCCTCTGCTTTTACTTTTCCTTGCCTAATCTCAGCTTATTAACACCAATTCAACAGCTAAATTTCTAAAGCATTTAACTTGACTTCATGGACATGACATCTTTGTTTGTACCCGCTCTTCACCAGTTTACAGAATATTTACTTATGTAATGAGGTACTAAGTACATCTGATATATGCAAGTTTGGGAGCAAAGCAGCTGGCTTTGGGTAAGCATCAGGCCAGGCCCATATAGGCCACTAGGCAGGAGCCCGTGCTCGGGGGTTCAGTCCACCGTGGGTCTGACAGCAAGCATGGAGCCCTGTCCACTAGGCCACAAGGCAGTTAGGAGAGCACTTACTCTACTATGAAAACCTTTATTCCTTTGTGATTTCTCAATCTATAAAGCACATTAATACAACATAATTTAATTACTGCTCTTGAGGTCTTCTCTCCATTAATGTCAATAATTTTGAGGTGATTCAGGAGACTAGGAAAGCAAAACATTAAATTGTCCATTGAAACAAAAACTGGAGAATTAAAAAGGCTGCAATGAACATAGAGGGAGAAGATAAGTAATAAAATACTCAAGTGAACTAAGGGAGAAGATAAGTAATAAAATACTCAAGTGAACTAGTCTTAATTTTCATGTAAGGAAAGCTCCTAAGGGCTTTTATAGGCATTAGGAAAGAACAGCAGGGAGGGGGATATTTGCAAGATAAACTAGGATCTCTTCAGTGCCCTCACACTGCCCTAAGGATGAAACATAACAATTCTGAAAGCACAGAAGAGACAGGCAGGAATCTCTCCTTCCAGGCAATGTTTGTGCTGAAATAGCACAGATGTGCCTACGGTCTCCACCCCATCACCCACCACAGCAGCCATCCGGTCTGCAGACTCTGATCGCAGAGTCTGGGTCTAGCATGGGGTGAGAAAGGCCACTAGGTCCCGGGGTTAAAGCTTTGACTTTGACCTCCTTGGCACTTTGCCTCAATCTCCTAAGCTAACTACACCCGGATGAGCTAGCCAGTAGGAATGTTTTTTTTACCATTTTATAATAAATTGTTTTTAAACCACAATTTTTTTTTTACCAGCCCACGACATTTTCCACTTGGCTTTCCACATGTGGAGTCATAGCCAAGGATGCATGTAATCACAGAGCATTAGTAATGTCCCACATCAAGACCGGCAGTGGTGGGTCATGACTGTTAACTGCCAGAAGTCTGGCTTGGCTGCAGACTCATCCTTTAAGGACCTAGGTTGTTCTGCTGGAGACTGCATGTAAATAATCAGCCCACAACGACTGACATTGTGAGGCATGGAAGGTTATACATACACACACACTCGCCCAAATCCAACCTGAAACTTGATCTCACTTGCTGTTAAGCAGTGTATCGCCCCAGAGATGTATGACACTTATGTGACCTCGGCATTTATTTGCCTTTTTGGATGGTGCCTCAGTTGAAGAATGTTTCACAGAGATAGTCCCACAGTGGCTGGAGACAGTAGCCATAACAAATCCACTCTGGCTGACTTGCTATGGTTGTTCAGGATGTCCCTAGCCAGAAAAATCAAATTACAAAAGGAAATCTTCGCCGGGCATGTTGGCTCACACCTGTAATCCCAGCACTTTGGGAGGCCGAGGTTGGAGGACTGCTTGAGCCCAGGAGTTCAAGACCAGCCTGGGCAACGTGATGAGACCCCATCTCTACAAAAAATAAGTTAGCCACATGTGGTGGCACGTACTTGTAGTCCCAGCTACTTGGAAGGCTGAGGTGGGAGGATCACCTGACCCTGGGAAAGTTGAGGCTGCAGTGAGCCCTGATTGCACCACTGCCTTCCAGACTGGGCTAACATAGTGAGACCCTGTCTGGAAAAAAAAAAAAAAGAAAGGGAGTCTTGTACCATGGCTGTGTATAGGATGTATGTGATCCGTGGTCATCCCAAGGGCACATGCCCACACAGAACATGACATTAAGGATCACAGTAATTCTGTATTGGTATTGTGTCCTATTGCTGCTATAACAAATGACCTCAGATTTAGTGAGTTAAAACAACACAAACTTACTCACTTATGGTTCTGGAGGGTAGAAGCCTGAAATGGGTCTCCCTGGGCCAAAATTAAGGTGTCTGCAGGGCTTTGTTCCTTCTGGAGGCTCTAGA
Source organism: Homo sapiens (assembly GCF_000001405.40). Classification (NCBI taxonomy): domain Eukaryota; kingdom Metazoa; phylum Chordata; class Mammalia; order Primates; family Hominidae; genus Homo; species Homo sapiens. The sequence continues at coordinate 158,724,553 of NC_000003.12, read as the reverse complement.
GGAGAATCCATTTCCGGCTTCTAGAGACCACCTGTGCTCCTTGGCTCATGACTCCATCCTCCATCAAAGCAAACAGCATAGCATCTTCTGATTATGACACTACTGTCTGCTTCTCATAGGACCCTTGTGATTACATTGTGCCCACAGGAATAATCCAGGATAATCCCATCTCAAGATCCTTAATCACATTGGCAAAATCCTTTTTGCCATGTAAAATAACATAGTCACAGATGCCAGGGATTAGGCAGTGGACATCTTCGGGCAAGGGCTGTGGGGGGGCATTATTCAGCCTACCACACCCCGTGTCCAGGCTGGCTGTGAGCTCCTGCAAATATTTACCATTCTGCCCGACATATGCCGGTACCCAGAAAATGCAGCTCTTGCTCCCACCTCCTGTCTTGCTGACCTCTGCAGCCTTGCTAACCTCACATGTGAACCCACCTGCCCTCTCCTCTCTAGCTCAGTACTCGACCATAGGCTGCTTTGTCAAAGCTCCTGAACAGCCAATTTTCTTTCCACTCTGCCCATGTGCTTGCCTATCCCAAACGAGACGGTCAGCTTCTACAGGGCGCAAGGTATTATATCATGTCTCTATCTCCTTCATTGCACTAGCACATGGCCTGCTAGAGACAAATATTAGATATTTGTTAAATTAAATGAAGGTAGCTGGAAGGGTGCTGAAATCACTGAGGCACCTGGAACAGGGAGACAGGCCAGGACCCAGCCCATTCCCATTGCTCCCAGCAGGAGAAAAGGAGACCTGAAGCCTCATGTCCTGCTCTCAACCAGCCTTTTCTGATTATCCCCACCTGAGGCCAGAGGGGACCTGGAGGGGGCAGCTGCCTCTGGCCACTTCCACTCGCTTCCTACCCCAAATCAAGAACGTGGGACCCAGGGTTGGCTGAGAGAGAGGACACACAGTATTCTGGCTTTCCTCTCCATTGCTACTTAGCCTGAGAAAGCAAAGCATTCGCACGCAAAGAGCTCCTTGGGCCCCACTGCCTGGGCCTGATCAGAAGGTAACTGACTTCTGTTCCATAAACTGTATTTGCTTTATCTGGCCTTGCCCGAGAGAAGGAAAATGCAATAAAATGATTCCAGGGTATAATATAATATACTGATGCTGTCTCCATCTGGAACATAAGGATAGCACAGCAATTTCTATGCACAAATGAGTTGTTTACTTATCTCCAACCAAGCCTGACTCATAAAAGTAACCTTATAAAATGACGAAGTTTGCTTTTACTGGAATAGCCTGACATTTATGTTTTCTTATCAAATGTGAATGCTGGAGGCGACATTTAGGAGCTGAGTCTGTTAGACCAGTGAGTCCCAAGATGCGTGGAGGGAGACTGGAATTACCTGTGAGCTCGTCCCCACCCACCCACTGCCAGCCTGAGAACAGGAAATTAACGTTGTCACAACCGGCACTAACACAACAGGAAGGACCAGCGCTTAGCAACCAATGACAGACACTGCAGAGAGGGGGAAAAATGGGAAGTGTTTTCTGTAGAGAAGCTTTGGGCAGAATCATGTCTTTGGAGACTCCTCCATGGGGTGGTGCACAGCGAGGTTTCTCCAGGACACCATCCCTGCTCTTTTATTTGCTCCACGTTTTTGTGGTGTTTTGAGAGAGTTTAAAGGGGATGTTAGATTTTTTTTTTTTTTTTTTGAGATGGAGTCTCACTCTGTCGCCCAGGCTGGAGTGCAGTGGCGCGATCTTGGCTCACTGCAAGCTCCACCTCCCGGGTTCAGGCCATTCTCCTGCCTCAGCCTCCCAAGTAGCTGGGACTACAGGCGCCCGCCACCACGCCCAGCTAATTTTTTGTATTTTTAGTAGAGATGGGGTTTCACCATGTTAGCCAGGATGATCTCAATCTCCTGACCTCGTGATCCGCCCACTTCGGCCTCCCAAAGTGCTGGGATTACAGGCATGAGCCACAGCGCCCGGCCAGGATTGTTTGATGTTTTAAATGTGCTCTTAGAATACATAAATACCCATTCTCTGTCCCTCATCAAGTTCCTTGGGTTCATTTCTAACACACCCAATATTTCAATGACTTTACCCAATCTTTCAAATATTGGAAAATATTTAAATATTTTAATATTTCAAATTGACTTTATGCAATTTTGGTGATTTTATGCAATATTTCAAAAAAAGTGGGTAGTGCCTAATGTAAAGATAGTGCAGACACCTACTGGAAGAAAAATCTTTGATCCATTAACATGAAAACAAAGCTTTGTGGTTTAGTATAAACAGCTTTCACTGAAAACAGGACATGACATTGTAGAGGTGCTATTAGAATGAACAGTTTTAACTTCTTGGTGCATATACAAATGTCATTATAAAACAAAGTAGTTATCCATCTAACAGGAAGCAAGGAGGGAATTTTCTTTAAAAATTATTTTAGTCCAAACTGCCTTCTTCGTGTTCCTTCTGGATACTCTTTTTTTTTTTTTTTTTTTTGAGTTTCATTCTTGTTGCCCAGGCTGGAGTGCAATTATGCCATCTCGGCTCACCCGCAAACTCCACCTCCTGGATTCAAGTGATTCTTCTGCCTCAGCCTCCCGAGTAGCTGGAATTACAGGTGTGCGCCACCACGCCCAGCTAATTTCGTATTTTTAGTAGAGATGGGGTTTCTCCATGTTGGTCAGGCTGGTCTCGAACACTCGACCTCAGGTGATCTGCCCCACCTCGGCCTCCCAAAGTGCTGGGATTACAGGCATGAGCCACCATGCCCAGCCCAAGTGTTCCTTCTCAAAGAATAGCACATACTGTGTCACCATGGAGTTTATCAGTTGCACCTGCAGAAGCAGAGGGTAGACCTGCCACATGCACTTTCTAAGGTATCATAACCTGATTCACCAGAAACTCCAGGGTCCTGAAGTCACCACACTTTGAAAGAACACTCCTCCATTTCATTTGGTCCTGATGATACTCTCAGGCATTTGAAGAGAATAGTCTCGGCGTCAATCTCCTATTTAGTGGTCAGCTGTATCCTAGTGATTGTCATCTGATCTACATGTCACTTCCTACCTGCAACCCTTAGACCTTCAGTGGTTCCACTCAGTAGCTAGAGAGTTCTCCAAGTGTGGTCCCTGGACCAACAGGATCAGCATCATGTGGAACTTGTTAAAATGCAAGTTCCCAGGCCCCACCCCAGACCTCCTGAATCAAAAGTCGGTGTAGATCCAGCATGCTGGGTCTTAGCAAGCCCTGTAGGGGATTACATGGCACACTCAGATTTGAGACTCACTGCTCTAGAATGAAGTCCCTGTAAGAGACCATCTCTAATCAGATCCCCCACCCACCATTGTAACCTCAACCCCAAGTCTACCCTGACTTAATCTGCTAACTGCCCCAGGCTGGTCTGCTCGCTTCCATGCCCTGGCACACACACTACCTTTCCAGAGCACCCTCTCCCTCTCTCGGCTTGTCTAATCCTAGTCCTTCCTGGAGATGTCCCCACCTGCACTGGGTTATACTTTCATTTATACCTTGTCTGAAAGGGTCTGCATCCAGGGGCTCCTTCTAAAGTCTTGGATCACCTTTACTTCCATCTGTTACGGGTTGAGGTGTGTCTTCTAAAAAGAAATGTTATATCCAAAAAGTTCTAACCCTCAGTGACTAAGAATGTGACCTTAAGTGTAAACAGAGTCTTTGAAGATGTAATCAAGTTAAGATGAGGTCATACTGGATTAGAATGGGCCCTAAATCCAATGGCTGGTGTCCTTATATAATATTAAGGCCATGTGGATATGCAAACAGACTCAGAGGAAGACCACCATTTAAAGATAAAGGCGGCCCGGAGAATCCCTTGAGCCCAGGAGTTTGAGGCTGCAGTGAGCTATGATTGCACCACTGCACTCCAGCCTGGGTGAAAAGAGCAAGACCCATCTCAAAAACAAACAAACAATAATAGAGGCACAGATTGGAGTGATTCAGTTGTAAACTAAAGAATGCCAAGATCGACAGCCACCACCTAAAACTAGGAAGAGGCAAGGAGGGATTCTACCCAGAGTCTCAGAGGAAGCATGGCCCTGCTGACACCTTTAGATTGGCCTTCTGGCCTCCAGAACTGTATGAGAATAAATATCTGTTGTTGTAAGCCACCTAGTTTGTGGTACTTTGTTACGGGAGCCCTAGCACACTAATACATACATCATGCCTGGCAGTCTCCCTTCCAGAGGAAGGTTTGCAGTGGTTCTTGTCCACAGGGACCTTGGTTACAAGCAGTCCAAGAGCATCCCAGCGCTCTCTCTCTCTCTCTCTCTCTCTCACACACATACACACACACACACACACACACACACACACACCAGCAGCCAGCTTTTATTCTTCCTTTTCTTAGAGAGGTTGCTGGGCTCTATTTTTCTGTGCAGTCCTGTGCGGTATTTGGGAAAAACGGGGCTCTGCAGGCCAGTTTTCCTGCTTCCTGTGTTGTGACTTTGGCCAATTCCTTAAGTTTGGTCAAGTGCCTCCATTTCTTCATCCTTAAAATGGTGATAACAATCATACCTACTAAAGGGCTTTAGTGATATAATAGGTTAGTACATGGGTACTATGTTGGGTCGGGTGAGGCACACAGTAAGAGTACAACACGTAATCACTTTTATCATGATTCCCTCCAATGATGCTTCATATGTAAGCACTGAATGAATGCTTAATATTGATTTGCTAAGGATTTGAGGATCATTTACCAAAACATAAATAAATAAAATCTAGTGTGATGAGTTCAGGTCTTTGAAAGCATTCCATTGTACATTCTCTCGAACAGGTCTTTGAAAGTGGCCTGTTTCCCTCCAAACTGATTGCAAATCAAACCAAAATCAAAGTGCTGATCAGTCACTAAAGAGTACATGATGGTATGGCATATGAGGAAGGGGAGGTGGAAGGTATATGGGGAAGGGGATGGGACTGCCTCTTTTCACTGTCCAGTGGGGCCAAAAATCATCTATAAAATAAACACACAAAAAGTAAGGGCCGGGTGCAGTGGCTCAAGCCTGTAATCCCAACACTTTGGGAGGCCAAGACAGGTGGATCACCTGAGGTCAGGAGTTTGAGACCAGCCTGGCCAACATGGTAAAATCCCATCTCTGATAAAAATACAAAAATTAGCCGGGTGTGGTGGCAAAAGCCTGTAATCCCAGCTACTCGGGAGGCTGAGGCAGGACAATCGCTTGAACCCGGGAGGTGGAGGGTGCAGTGAGCTGAGATTGCACCATTGCACTCCAGCCTGGGTGACAGAGTGAGACTCTGTCTCAAAAAAAAAAAAAAAAAAAATTAGAGCATAAACCATGTTATTAGTGGCCCATGATTATGAAGAATTTAGTTCCAGGCTGTAGTACACAAGTCTTTTATACATAATTTTTTAAAAATCTACAGTGAAGAGCTACTAATTTATTCCTTCAGGTTATACAGTCATATGGTCATTTGCTTGCTTTTTCTTATTAAATAGCCCTTTTCGGAAAAATATTGGAACAATGTGCTCTGCCTTTGACTGTGTTTAAAGAAAGGGATGTCAAGTTTCCTGATCTGTTTCACAGATGGGCAGTTCTGGCAGTGTGTTGGGGAAAGGAATGAAATCACTGTAATCTATATTACAGGAATCCTTCTTTCCTCAGGAAAGCTAGAATTGTTGGTCACCTTTCCTCGTGTCAGATTTGGCTGTTTCAAAAAAGTCTACTTACTTTTTTCACGGCTTTGAATTTAATGGATTAGCTTTACACCATGTGGCTGTAGCAACCTGCTGTGTAAGTCCCAGAGGGAGCATCCCTGGGCAAGACCAGAGGTCTTTATAAGGTGAGTGCCTCTAAAGCCCCACCTCCCCACAGGGTGCCTCAGGGAACATCCTTATATGAGTCAGTTTCTTCACAGACCTCCATCACTATTTCTCTGGGATGCATGCCCAGAGTGGTATTTCTAGGTCATAGGGCATTCACACATAAGCTTGATTTGACCACATACGCCAGATTGCATATGCCAGACTGCAGTCGTAAAGCCCCAAACCCCACCCAGCAATGGGCCCTGTCCACTTTCTTGATTGCCAGTCTACTAGTGGTACTGTATTAACTCATTGCTTATTTAATTTGCATTTTTGTATTTCTGTAATTACTAATGAGTTTGAGTAGGCCTTCAGAGCTTTGTTAGCATACTTAATACATGTAGGGTGCTTAGAACAGTACCAGGCAATTGGCCCAATTATTGGGCTACTTGCATTATTCTGTACACACAAGCATCTTTTAAATGACACAATGTTAAAAATGTTGTTTTAAGGCCAGGCACAGTGGCTCACACCTGTAATCCCAGCACTTTGGGAGGCCGAGGCGGGTGGATCATGAGGTCAGGAGATCAAGACCATCCTGGCTAACATGGTGAAACTCCATCTCTACTAAAAATACAAAAAATTAGCTGGGCCTGGTGGCATGTGCCTGTAGTCCCAGCTACTCGGGAGACTGAGGCAGGAGAATTTCTTGAACCCAGGAGGCGGAGGTTGCAGTGAGCTGAGATCATGCAACTGTGCTCCAGCCTGGGCGACAGAGCAAGACTCTGTCTCAAAAAAAAAAAAAAATTGTCTTAATATAAAATGTATTCTAGTGATGATTTCTGATCTTGAATTACCTGCTTATTTTTTACTTTCTGATAGGACTTGGGGTTTGGTGGTTTATGACTGCTCTCACATGGCTGGTGGGAGGGTGGCCTGCCGCAGCCTGGCTGGGGGGCAACCTGGCATACTTGGTCCACCATATGCTTCTCTCCATTTCCACTGTCCTCACCTTGGCTCCAAGCCCTGCTCCCTCTCCCCGCCCCCTCAGCCAGCCTCCTGCTCTGTCTACATTAACTCTGCACAACTCCTCACTCCAGCATCATTCTCCACACTCCAGCTAGAGGGATCTTTTCAAAATCCCTCCTTCTGGTCCCTGGCTTTCCATTTCTCTCAGGACAAAATCCTCTTTGTAGCCTGCAGGTGTGGCCCTTGCCACCCAGTCAGCCTCTTACCGGGTCCCAGCTCCAGCTCCAGTCTTTCTGCCCTGGGGCCCCATGGCTGCTCCTCAGGCCCTTGCCAGCTCTCCTCCCCACACCAAGACCAATTCCTTCTTCATCTTCAGAGTTCAGCTCAAATGTCGCTTCCCTGATCCCTAGACTAGACCAATTCTCTAGCCATCCTCTCATAGCTCTTAAGTCAGCCACAATCAAATAATCAATCCTACAATGCTCTATTTAAGGCCCTCTCCCGCTAGACTGCCCGGAGAGTGGCTGCTGCTGTTTTGCTCTGTCTTTCCTGCACCCAGCACAGTACTTGGAATAAGGTAGGAGCTGAAATCATGGAGTGATGTTGTTGAACATCAACGACCCCTTTATCACAGAACATTTTAAATCAAGGACAGCCAAAGTTCAACACAGTCCTAAAACCACTGGAGAGCAAGTGCAGACACTGCATCCAGAGGAAGGTGGCCTGGCTCCCGCCCACTCCACACACAGGCCTGTGGCTGTGCGGCTCATCTCACCAGAGCAAAACAGCACGGGGCTCTTGTGACTCAGAGGAAGGGAGAAGGGAGAGGCCTTTGTGAGAGATAAAAGCACTGTGTCTTGATACATGATAAAGTACAACCAAAAATATAAACATTTTATTTTGGATGAAATGTGGACACTTTTAAGAGTGCTTGTTAACCAGGCGCAGTGAGTCACGCCTATAATCCTAGCACTTTGGGAGGCCGAGGCAGGCGGATTGCCTGAGCTGAGGAGTTCGAAACCAGCCTGGGCAACACGGTGAAAACCTGTCTCTACTAAAATACAAAAAATTAGCCAGGTGTGGCAGCGTGCACCTGTAGTCTCAGCTATGCAGCAGGCTGAGGCAGGAGAATTGCTTGAACCCAGGAGGCGGAGGTTGCAGTGAGCCGAGATCGTGCCACTGCACTCCAGCCTGGGTGACAGAACAAGACTCTGCCTCCAAAAAAAAAAAAAAGAGTGCTTCCTTAAAACAAAATAAATCAAATCAGCAAAGAAAATAACTCTTTAAAAGGACAGACTCCACACCAGCTCAGAGCCCTTCTCACTTTGCCTCCATGTGTTTCCAGAGCACTGTTGCGTCAAATCATATCTTAAGTCCTGTATTTAAAATATGCACAATTATATCAAGAATAAGGAAGACTTTAGTGAATCTTTTTGCATAGCATATAACCATGCCCGAATGTATCACTGGCGTGAAGGCTGATGTTCCTCAGGATTCTTATTCTACACATCTTCCCTGGGGGACTACATCAAATTCTATGGCTTTCACCACTACCTCTGCTGATCCTACTTCTATAACCCTCAGCATTTTCCGAGACATCTCAAATTTCCCCATGTGCCAGAGAATGAACCCTCCCAACTCAGCTTCTTCCTCATCTCATGAATGGCCTCCGCACCCACCCCTGCCCACCTCACAGCTAGAAACCTGAGGGTGTCGCTGACTCCTCTGCAGGAGGCTGTACCCAGGAAGCCCCTACTCAACAGGACAGGCAGACTCCCAGGTGCTGCGGTGCACATAGCAGGTGCGGGGTGCAGCGACCCATTCAAGGCTTAGAACCCACTGGCAAGCTGAAGTGTCGCCTTCTGAGTGTTAGTTGTTTGCGGGTGCCCATGTGGCTGGGAGTGTGAGAGGCAGCAAGCCACAGCCCTGTGTTCCTCCCACATTGGCAGGTACTAAGGATGCTGAACTTCAGGAATCTTTGAGATAAGAGGTCATGGGAGCCTTGTCCAGCCACTGTCAGGCATGTCTCATTTATATCCTTCCACTACTCATTGGGTGTTTCAGGAGTAACCCTGATGGGAGACCATGTTATATAACATCCCCTATCCTTGAACTTGGGTCAGTCTCTTGTGTTTAGCCCAGTTCTTCTGCTTTCTCATGCCTATAGATTTTAGTAATAATAAAAATAGTAAACAGACATTGAATTTTATGCTGACCCAGGCACTGTCCTAAACCCTGTTTATGCCTTATCCTACTGTTCACAACGCCCTGTGTATTGTGGATATGTTTAATGTTACTCTTCCAGACTTTGGGATCAAGTTCCAAGTCATCTCAAAAAAGTGAGGCTTTCCATGCCCTTGCACCCACCTCCCCAGACACCTTTTCTCCAGCTTCACTGTCCCCTGGAATTCCAACCCCTACATCCCACTCCCACACCTTTGTCTAACACTGGCTCCTCAAAGAGTTAGTTTAGGCCTCACCCACTCTAGAAAGCCTCCCGCAGGCTGCGATCTGCCACACTGATCAGCTACACTACAAAACTGTTTCCAAGATAGAAGCAGGTTTCTGGAAAGGCCGGGCTGGACATCATATTTCTTTATATCTCCCCAAGGCCTGGCATAGTAGGTGATTAACAGCGAATGAGTGAATAGACAGACTTGTGTGTGTGCGTTGTGTAAACCAAAATTAGTGCCTCAGCTTACAACAGAACTCGTTTGAAGACTGACGATGAGCCCTCAGCAAACTGCTCTGTGTGCAGTGCTCTCGGGAATTCTCTCTCCTTCCCCAGCAACATCTGTACATGTACAAGCTTAAATATTCCCTACATAAATAACCACCAAGGAATCCTTTCCTTCCCTTCTCCAGTTTCCCAGCATTTTTTAAGAATCTATAATAGGAATGGATGCTATCTGGTCTATTTAAAATAAAATAATGCTGTTTGTTTATTGAATTGCTACGCTAAGATGCAAAGGAAACTGGTGTTTCCAGAGTCCAACCTTAATCAATGCTATGTGAAATAACTTCAGCTCTATACAACAGCAAGTTCCCTTTCCTCTCTAGGAAATATTTCTTTTACTGATTTATCATTTTGCTCTCTTAAAAAAAAGATGGCAAACAATAAGAACTTCTTCTAAACAGTTTAAATTGCAATGACATAGATATGTATATTCTAAAATATGCATTGAAATCAATTCAACAGTTTTAAAGGCTAAACATTAACATTTCTGAAGTTTAAAAGTATGCTTGCCTATAAAAACTGCAAACGAAAGAAAGAGCATAGCATTGGAAGACTTCTTCAGTGTTGGTGATTCATCCTGTTGCAGACTGAAGTTCCACCTCACGCCTGTGCTTGTGGGTCCCCTCTGCCTGTACCGGGTGTCCCCCACCTAGATCTGGGATGGCTGCTTCCTTCCTGTCCTGCTGGTCTCATCTTTGAGATCGCCTCGTGCCAAGCAAGCACCTTCCTACACCACCACTGTCTTTCTTCATTCATCAGCCCCTGAAAGCATAATTATTACTTGTTGTGCGTTTGTTGCCAGCATCCCCCATTGGGCTATGGGTGGCAGGAGGGCAAGTCCTCGTCAGTCCTGCTCGCTGATGTGGCCCCAGGACAGGGCGTGGAGCAGGCACTGAGGAGTTGGGGATGAAGGAATTCCCTCCAGCTCCCTGCACACTCCTGTTCTTTTCTCCTTTAGCTGCTCTCACAAAGTCACTCCAGTCAGAACGCAACCATTTCCCTTTCTCAGTCTCCCTCTTTGTGAGTAGGTGTCAAACTAGCAAGCAGAATGGCACAATCAGAACAAAATTTGAGATCTTTCTTCTAAGCCATCACCAATTTTATTCAGGTATAAATGCTACAGCCACCATTTGCATGCCATGTTATCCTAAGAGTGTGATTCCTGGATATGAGGATGTTTAAGGGAGCTTCTACTATACTAAGATTCAGTTTCTGTGTTCCAGATTAATCCAAAAGAGGGATGTAAAGTTCACGTGGTCTTCAGCACAGAGCGCTACAACCCAGAGGTAAGCTGCCACAATTGGCAAAGTATCCTATTAGCAACTGCTATAAATATGGCTTTGTAAAAAAGTGAGAATCTTAATATATAGTGATCTGGAGGTTTGCTTTTGTTTTTTCCTGATCTGTTTCCTATTTGTTATCAAGAACTAAAGAACAGAACTAGGCAAGAGCTCAATATTTAACTACTTCAACTTCATGGTCTTAACGCAGGGTTGCATTTAAAACAATCCATATAAGCGATCACCTCCCTCTTCCTTGGGACCCCTGGGAGAGAATTTCACAGCTCCCTCTGGTATCCCTCCTAGCTCCTCAGAGTCCTCAGAATGACTCACTTTCAAATGCCAACTTACTCTCTTCCTGTCAGAGGGTGACATTTCTGGTTAGCAGGCCAGCACAGCGTGAGACCAACCCCATGAGCTAACGTACACAGAGGCACTCTGTAAAACACGAGCACGTGCTCCAGCCGTTATCAGCCTCACTACAGCTTTGACCAAGCGGACCATGTTTTGCCAAGTTTCCTGTTCCCTGTTTTCAAGAAGAGAGTAAAGAGAAAACTCGTATAGAAATTAGAGCCAGATGAACTTCCTTGTGCTAGGCCAAGCTGAAAGGCGGCAATCAGAGCATGGGCGGAGAGGAGACCAGCTCAAATGCTCTTTGTCTTGTGCTGAGAAGCAGCCTGGAGCAGGCAGCATCCAGGATTAAAGTGTTCCAGGGTGGCAGAGTTTCGGGAGTTGAAGGCATGACTCCCCCAACCCCATGCTTCTGGAAGAATGCTCACCAGTACTCAAGTTCCAACAAGTATCCAACATGACAGCAGTATGCTCTTTGCTTATTAACCTATGAATTAAAATTTCCTTAAAGTGTACGAAAGATGCCTTTGATTGTTAGTGTTGCAAACTGAAAGTGTTAAGCTAGAGGGAATACAATTACTAGATTATTTTCACCAACAATATGCTTCCCTGGATTTGATCCTGTAGATGCATTAAGAACAGAGTGAGCTAATTGAAACCTTCCATTTCAGGGGGTGAAGAGCAGTTCTTTTATCCTCAGGCAACGGCTTTGATTCCATGGAGATGTTTTGAGGGGGAAATGAAAAGGAAAATGAAAGGGGGCAGTACCTGGTTCTTTTTCTCTTCTCTGGAAATGACTTTGACAACAGAGGAGGCCATGTACTAGGTTCCTTCTGCCCTTTCATAAGCCTCTTCCTGAATGCTTCCTTCACCTTTTTTCTATGTTGCACCAATAATTAACATCTTAAAGCAGTACTGAAATTCCCTCTCACTCAAAACCAGCACTCACAGGAGGAAAAATTGCCTACTGGAAAGTGTTTCTCAGTTTTTTGAGGTAGTTTTAGAAATAGGCTTATTAAGCAGATCCAATTTTTTTATTTTTAATTTTTATTTATTTATTCTTTTTGAGGCAGGGTCTTGCTCTCCTGGCTGGAGGGAAGTGCGATGATCATGGCTCACTGCAACCTTGACTTCCTGGGCTCAAGCGCAGAGAGAATTTTGATTACAATTTGTTTCCTCATGGACTTTTTTCATTTTTGGTAGTTGTTTTCACTGGGACTTCACCCAGTTTAAACAACCACAAAAGTAAAAAGAAGATTATCACCTCAACTATGCAACCAGCCAACGAGAGTTGGATTTGGGCAGGGCCAAGACTAGTGGCCCATGAACTTCCTCAAATTCTAGGCCCAGTGCTGATCTGTGCATTTTTCAGGGAATAAGTTCCCTGGCTTCTCTTATTTGGTTAAGGAATCTGGGGAATTCCTTAAAAGGGGGAAGAACCACTATGCTAGAAATGAGTCATACATCTGATGTCTAGTTGAAGCTCCAGATGTTTCTGGATTATAAAATAAGTGAGGGAGATCCCAGAATATCCAAAACATCTACATTTAAACATGAATGCTGGGGGTGGTGGCTCATGCCTGTAATCCCAGCACTTTGGGAAGCCAAGGCAGGCAGATCACGAGGTCAGGAGGTCGAGACCAGTCTGGCCAACATAGTGAAACCCCATCTCTACTAAAAATACACACAATTAGCCAGGCATGGTGGTGGGCACCTGTAATCCCAGCTACTCAGAGGCTGAGGCAGGAGAATCGCGTGAACCCAGGAGGCAGAGGTTGCAGTAAGCCGAGATCGTGCCATTGCACTCCCACCCAGGCAGGACTCCATCTCAAAAAAAAAAAAAAAAAAAAAGATGAATGCAAATAAACATCACTCAGGTAGTTGAATGAATCCCATGTGGATGATCAGTGGATCAGTGCCCCCATTTCTTCTGGATTAGATCTTGGCATAGAGAGATGAAGTTAGTACAGAGAGCCTGGGCTTCGGTGTTAGAAGTGAGGTCAAGCCCTGGCTTATTAGCTGTGCGACATGGAGTAGGTACCTCCTTAAACCTCAGTATCTTAATCTTTCAAACTGGAATCAGAGGACCTAATTCATAAGGCAGCATGAAGATGCTGTTGTTATTTTTGTAAATAGGAGCCAGCTCCATCTTTTAGTTCAAGTTAGTAACTTTGAGGTCCACCTAAGTATTATGTTGGTCCACATTCAAGAGTAAAGTGGCCACTACTCTAAAGGTTTGAGCCAAGCAGTGCTCAATGGATGTCAATGATATTTCTTTGGAAATATGCCCAATGTCATTTTATAAAGTCACAATCAGAAGACAAGAGTTTAAATGATAGCAAAGAGAGAAGGACTGTTGTATTCAGCTGTGAGCACAACCCACAATAAACCAAAACCCACTACATCTATTGATGCCAGAGCCTGCCTGCCTTGTACAATGAACTCTTCTCAATCTTGTGTGTGCTTGTGTGCACTGGGGTGAGTGGGAGGTGATAAAGTATCCTGTTTAACTCCACAGTCTTTACTTCAGGAAGGTGAGGGACGTTTGGGGAAATGTTCTGCTCGAGTGTTTTTCAAGAATCAGAAACCCAGACCAACCATCAATGTAACTTGTACACGGCTCATCGAGAAAAAGAAAAGACAACAAGAGGATTACCTGCTTTACAAGCAAATGAAGCAACTGAAAAACCCCTTGGAAATAGTCAGCATACCTGGTATGAATCAGCATTTGGAATTTCTATATTCAGGAATGTATGTAATAACTAAATCCTTAAAAGAAAGATCATTTAAGTTTTTATCCCTAAAGTGGCACTTTCATTCAACTAAATATTGTGGTATCCCTCATAATTTAAACAAAACTCAGAGGTATCATCTTTCTGTTCTTCATCTCTAATCCAACACAGTAACTCCACCAACAGCATGTATCCCTTTCATCTCATTTTCCAGCTGGGCGCGGTGGCTCATGCCTGTAATCCCAGCACTTTGGGAGGCCGAGGTGGGCAGATCACGAGGTCAGGAGATCAAGACCATCCTGGCTAACACGGTGAAACCCCGTCTCTACTAAAAAATAGAAAAAATTAGCCAGGCGTGGTGGTGGGCGCCTGTAGTCCCAGCTACTCAGGAGGCTGGGGAAGGAGAATGGCATGAACCTGGGAGGCGGAGGTTGCAGTGAGCTGAGACTGTGCCACTGCACTCCAGCCTGGACAACAAGAATGAAACTCCATCTCCAAAAAAAAAAAAAAAAACTCCTCATTTTCCATCCCAGAATGAGGGGCACAGTAAGAACTGAACCCCCAGGTAAGAGGTACAGGATTTTGAAATAGGATATGCATATAGGGGTGCTGTTTTCAGGGTTGAGTCCAGGAGCTGAGGTGACATCTCTATTTTTGGCAGTGGCTTTGGAAACTTTAGGCGACAGCCTCCAGAGCCACTACTCTGCTCATCACAGCCTTACACTCCAAGGCCAGATGAGCCCTCTCTGGGATGCTGCAGGGGAGTCATGTTTATCTCATTTCAAGTCAGTGGTTAATGGGCAGTGGTGCTGTCTCCAACAAAGGAGCCCTGCCCTCTGAAGTGACTCAGCTGAAGGGAAGCAGAGCTCATGCGTTCCTGCACTCACCAGAATGTGTGGAGAGCAGTTGAGACTCAGCAAATTTACTGGCAAATCCAATTTTCAAAACCACGAAAGTCATCTCTTGGGTATTAAGCTTGATGTCTGACCGCTACAGCATTCATGGTCCCACCCTCTCCCACAGTTCACTCATTTGCCCAGATTCTGTGGCAAACCCATGTCAACACTGGAGGCTCTGTAGTCTCCATTCCTGAATGTCTCTGCTCCCCATCGATTTACTGAGACTAAATGTCCTTAAAAACCTCGAAGTGGAATACTGCTTCTTCCATTTCTAAAATTCTGAACCCTGAATGATTCTCACATGATAGTTCTCTGACAACTCAGATCAAATCCTGTGCCAAGCAATCAAGGGGAGCAATTAAAATCTCATGTTGTAGCAGAATTTGTTTATATTGAGTATTGCTTGAAATAAATGACCTGATGACTGATACTTATAAATCTACACTTATTTAGGAATTGTTTTCCTTTAGTTGGGAAAATAGGGCTTATCTGTACTCCTTAAAACACAAATTTTAGAAATTGTATTGGATCTTTTCTTTGAATATTTGCCACAGGGTCACGAGACTTTAGACACTCTTTAATAGTGCAGGCTAACTGTATGTTTAGTTAATAAGTCCTGTATATCCATAGGGACCATTCTATAATAATCTAACTTAATGTAGCTACTGTGAAACTTCAAAAAACTTCTTTAATAGAGGGCAACTTTTCATCGAAAAACTTGTAAGTTTTGCTGTCATAGTAAATTCAGCAGAGACATTTAATGGTGCTATCTATAGCTTGTCTGTGTATGTAAAATTATCTACTTAAAACCAAAAAGGTTTGGTTTTAGATAAGGTAAATTTTACCCAGTTAAAATCTCAGGGGGGCCAGGCGCGGTGGCTCATGCCTGCAATCCCAGCACTTTGGGAGGCCGAGGCGGGCGGATCACGAGGTCAGGAGATCGAGACCATCCTGGCTAACACGGTGAAACCCCATCTCTACTGAAAAATAGCCAGGCATGGTGGCATGCGCCTGTAGTCCCAGCTACTTGGGAGGCTGAGGCAAAAGAATCGCGCTTGAACCAGGGAGTCAGAGGTTGCAGTGAGCCAAGATTGCGCCACTGCACTCCAGCCTGGGCAACAGAGCGAAACTCCGTCTCAAAAAAAAAAAATCTCAGCAGATTCCTATTCAGTATTTAATGGATCCAAGGCATTGGACTGTTGTAGTACAATGGGTAAGTGAGAAGATCTAATCCATTTTGGAATATCCTTGCTCCACATTGTTTTTTCCCCTTAAGTTGTCTGTTTTTTATGAGTGAAAGTTTCACTTCTAATGAATTTACAAACTTCCTAGCAATGAATCCAAGTACACTACATACAGAGGGAAAGATTGAAGACCTGGGAATAACCAGCTAAAGTTGTGTCTGCCCAAGTGGTTCTATAGCACTGTTGCCAGCACTTACCCTTTCAAATGTTCTTACTATTCATGGTATTTAGTATAACTGGTTTATCTTCTAGGGTGATGGGTTTTGATCTCACAAATCTGAACTCACAGCAGCACCATAAGATAGAACACGTGATGATGAGCTGGATCAAGGAAGTTTTCAGTCAATGAAGACAGGAATGATGGGAAACCTCTTAAAAGCAAAATAAGCAAAAAAGTTTATATCCAAGATATTGAATTCAGAGTCTTGTATTACATAATGTTCTGAAGTTCTTATGGTTCAGCTGCTCATAGCAATGAGGAAAAAAAAATTCATTCGTGAAATGCTGATATTCTTGTCAGGAAGTAGAAGTCCGAAACATACTTTCTACAATAACATCTGTAAAAATAGTCACAGCTCCCTATTGATTACTTATCATATGATGACAGGAAAAAATGACATTACCAGGTTAAAGAAATTACACAGAAAAGCCAGTGAAGAGTACTGGAAATCCTCAGTTCCAAATATGAAGGCACTTCGATATTAACAGGAAAGCATTATGGAACCAAAAAACTTATACATGTCACATAAGGGTGATATGATGACAATGAAGGGCAACAAATACCTTTTGCTTTATTCTCAACAGGTATTTTCTTCTAAAAGATTTCTCCAAGTGCTGAGTCTTCAATGCTGCTATTTATTTCTAACATCTTACTGCACTCCACATGACAGCTGTGTTGAAGCTTTTCCATTTTTTCAAGGCCCACATCCCAGCCTCATGCACTTTCAGGAGACGGTCTTGCCTCCTGCTTTACTGAGACTGAGACATTTGATTCTGTCATTTCTTCCCACCTCACAAAGTCGCTACATCTTCCCCAACCCTCTCTTTAATTCTAAGACTCCTTTTATACCCTTGGTTCTAGTTTATCTGGTTCTTTCATAATTTTGCCCCATCAGTATCCTTCCCACCTTGAGAATCTCCGTCAACCAGTTCCTTCTCTTGTCCTATAAAGATCGTCAAGATCAGAGTTCTGTTGACCAGTTTCTTCATAGACCCATCACCCCCTCTTTTTCCTTATTCTGTCTACTTTTCAAAAGTAGATTCTATACACATTGCCTCAACCTCCAACTCTTCCTATTTGGCTTCTACTCTATGTACATAAAGGGACCACCCAGATCACCAAAAACCCTAACCAGATCTTGCTTCTTATCCTTCTTGATTTATCTGTAGTTTTTTTGTTTGTTTGTTTGTTTTTTTGAGACAGAGTCTCCCTCTGTCCAGTGTGTGGTGGTGCAATCTTGGTTCACTGCAACGTCTGTCTCCTGGGTTCAAGCGATTCTCCTGCTTCAGCCTCCAGAGTATCTGAGATTACAGGCGTGTGCCACCACACCCAGCTAATTTTTATATTTTTAATAGAGATGGGGTTTCACCATGTTGTCCAGGCTGGTCTTCAACTCCTGACCTCCGGTGATCCACCCCCCTTGGCCTCCCAAAGTGCTGGGATTACAGGCGTGAGCCACCATGCCCGGCCTATCTGCAGCACTTTACATCATCCACCTTCATGACTTTCTTGACACTGTATTTAATACACCTAATAACAAACTCAACTTGTTTTCACCCAAAACGTTCCCACTTTCTGTCCTACATTTAATGGTATTACTATTCTCCTAGAGTTGGCTAGAAACTTTGGTCATTATCAACTAATCTACTAACATTTAATAACTTGCCATTTCCTATCAAGCCTGCATTCACAAAGTATTTTGGACTAATCTTTTCATCTCCAAATCCACTGTCACCATCCTTCATGCCTGGGATTCTTCTCCCTGAGACCACCGCACCCAGCAGTCAAAGTCATCTTCCACACTTACTACTCAACTGCAGTTCATACCCACTCTGGCAGCGCTGGAAACAAGGCCTTTCAAAATCTGCTGCCAGTATACTGTATATTCTATCAAGAACAGTCACTGAGGCTGCCCCTGCCTGGTGCCTTCCTACCTTCACGTGCTCACTTTCTCACTCAGACCCCCACACAAATGACAGCAATTCAAGGCGCAGCCAAAATCTCATCTCTGTGAAGTTTCCCCTAACCCTCTCCAGCCCAAAGCCCAAAGAAACCTGTCCCTTCCCTGCTGTCCCTCAGCTTTCTGATCCTCCCTCTCTTAAGGAATGTATCAACTATAACCCCACCATGTCAACATGTGGAGGGTGGGGACCCATCTTGGTATCCTTCACAGATCCCAAGAAATCAATGAATGCTGTTTGAATTACCTCTGAGTATAAACTAGCCAAGTTCTACCAATACAGAATAGAATTTATGCTAAGGATTACTTTACCCAGAAGGATTAGTTTCCTAATAAGTTTGTTAGTATTCCTCATGTACTGTGCTATTATTAGGCCTTAATATAGTATCCCTACAAAACTGCATAAAATGATGGTTCATGAACAGTCACCTCATAAAATTTGAGCTCCTAAAAGTCACAAACAATAATTTATTAGTCATTGTATCCCTAACCTCTCACAGTGTCTAATATTGTTTAAGTTTTAAGAAAGATGTTTGCCAAATTTAAAAGATTTTAGGTCCGAAAACAATGCCACAGAAAAAAATCTACCTGATTTCTTCACGTGTTAAACAAGAGTGACAGAGATGCTGCCAACACATTGATTAGCTTTAAAGCCAATGATTAGAGAAGCACAAAGATATTCTGGCAGACTGGGAAGCAAAGACCACCATCACATTGACTGTAGACCTAAACCAGAAGGTAAGGTGAAGAATATCAGTGACAGACTTTTGAACCTAATTAAAAATGCTTCTTGGCCAGCACAGTGGCCTTCACCTGTAATCTCAGCACTTTGGGAGGCCATGGCAGGAGGATCACTTGAGCCCAGGAATTCAAGGCTACTGTGAAGAGTAATTGTGGCACTGCATTCTAGCCTGGGCAATAAAGCAAGACCCTGTCTCTTAAAAAAAAAAAGCTTCTTAACTAACAAGACTAAGTTAAATTGAATGTCATCTTTGAGTATTCAGTAATGAGTATGGAAAAGTCACTTTAGCTGCTAGGTGTGCGACAGTTGGAAGAAGGAGACTGAAATCTGAGAGATTTGGTAGCAGACTGTGGCTGTGGTCTCAGGGAGAAGCAGCTCAGGCCTGAAGGGTGGTGGCAGTGGGTTCGGAGAAGACAAGATGGGTCCAAGATACTTTGTGGACATAGGCTTGATACAACGTAGGCTTCATAGCTCTTACTTTGCGTGTATACAGTACAGCAAATGGCCATTGATTTATAATAGATTTACTCAGTTTGGCAAGTTGAAGAATATAAATCTACATACTAACATAGAAACAGATACAAACAAATCACATATATGGCTCAAGGTCTTGCTGTGAGAGAGATGACTGGTATGACTAAGTTTAAACCCTATTTCATTTCTGCAACTTCTGAGATTTTGTCTCAAAAATGCATTAATACAAATGTGCTTTTTTTGTCTCTCTCAGATAATCATGGACATATTGATCCCTCTCTGAGACTCATCTGGGATTTGGCTTTCCTTGGAAGCTCTTACGTGATGTGGGAAATGACAACACAGGTGTCACACTACTACTTGGCACAGCTCACTAGTGTGAGGCAGTGGGTAAGAAAAACCTGAAAATTAACTTGTGCCACAAGAGTTACAATCAAAGTGGTCTCCTTAGACTGAATTCATGCGAACTTCTAATTTCATATCAAGAGTTGTAATCACATTTATTTCAATAAATATGTGAGTTCCTGCAATGGGCCAAGTATTGTTTCAGGGGCTGGGGATACAGTCGTGAACAAAGACACAATGTTGCTGCCCTCATTGAGATTAATTCTAGTGAGAGAAGATAAAAAGAGACAGTGAGCTAATAAATAAATATGTATCATATGATGGTAAATGCTATGAAAAAAATTAAGTAGCCAAGGTGGAAGGATCACTTGAGGTCAGGAGTTTGAGACCAGCCTGGGTAGCATAGCAAGGCCCTATCTCTACAAAAAAATTAAAAATTAGCCAGATGTAGTGGCACATGCCTATAGTCCCAGGTACTCGGGACGCAGAGTTGGGAGGATTGCTTGATCCAGGAGTTGGAGGTTGTAATAAGCTATGATTGAGCTACTGTACTCCATCCTGGGCAACAGAGTGAGATGCCATCTCTGTCTCAAAAAAAAAAAAAAAAAAAAAAAAAAAAAAAAAAGTATTGCAATATTCTAGGCAAGGCCTGGTGGTGGCTTGGACCAGGGTGGTGGCAATGGGGCTGGAGAGATGTTTGGATTCTGGCAGATTGACAGTATTTGCTCATGGGTTGGATATGGATATCAGAGATGAGAGGAGTTAAGGATGATTTTTAGGATTTTGGTATGATTAACTAGAAGGACACAGTTTTCATTTACCGATTGGGGAAGCTTATAGGAGGAACAGAATTGAGGGAGAATTATCTTGATTTGGGGCATTCTAAATTCTATAACCAAACAGAGAATTTGTATAATCTTCTGGACAGAAGAGTCTGAAGTTCAGGGGAGAGGTCTCGGCTGTAGTTGTCACCATATAGTATTTAAAGCCACAAGACTGGATGAGATCACAGATAATGAGTGTAGACAAAGAAGGTAAGTTATGTAAGGACTGGATCATGGAACACTTCTGACTTAAGCAGTTAGAGATATGGGAAAAGAAAGTATTTCAAGGATGAGGACTGGCTGGTAGTACTAAATGCTGCTGGAAAGTCAAGTAAGATGAGGACTGAGAACTGCCCATTTCATTGAGCAACTGGAAGTCAATGAAGGGAGAGCTTATCAAGAGCCCTCTCACTGGCACAGTGGGGACAAAAGGCAGATTGGGGTAGGTTCAGGAAAGGATGGGAGGAGAGGAAGTGGACATTCCATCCTTTCAAGAAATTTAGCTATAATAAAGGAGAGTAAAAGGAAGGAAGAGGACTACAGCTGGATGATGGGTGAGCATAGGGCTGAAAGGGTTTTTGCATTTTTTTTGGTTGGGAGACATAACAGCATGTTTATATGTCGATGAGAAAAAGTCCAGCAGAGAGAGGCAAAGTAGGAATTGCATGAAAGAGAGGGAAAAGTTGTTAGAGTTACTATCTTTGAGTAGGCCAGAGAGGATGTGATTAATCCAGATGATATTAGAAACACGGAGAGTTCACATAGAGGGAAAGCAGGAAACAGTGGCCCCAGTGCTAGGAGGGCAGATATCAAAGTAGGAGCTTGTGGAAGCTCTATTCTAACTGCTTCTGTCTTCTCAGTGAAAAACGAGGCAAAGTAATAAGCTGAGAGCAGGATGAGAGCAAAGGTGTTGGGATTATTAGAGAGGCAAGCTGAACTAATCATAAGCACCAATTTAAAAAATTCGTTTTGTTCATAGGTTTACCCAGGGATGGATCATCAGTGAGTATCTTCTGAGTACAGGATTTACCCAGCATTAAGTCATCATTTTTAATGTCAATAATACATAGTTTGGTTTGCTTTCCAAAGACCACATGTACAACACACATCAACTAAAAACCTAGATTTTGTCTTTACTTATCAAAATGAACATGTCTTTCCCCATATAGAATGCTTTTAAATAGAAATTATCATCTAATTGATTGTTGCCATATAACAAGTCAAGATACAGTACTAGTTCTTTTGCTAGGTAAGTTTCTACCTGTTTCTGACACACTCTCATCTACCAAGATAACCACATCCTCAACAAGAGGCTTTTACTGTACCTGATTTTAAAGTTAGGGGGAAGAGGTTGTTTTAAGCGTAGAAAATGGTGTCAAGATAATATAGAACTAATTGTAGTAAATGTGAGAGGAAAACTTAATAGGAATAGAGCAACACATTGAGATAACAGAAAAAACTAGGACATTTAACATGTTCCCCTTTCTTTTGCAGTTGCATATGACACATTTTTACCACTAGGACATACTAGGGTACAAAAATAGCAGGTGTATTTCCCTCCCATTCTAACCCGTCTTTCATGTCCATCATCTGTCCACTAACATCTCTCAACCAAACTGCACGTACGAAAGCGAGGACATACAAGTAACTAGAAAGTTAAAAAGCAGAAATGCAGGCTGGGTGCAGTGGCTCATGCCTGTAATCCCAGCACTTTGGGAGGCTGAGGCAGGCGGATCATGAGGTCAGGAGATGGAGACCATACTGGCTAACACTGTGAAACCCTGTCTCTACTAAAAATACAAAAAAATTAGCCAGGCATGGTGGCATGCACCTGTAGTCCCAGCTACTCGGGAGGCTGAGGTAGGAGAATCGCTTGAACCCGGGAGGCGGAGGTTGCAGTGAGGTGAGATCGTGCTAGTGCACTCCAGCCTGGGCGACAGAGCAAGACTCTGTCTCAAAAAAACAAAACAAAACAAAACAAACAAAAACAAATGCAGAGGGAGAATGGTCATTGACTAAGAGTTTTAGATTTTTTTTTCCCCCTGCGATGTCTGGGTGTTAGATAAATAATAGTTGAATATGCAGCTGAGTCATCCAAGGCAAATCATTTCATCTCTTAGGGCCTATTAAATGAGGACTCACAAACGGATTGAAGTTAAACTAATACAAATTTAAATCCCTGGAGCAATTAGGATATTTGGTTTCAAGGCTGACACGCATTTCAGCTTAGAGTTCTTTTAAAGAAAAGTATGCACATATCCACAAAGATTTTCAAATTCTGCTATTCAGTGGCCACTAAGGTCTCCTGTGACCCTTCATCAAAAGAAGCAACACAAGCAACAAGCAATGATTTTTAAAAAGACACTATGAGCAGAAGGTCTAAATACTGTTCTGAGAGACTAGCAACAGGACACTAGGGCTGAGAAAGCCAGTATGGCACGGAGGCAGGAAGTGACTGGAGGTGCTCTTGGCCCAAGGTAGCTCAAAAAAAGTATGAAGATTATAATTTTTCCAAAAACTTTCTGGGAATTACTATCTTGATACTCAGGGCTAATTTCACCTTTTAATGCAATTGTGTAAAGAAGTACAAGCTTATAAACTCACAGCCCCAAATGAACAAGGCCTGAGGGAAGAGTGTGCAAAAAAAAAAAAGAAAGACTGAAATGCAAATATAAAGTAAGACACATCTTACTGGCACAACTCTTTCCTTAGAACTGAAGAATAGATGTCATTCCCAATACTATGAGGACAGTGCCAAGAACACGGGATATATGCTGGCTAGGGAAAAAAATGGATAAGCCCGTACCTTTAGCCTTTAATATGAATTGAGAAACGTCAAGCTGAGTATTGTTCTAACTCTTATCAATCAGTACCAGGTTTGTAAGCACCCCAAACTATCTAACCTGCAGCACATCACTATCAGTCAGCTCATCTTCACATTAAGTAGAAGTCTCCATTAGCCAAAGCTACATATAGAAACCATCCTATCTACCTTATCTATTATGCTGAAATCTACTTTTGATAACTTCTATTACTAACAAATCTAATTCTTCTCTACTAAAACCACCCTAGTTCTGTTAGAGATCCTTTGCTCCCTTTTGGGGGAAGCAGGGTGGAGGGGCATGGGGTGGGTTGGGTTATGACCAAGTAAAAGGGAACAAACAAAACACTTCCAGTCTGTCTGCAACAAGATTAAGTGCTGAGTTACCAGGAAATGTAACAACAAATCATCATCCATTTGGGCTACAAGATTTGGCACTTGTGATGATCTGAATTGAAGCCAAAAAGATAATTTCTGAATAATATTAAAAATAATGACTTCTTGGCAGAGCTTGACATGGGGAGGGCAGTCCAATCTTGGCATCCTTTGCCAGGCTGGGATGTGCAATGTCCTCTTCTGCATTTTTTTAAATAAGCTGTGCTTTTTGGTTTGGTTTAAAGGTGGTTCCTCCTAAAGGAGGAGGAATCTATAAAAACAAAAATGTAAGGGGATGTTTCGATAACTTTATTGAGGAAGTTCTCAATCAAATGATAGAGGGTTTTACCAGCATTATCACGACTCACATTTTGTATTTAAAAATGGGTAACACTCTTTGTGCTTTTACCAAAATAGTCTGTCAAATGGGGCTGGAATCCTAACATTTGTTTTAAGCTCTGCCTCTTTTTTGCCTCAATGGAGACTGCCATGATTTCCTTCAGAAATGCCATTTTCAAACGCAGAATAAGGCATTGTTCTCAAAAAAACATTTTAAGTGTATAAGTAAAACCAATTTATATATATATATATACACACACACACACACACACACTTATTATTATTTTTTAAATAAAGACGAGGTGGTCTCTATTAAAAAATAATAATATTGCCCATGCTGGTCTCGAACTCCTGGGCTCAAGTGATCCTCCCACTTTGGCCTCCCAAAGTGCTGGGATTACAGGCATGAGCCACCATGTCCAGCCTAAAACCAATTTTTAAATTATAAAAATACATGGTAAACAGTCAAGACTTGAAAAATAGTGCAGACAGCACAAAAGTCTGAGACAAATATCCAGCTGGTGTGGGACATCTTGGGATAGATAATCATGTCCTTCCAAGGTCAAGACAGCCACCAAATGAAGGTCTAACAAGGCTAAACACACCCTCAAAGCGACAATGCCAGACTGATCACTGGAACCTCCAGTAACTGTTCCCTTAAGAAAGAGACACTGAATTTTCTCTCATGAATTCTCTGACTTTCCAGCTTGTGCCTCAGATGTTTGCTTTGAACATTCGTGGGTACACTGTGAGAGACGAGGGAAACCTACTGACTATTGCCAAGAAGAATCATAGAAAATGCAGTTGATTTCTGATTTATCCAGGCCCTCTGGGGAAGGAAATGCCTCCTTTCCTTCAGGCATTTCTGAAGGAAATCATGGCAGTCTTCAGCGAGGCAAAGAAGAGGCAGAGCTTAAAACAAATACTAGGATTCCAGCCTGTATCTTCCCTCCAGACTTCACCTACTGGCCATTTCACGGCTGGTAAAAATCTCCATCAATGTAGGCAAAGGGGAGTCTAAACTTTTTTGGTGGGGGGGGGGTTGCTTTTTTGTATTCTTTAGTATTCTTAATAGAAACCTGGTAATGTAACGAAAATACAAGTTTAATCACTTGCTGCTTGCAGAATCCAATTCACAAGAGTGAGGTCTGGTACGAAGAAAGTGACTTTATTCCAAAGCTAGCTTAGGGGAAGAAGTATAGGCTCCTGCCTTTAAGGTACTGTTTCCCTTCTGGGACAAAAAACAAGGGCTTTTACAGGGGGACTTGGCATAAATGGCATGCAGAAGAGGGTGCAAGCAGGTGCACGGTCTATGTGACTTCTTGGGTGCCTTATCTACCCGATGGTCAAGCTGACGCCATTGTGGGCAGAGCTAGATTGTAAAATGGCCATTGTTTCAAGACACTTGGACAGAGTTCCCTCATGGGCCTAACTGAGGTTGTAAATTGACTGTTGTCTCTTAAGGCCTTCTCCTGGTGGGAGAGAGTCCCAGCTCTCAAGCATTGAAGTGAGCACATACATAAGCTTGCCATGCAGGGAGTGTCTGGTAAAAGGGAAGGTAAAAGTTATGATTCCATTTCTAAAGAGCTAAGCAGGAAGTAGAGAACAGGGAAAAAGGCTGAAAGAGAAAAGAAAAAAATTGTTTTTTAAGTAACTCATTCTCTTTCTCTTAGAAAAATGGAGTACTCAGTTATAGTAGGAAAAGACTCAAATTATAATCCAAATTAAGGTATTTTTAAAAAATGTTCTTTCTTCCATTTTTACTAGTGAACAGATAAGCACTCTTGCAAAAAAAAAAAGGAAATGTCAGAAAGAAAATATGGAGTTGGTTTAGTCACTAGTAAAATGTACAGAAACGATGTGAATAAAAGAGATGAAGACAACTGCCTGCCTACTGAAAAATATCCAATGCACTGGTTTTAGAAACAGCGTGTATAGCTTCATGTGGTATATATGAAGAATGTGGGTGTTGGAGTCAGTAGATCTGGGTTGGAATTCCCATTTGTCCCTTCCTAGCTGTAATCTCAAATTACCTCTCCTGTAAAACCAGGCTCATAATACACAGATTGTAAAGGAGAATTAGATGAGAACATGTAGAAGGTGCCTAGCACAGAACCCAGCCCATGGTGGACCTTCTAGAATTACTGATTGCCCCTCCCCTTGTCTTATTGCCTGTCATATCAGGGCTAATATATCAGCTTGAGGTATATATACAGTATCTAGATCCTTAAGGTTGTTAAAAGAATCTCCCTATTCCCACAGACTTTGGTCTCCATCAGAAAAAGTGACAGACATTCAACCAGACTTTCATATAACTCAGTGACAAGACAAAAATGAGGATCCATGACTTCCATATCTTGAAGCAAAATACCACCAAAAACCGTGAGGCTGAAATCGAAAAGGCAGTAGGAGACACAAGGCACCCATTCAAAACAAGAATGTATTGTATAGTTATTACACTAAATACCACCATATTTATTACACTAACTCTTTTTTCTCCCTCTAGAAAACTAATGATGATACAATTGATTTTGATTATACTGTTCTACTTCATGAATTATCAACACAGGTAAAACATAACATTGTATGTAGAATTGTTTTTACCATAAGTTTTTGCAGATTATAATATTTTATAACTCTATTTCCTAGGAAATAATTCCCTGTCGCATTCACTTGGTCTGGTACCCTGGCAAACCTCTTAAAGTGAAGTACCACTGTCAAGAGCTACAGACACCAGAAGAAGCCTCCGGAACTGAAGAAGGATCAGCTGTAGTACCAACAGAGCTTAGTAATTTCTAAAAAGAAAAAATGATCTTTTTCCGACTTCTAAACAAGTGACTATACTAGCATAAATCATTCTTCTAGTAAAACAGCTAAGGTATAGACATTCTAATAATTTGGGAAAACCTATGATTACAAGTAAAAACTCAGAAATGCAAAGATGTTGGTTTTTTGTTTCTCAGTCTGCTTTAGCTTTTAACTCTGGAAGCGCATGCACACTGAACTCTGCTCAGTGCTAAACAGTCACCAGCAGGTTCCTCAGGGTTTCAGCCCTAAAATGTAAAACCTGGATAATCAGTGTATGTTGCACCAGAATCAGCATTTTTTTTTTAACTGCAAAAAATGATGGTCTCATCTCTGAATTTATATTTCTCATTCTTTTGAACATACTATAGCTAATATATTTTATGTTGCTAAATTGCTTCTATCTAGCATGTTAAACAAAGATAATATACTTTCGATGAAAGTAAATTATAGGAAAAAAATTAACTGTTTTAAAAAGAACTTGATTATGTTTTATGATTTCAGGCAAGTATTCATTTTTAACTTGCTACCTACTTTTAAATAAATGTTTACATTTCTAAATAATGAAATGTGTTGAATGTTCTCGTGAAGATTTGTATACAAAGGAAAAATTTGTGCTAAACTGGAATTAAATGAAATGGTAATATTGCTTAACTTAAATTTTACAAATAATAGAACGTCTGTCTCACCAGATAAAGCTGTCTGCAAACATGCATCAAAAGAAACACTGATGTAACTGAAAGTATATTAAATATTTACAATTTTCATTTACAAGGACAACTTGGACTGAGTGTTGGCCTAAGTAATTTATAAAGGCAAACACAGTATGTACAATAATCAAATTCAGTGGAGTACCTCCTTAAGGCAGGAGGCATTGATCCAGGAAATGTTGTCATCATTTGCCTCTCAAAATTAGTATCACTTAATGGAATGTTTATGTCGGTGTGTAAAAACCTTGAGCCAGGTTCTGTAGCCAGTAACTGATTAGGAAATATCAGCCTTAAAACATACCAAAACATTACTTCTAAGTGTGCACTGTTAGACAATCAGAAAAGTTTACACTAAAGAAGGCATGAACTCATATAAAATAAAATAAGCTGATCTAGTTTATATATTTTTCTACTTAAAACCCTATGCTTTGCATTTATCTTCCCAAAATCCAGCTGATTTACAATTAAAAAAAATTTTTTTAATTAAAAAAAAAAAAACGGCTGGGCGTGATGGCTCACGCCTGTAATCTCAGCACTTTGGGAGGCTGAGGTAGGAGGATCACTTGAGCCCAGGAGTTCATGACTAGCCTGGACAACATAGTGAGACTCCATCTCTTTAAAAAAGTTTAATGATTTAAAGATTTGTGGCTGGGTGTGGTGGCTCATTCCTGCATTTTGGGAGGCCAAAGGCAGGAGGATCACTTAAGCCCAGGAGTTCAAGATCGGCCTGGGCAGCATAGTGAAATCCAGTCTTAATTTAAAAAAATACATATATATATATATAAAAATAAAGAGTTGTAGGTATTTGGAAGCATTGCAAACAATCATTTAAAAGACACATCAGCTCTCCCACCTATGTGATAATGAAGAGATACTCCTTGTAAATTATCAGAAATAATCCACAATGATTAAATTATGCCAAAATCAAGTGATAAATTTCTGTAACTGAAGTTCCCCAAATGATCTTCAAAAAAAGTCCTAAGAGCATTACAACAGTATATTCAATGTCCTATGATATTTAATCAATCTTTTAGCGTCACATTAAGGACTAGAAAAGGGCATTTACTTGGTGTTTCAGCTTTCTAGAGTCGGAGCTTTCTCAAAGTCCTCATCCCCATAAATGCATTTTTCTTTTTTCCTTTTTTTGTTTGTTTGTTTGATCTTCACTGGGCAGCTATCTTGACTTTGGAAGGAAATGGTTATCTATCCCAGGATGTCCCACACCAGCTGATTATGTTGCCCAGGCTGGTCTCAAACTCCTAGGCTAAAGGGATCCTCCCACCTCGGCCTCCCAAAGTGTTGGAATTACAGGCATGAGCCACTAAAGGCATTTTTCATTACTGAGATTAGGCTCACAAACACATCCATAATCCAACCAGGTAATGTTTCTAAGGTAACCTTTTAGCAGATTTATTACAGTACAATAGATTATGAGGGGGAATTCTATACATACAAATAATATACAAACACAATTACCTAATTTATTAATTTACAAAACCCAAAAAGTTAAACCAACTAAAAATTTATCAGTATCACCATCAGAACATCTTTTCTTTTTTTTCTTTTTTTTTTGAGACAGAGTCTCACTCTGTTGCCTAGGCTGGAGTGCTGGAGTGCTGGAGTGCAGTGGTGCCATCTCAGCTCACTATAGCCTCCGCCTTCCGGGTTCAAGCGACCCTCCTGCCTCAGCCTCCTGAGCAGCTGGGGCTACAGGCGTGAGCCACCCCGCCCGGACGATTTTTGTATTTATAGTAGAGACGGGGTTTCACCGTGTTGGCCAGGGTGGTCTCGAACTCCTGACCTCAGGTTATCCACCCACCTTGGCCTCCCAAAGTGCTGGAATTACAGGCGTGAGCCACCACATCCGGCCTCAGAATATCTTTTCTAGCACAAACTCTAAAATTGTTAACTTAATTTTACCAACATTGGTTTCACTAGCTAATAAAACAGAAAAATCACTTGGCATAAAATGAAAAACTATTCCCTATGTCCTCTTTTCATTAACAGTCTAAATTATTCTGAATCACTCTTAGCTAATTACAATTACATACAGCTTGACATTCATTTTCCTAATACCTTTAGAACTTTCTTAAGACATATAAAATAATACCAGGGATTTTGTCTACATTCCATTTTATTTTATTCATACTTTCATTTTCTTCCTACCTGAATTACGAATTTTTAGAAGTTGAACAAGTTCTTTTGAAAGTCAGTTGGAAGCTTATATAAATAGGAACACTTTTTTTTTTAAGGTAAAGTTATCAAGCCAGGCATGGTGGTGTGTGCCTCTTGTCCCAGCTACTCCAGAGGCTGAGGCCAGAGGACTGCTTGAGCTCATGAATTTGTGAGCAGCCTGGGAAACACAGCGAGACCCCATCTCTTTAAGTTCAGGGGTTGATGTGCAGGCTTGTTACATAGCTAAACTTGTGTCCTGGGGGTTTGTTGTACAGATTATTTCATCATCAAGGTATTAAGCCTAGTACCCATTAGTTATTTTTCCTGATCCTCTCCCTCCACCCACCCTCCATCCTCCAATAGGCCCCAGTGTGTGTTGTTCCCCTCTGTGTGTCCATGTGTTCTCATTATTTAGCTCCCACTTATAAGTGAGAACATGCAGTATTTGGTTTTCTTTTCCTATGTTAGTTTGATGAGGATAATGGCTTCCAGCTCCATCTATGTCCCTGCAAAGGACTTGATCTCATTCTTTTTTTATGGCTGCATAGTATTCCACAATGTGTATGTACCACATTTTCTTTATCCAGTCTATCAGTGATAGGCATTTAGGTTGATTCCATATCTTTGCCATTATGAACAGTTCTGCAATGAATGTGTGCATGCATGTGTCTTTATAATAGAATGATTTACGTTCCTTTGGGTATATAGTAATGGTATTGCTGAGTCAGATGGTTTTTGTCTTAGAAGACCCCATCTCTTAAAAAAAAAAACAGTTGTTAAACAAAAAAACCAAACTCTAATATCACACAAAAGAATACAATATGACACTCCTGAATTTCACAGATTTTTCATTTCATGTCTTGGGCTTAAGCGCAGTGCAGGCAATATTTCAGCGGTCTTTAACTTTGTCTGCATATTAGAATCACCCAAAAAAGTTTTTATCTTGATCCAGCCAAATAATCTAAATATCTGGGTGTAGGCCTAGGTATTTCTTTTTAAGGCTCCCCCAGTGATTTTTAAAGTACAGTGAGGGTTGGGAATCAGTACAATACTACCTAGTGCTGCTACTGTTGTCCAATACAAGGATGTAATATTTGAATTAGCCAACAATTATCCTTCTTGATAGTAGTATAAACAACCCTCACCTATGAATATTCTCATTAATTTTTTTCCATGCTACAGACTTTGGTTGGTATGTGATCTTTGCCAACTATAACTAATGACTTAGAAAGAGATGTGGGTTCTAGTCCTGATCTGTCCATTTGTGAACCTATTCTAATTACTCCCACCAGCTAGGCCTGAATCATTACCTATGAAATGCTGGTGTTGGATTAAATATCTAGGACCTTTTCTAACACTGTAACATTATAACCAGGATGTTTTACAAATTAAAAATAAGTAAGTTTTTTACTTATTTATCCAGTTTAGTTCCAGTAGTTGTGACTATTCTCAATAGCCATAGGAATCATGCTAAATTCCATGAAGGTACACAGAATGTATTTCCTCATTAGGAACAATATTCAAAGTTATTGTGAATGTCACAAGATGCTGAGGAAATGCCAAAGCAACCACATTTTTTCAGACCTGATGCTACTGTAGCAACAGACATTCATGGGGGAAATGCACTTGGTGAATAATTGTAATTAAAGTATCAATTAAAAAACTTAGGTTTTGTGGTCTCATTAAAGTTATTTACCTTATCTGTGCTTCTTCTATTACAAAATGGACATAATAATAGTACTTACTCTCGGGGTTGTGAGAATGAAATTATACAATGCATTTAAAGTATTTAGCAGCCAGGCATGGTGGTTCATGCCCATAATCCCAGCACTTTGGGAGGCTGGGGCAGGCAGAGAGCTTGAGCCCAGGAGTTTGAGACCAGCCTGGGCAATATGGCAAAACCCTATCTCTTCAAAAAATGCAAAAAATTAGCAGGGAGTGGTGGCGCACACCTGTAGTCCCACCTACTTAGGCAGCTGAGATGGGATAATTGCTTGAACCCAGGAAGCAGAGGTTGTAGTGAGCAGAGATAGTCCCTCTGCATTCCAGCCTGGGGGATAGAGTGAGACCCTACCACAAAAAAATAAAAATTAAAAAAAAAAAAGTATTTAGCAAATGCCTTGAAAACATGTGCTCAATACTTTTTAAAGATCTTTTTCCCCTAGAAACCTTAAAGTATAAAGCCACGTCTATAAGTCAAGAAAAGCAAAGGAATTTAAAATCAATTATTTTATTTCTACCATCAGGTAATGAAAAGGACTAGGATCCATCTATACCATCAGATGATTTTTGGATGAAGCAATTCTGAACCGGGTAATAGAACTGCTTGGGAAAGCCCAACTTTTTCTGGAAACAAAAGATTAACATTTGTCCCTTCATAATCTCAGTGAATACAATATACGATAAATTCCAAGGAATTCAAATTTAACTAGCATTCATTAGGTTGATGAAACTAACTCTATAAATTACATTTGATTTAGCTGTACAAAAACATTAAGATGAACACAAACAAGAATAGTATATGCAAGGGTCTACTTTTTACTTCACAATAGACCACAAGGAAGTAATACTTATACTCCTAAAACAGAGGCAGTTACAAATTTGCAGAAACCACAAACTGAAATAAACAGACATATATAAAACAGAGAGAAATTTGGCTAATATTTTAATATCCCAATGAAGAATCTGAAAAACACTCTCTATGAAGAACATACGGAATCCACTCTTCAACAGAAAAGCCTGCCCATTAATGACACTCCAAGAAGTGTCATGATATATGCGATTCACTTTCAAGTCTTCAGCAAACTAAAAATAGAGTTATGAGACTTAAACAGATAATAGACAGTGAAAGCAAATATGACAAAACAAATTATTATATGATAAACAACCCGTTAACAAAGGAAGGTAGATGGAAAGTATGTGGTTATTCTTTGCATTTTTTCAGCTTTTCTCTATGTTGAAAACTCTTATGATACAAAATTTGGAAATGAACATACATTCTAAGCTTAAAAGTATAACTGAAATTAGTCTCTTTTCCCCTTAAATATTAAACATATTTCAGTAATAATTATATTTTATTTGAGGATTTTCAATGAACTATAAAACCAATCAATAGAGTTGAGATAGACATAGAATTACCTTTGAATATAACAGAAGCTCCTGAATATGAACAAGAAGGGCTTCTTTTGAAGAAAGAAGAGCCCGCTTCCTGGGCTCAGAATTTCTTGTTTCAGCAGCCTGAATTTATTCCACTGGAATCCATCAAAGTATCAAAACCACGCAGATTCAATTAGAGTCAGTCAACTCACAGTAAGCAAAGTTAGTTCTTGGCTTTTCCTTTTTTAACAGGAAGTTGACCTGTAGCTTCCAAATACTTATTAATGACGTCTTCTTGTGTGGATGGTAAACATGGCTGATACCTGCTATACTCCATTGTGTATTCTCCCTTTCCCTAGGGATTTAAAAAAAAGAGAGGGTTTTTTGTTTGTTTGTTTGTTTTTTAAACTATCAAGTAAAAGTCATACAAGGTCAAGATTTTATAATATGATCATTCTGTAGGGTGGTCTTTTGAAGGGTAAGTTTAAATTTGCCTACCTCTGTGCATGACCTAAGTTCAGTGGAATAACCAAACATATCATTTAGAGGGACCTGAAAACAAACATAGTAGATATTTTAGCACTGCTTATTGGAAAATATTTGAGAAAAATACAGACGCATTTTAGCCATTTAATTCCTTTAGATTAAGATTTCTGCTCACTACTCTTAGTTTAAAATAATTAAAAGCCAAAGAGAAACATTTCTGTTTTATTCCAAGTGGAAATCCTATTTGAAAATTATTTCATTTGACAGTCGCAACCAGAAACCAAATCTTTCCACTTCGTGGAGTGAACACCATTGACAGCCTTCCCTCCTCATCCCCACTCCGCTCTGTAGCCCCAGCTCAAGCACTCAGAAGTGCTTCTTCTGAGAAAATGTGAATACGACTTTCCTTTGGACACCTTAATGATATGCTGAGAGTAGTGTTTTCCAGGAGGCCTTATGAAATGTAATAAACACCTTCTCCCTTGAGATTTAAGTCAAGAAAGGTACAGGCAAGGTAATTAAGAGGGATAAATTAAAGATAACAATAAAGTAATTATGCAAATAAAGCTAAAATGAGAGAGATAATATACATCTTATTTTATTTTTCCTTTTCTTTTTAATTTGTCCATCTGTGCTTATTCAAGAAAGAGAGATAATATACATCTAAGAAAATGACACATTCACAAAAGGTCAAGATAAAATAAATCTTATTTTTAACTTCTGCACTTAAGAGTTGCTTTAATAGCAAATTACAGAAAATGCCACATGTATAAAGCCACAAATTCAGCAAGGAAATGTGTCCATTTGCAAAAACAAAAGCTAACCTGGATTTCCTTCTATGGTTAATAAAAGCAGGACTGCCAATGACCAAGACTACTTACATCTGCATACAGTGTAAAATAGTCCTCAACTCCATCTTGCCCAGTGATTACCCCATGGCGTCGGTTAATTCCTGCAATTACTTGTCCCTGAAATTCATTTGGAGCTACAACTTCCACAGCCATAATAGGTTCAAGAATACATAATGTTGCATTTGCCAAGGCTGGGTTAAAAAAAAAAAAAAGTTCATTAGTCTTCATACAAACTACAACTCTTCTGTCCAGATATAAAAAAGGGAGAAAAATGATGCTTTCCCAAAGGTACAAACACAAACGGCAAGGTTAAAATATTCGACCTAGACTCATTTTTCCTGTAGTAATAACAGTCACTCTTCTAAATGGAAATTCCAACATTTAATTTTAATATTGGTATTTCCATTATCATATTTTTATCCTTAAAACTCATTAAATAGCAGAGAATAATACAAAAGGGTCTTAAAACAACATCTGATGAAGTCCTTTACCATCTAAATTATCCAGCTGAGTTATTTATTCTCTCTGAAAATCGTCAGGGTTAAAGATAATAACTGTTACAAATTTGACCAAGGTAAACCCATTCTTTCTTTTTTTTTTTTTTTTGTCACCCAAGCTAGATTACAATGGGGCAATCTCGGCTCAATGCAACTCTGTCTCCCAGGTTCAAGCAATTCTCCTGCCTCAGCCTCCGAGTAGCTGGGATTACAGGTATCTGCTACCACTAATTTTTGTATTTTTAGTAGACACAGGCTTTCGACATGTTGGCCAGGCTGGATAAACCCATTCTTTCTTGTGGTCCCTGGCAGGCAGTTATTTTTAATTATAAGAAAATAATTTTTGTCACAGGGCAGGAGGGGACGTGGAGGGTACCCTTCCTATACTCAGAAGCAAGAATCAAGCCACGCCTACGATCTGTCTTTCCTTTTCTAGTCTGAACAATTTCATCACCTGATTGAGAATGAGAAGATCAAGTTTCTAGTTTTTGCTCTACCTCAAAGAAGCTATATGCCTTCTGGAAAAACACAATTTGTCCAGGTCTCAAATTTTTTCATCTACAAAATAAGGATTCCGGACTAGATTGGGCCATTTAAACACTAAAACTCAGTGTGTCTGTATTTATTTTTATCCCATTTAATACATAACCAAAACACTTCTTTCTGCTAAAGTGCTAATGTTTAAATGTAACAATATGGAGAGAATATAATAAAACGTCAAACATTTACATTTAATTTGGAAGTTGTGATAGTGACAAATACTTCCGCCTCAGGTTTGTTACATTATCTCCAAATAAAGGCTTTCAGCAAAACACAGAAATGATGACAAGGGTAATATTTTGTTTAAATATAATCACAGGTTTTCCAGAAGCATCAATTTGTTTATAATAAACCAAAACTAACAATTTTTCTTATATATTTACTCAGTGCTTCTTCTAGAGACAGTATAGCTTAAGTGCAATAATTATGACAACAGGAATGTAATTAGAAATATTTTAAATTTAAATCATATCCTAGCTCACACCTACCCTCCTCGACTAATTAGTTCTAATGAGTGAATTTTGTTCTGAAAGAGAAATAACTGAACTCAAAGAGATACTGCAGACTCCTATGCTTCACTGGCTAAGCCCTGCAGAAACCTACATGGACATCTAAATCACACTAACAATTTTAGAGTATAGAAAAAGTTCTATTCCTTGCATAACTTCTTTACAACAGGAGAGCTTCCTTGGCTCTAAAGAAATGTAATTAATATGAAAAAAAGCACCCAGAAGGAGATATGTGAGCAGATATAGCTAGATTTAGTTACACATTATCTAATGTTCTCAATAGGATAGTAATGTAAAACATCTAGATTGTGAAAGGGTAAAGGGAAGGAAAGAGGCAAGTATATGGTGTCCATCACTCAATTACTGAGGACAGCCTTTCTGGTTCTGTTTCACATCCCCTTACCCTGCTCTCTTCCTTGTAACTCACTAAATCTACTCCCTGATTTAGTTCCAAATGAATCTTACCCTTACACATGCCTTCCTCTAATCCTATACCATAAGATAAGATTCCAAAGCCAACTCGCCTGCCATTTTTCAATAGCCACATTGCATCCAAGTCCTAAAAGAAATTTTTCCTCCAGCAGATCTGTAGTCAATTTTACATTTCAGTTTTAGGTTACCTCACTGATCAGTATCATGAAAACATTTAAAATTAGGCTCAAATGAATTCTAGTGTTCATTTTTTAAATCAAGAATATGGGAGAATTTGAACTATTGTTCTTCCAATTTTGACAAGATATAACATATAATAATAGTATACTATTATAATAACTATAATATCTTACAGTTATAAGCTATTCTTATACTAAGCTCATTTACCAACATTTTCACTGTAAAACTCTAATGTGGCATTCAACAGAGGTGTATGTAAAAAAAAAGTTGATTTTCTTGCTGAGTGTGGCAAGAACTTCCTTTCACCTGACTTTTATATTTTTGTCTTTTTTTAATCAGGATAGAAAAAGCTAATTTTTATTTTTACTTCAAATCTAATGTTTTCTAAAAGTTTTAATTTTTAATTGACAAATAATAATTATATAGGCCAGGCGCAGTGGTGGCTCACGCCTGTAATCTCAGCACTTTGGGAGGCGGAGGCAGGTGGATCATTAGAGGTCAGGAGTTCAAGACCAGCTTGGCCAACATGGTAAGACCCTGTCTCTACTAAAAATACAAAAATTAGCTGGGTGTGGTGGCACGCACCTGTAATCTCAGCTACTTGGGAGGCTGAGGCAGGAGAATTGCTTGAACCCAGGAGGCGGAGGTTGCAGTGAGCTGAGATCGTGCAACTGCACTCCAGCCTGGGCAACAGAGTGAGACTCCATCTCAAATAATAATACTAATAATAATTGTATATATTTGGGGGATACAGTGTGATGTTTTGAGGACTTCTTTCAATCATGGAGAAATAAAAATCAGATGAAGAAACAGCAATGTAACTTATTTCTCATGCTAGCATCCTGCTTGTGTGCATAGTATATTTTGTAAAAAATAAAACTACTCAACCAGCCATGGTGGCTCACACCTATAATCCCAACACTTTGGGAAGCTGAGGCAGGAGGATCGCTTGAGCCCAGGAGTTTGAGACCAGCCTGGGCAACAAAGCAATACCCCACCTCTACAAAAAATAATAATAATAAAAAATTAGCCAGGCATGGTGGCATGCCCCTGTACTCCCAGCTACTCAGGAGGCTGAGATGGAGAATCACTTTGAGCCCAGGAATTCGAGGTTGCAGTAAGTCAAGATCATAACACTGCACTCCAGCCTGGGTGACAGAGCAAGAACCTGTCTCAAAAATAGAAAAGTAATCCCAGCACTTTGGAAGGCCAAGGTGGGTGGATTACTTGATGTCGGGAGTTCAAGACCACCCTGGTCAACATGGTGAACCCTTGTCTCTACTAAAAATACAAAAATTAGCTGGGCATGGTGGTGCATGCCTATAATCTCAGCTACTTGGGAGGCTGAGGCATAAGAATTGCTTGAAACCATGAGGTGGAGGTTGCATTGAGCCAAGATTGCACCACCGCACTCCAGCTCCAGCCTGGGTAACAGAGTCAGACTCTGTCTCAAAAAAAAAAAAAAAAAAAAAAACCTCAATTCAATTATAATCTAGTGTTTTTCCCCTGTATATTTAATAGGCAATTAATTATACTTAATAATATATATACTATACCTAAATAATAAAAAACTAAATGGTACATATTCAACTGTTTAGTTAATATTCATATACATTTTTTCCACAGGAAATACATATTAATATATTAGCTCCAAATGAATCTTACCATTACACATGCTTTCCTCTAACCCTAGAACAAGAGACAAAGCTCCAAACCTGACTCACCCTGCCATTTTTGGATGGTGCATTGCATCCAAGTCCTAAAAGATATATTATATATATACACATTTTATTTTTTTATATATAAAATGGCCATATACATTTTTTCCACAGAACATATTTATATATTTTATATATGTATCTTTTTCCCACAGTATATTATACATATTATATATTTATATATATACTTTATATGGTTTATATATATTTTATACTTTATATATCATATATTATATAATACACATATATATGCATATATACTTTATATATGTATTTTATACAAATACATCTATAAATATATATACACATATAATATATAACATATTATATATATCCTGTGGGAAAATGTATATGGCCACATTATTTATCTATGTATATATATGGCCACATAGATCTGTATTTACTCATATTTAAATGTAGGAGCAGTTAAAAAGGATGAAGCTCCTTGTTAATTGATAACCATATCAATTATCTGGCTTTATGTAACCTCTATTTCCAGGAAAGCTACCAATTTCCAGTAAAGAACCAGCATAGAACAATCAGTACTTTCTAATTTGTTTTAACTGTACTTCTAAAAAGTATATAAAGTGATTATAACTAATTTGTCAGTTTAAGACATACTAAAGTGGTAAACACACAGAGGTAAAAAGACAAGTATTTTAATGTGAGTGATGCCTAATAAAGTCTCATTTTCTTTGTCATTTTACTTACCTGTTTCCTATTTACACAATCTTCAGACTGTGACAAGATTTCTACATCATAAATTTCAACTGCATTTTTAATAGAGAGCTGATATAAAGGAAATCTCCCTATCATAACTGAGAAACTGAAACATAAGTAAAATAAGGAATCAGCAACCCTCCCCAACCACTGCCCCATACCTGATCACAGATGCGAAGTGTGACCAAAAACACCACAAAGTTCAAATTCATACAGAATCAATAAATCCTGATCTACAGAATGTTTAGGAAATATTATGATTAAAGTTTCTACTGTCCACTTTAATCCTCTTTGATAAAGATATTTCTGAAATGTTTTGTGAATCATAATTCTACTGTGTAAAGACACCGGTGGACATTACTAATGTATTTTCACATAAAGGACATGGAAAAGATGACAAAGAGAATGGAATTTTCTGGCTTCAGGAAATGGCTTTGAAGTTCCTTTCTTGAATAATCCTGATGTGAAACTGCTACATTGTCACTAGTTTTTTTTCTCTTAAAAGCGAAGAATCAGATATGTTTGCAACTGCATAAGGTTCTAGTTCATCAGCATTTAAATACAAATATTACTCTGTGAGAAATGTTGACAATTTTAGCAGTTTTGCAAGAAATCTGCATTGTGAATAAGGTTTACCAAATTCTTTGAAAATACTTTGCCATCCTCAAAATGCCTAAAAGCATACAATGTCATAATGAAGAGATTACTTACAAATTTATGGATTTCTTGACATTTCAATAAGTCACTAGAAATAAGACTGTAGTTAAGATACCTTTTAAAAATTTCCTAGAATTCTGAACATTTCAGTCTTCCCTATTAAAAACAGAACTTATAAATTATCTATGAATTCAAATACATGAAAGAAAGCCCCAGAGAATGTAGGAGAATACAGTAGTCTTTTAGCTTTGCAAGAAAGAGAACATAATAATCTACCTTGATCTCAAGTCCATAAAGATTTGCCCACTACCTACAATATTCCCTGTGGAGCCTAGTGCTCTGGGTGAAGAAGACTGAAAACAGTGTTGCCTTCTGAGGCTATGATGATCTATCAGGAAAACAGACAGGCTAAGGTGCCCGGACCCAGCATACCTTGTTTAAGAGCACCTTCTCCTGCTCGGATGAAAGAGATTTCATTAGAATCAACCATGTGGTGTGCTCCATCTTGCAGGACAAACCGGAGCCCAGAGAGCTTGTGACCAGAAAGAGGGCCCTTCTCGCAGGCATCTAAAAACCCCTGTTAATGAATGAACACAACTTCTGGAGTGAGTGGATTTTACTTGCAGATACATTATCAAGAACCCCAAAATATTTGTGTTCAGAAGTGTACGTTTTTATGTGTGCTGTATTTCACCCCTCAAAAATAATTTTTTAAAAATGTTTAACAACTTTACTATTTTTTTTTTAACTTTTAAGTTCAGGGGTACATGTATAGTTTTGTTACATAGGTAAACTTATGTCATGGGGGTTTGTTGTATAAATTATTTCATCTCTCAGGTATTAAGCCTGGTACCCATTAGTTATTTTTTTCTGATCCTCTCCTTCTCATCCTTCACCCTCTAATAGGCTCCAGTGTGTGTTGTTCCCCTCTATGTGTCCATATGTTCTCACAATTTAGCTCTCATTTATAAGCGAGAACATGTGGTATTTGGTTTTTTATTCCTGTGTTAGTTTGCTAAAGATAATGGCCTCTAGCTCCATCCATGCCCCTCCCTGCAAAGGACATGATATTGTTCTTTTTTATGGCTGCATAGTATTGGTGTGTTTGTACCACATTTTCTTTATCCAGTCTATCATTGATGAGCATTTAGGTTGATTACATATCTTTGCTATTGTAAATAGTACAACTTTACTATTTAAGTTTTATTATCGTGGCATTTAGATGAACAATTCCTTGGAAAAGCATATTAGTTAAGGGCGTAAGCTGGTTTGAAAGCAATGCTTAGAATGCTAACAATCACTTTCTCATAACCTCATCTTCAGGAATTACTCAACTCAACTCAATTACTCATAACCCATCATAGAGACAGCATGATCTTAATTTTACAATGAGGAAGCAGCGGAAAGGCAAAACTAAGAAACTCCTTAAAAGAAAACCCCCACCAAAATTGGTGTTTATTCACTAGCTGTGTCTTGAGCCCCTACTGCATACCTCTAACTGCTTTGCCTCATTGGCAGATCACTACATTATAGCTCTAGTGTTACAAAACGTCAGTAAGAACTAGAATTAAAGAGTAATTCACCATTTTTTCAAATCTAATTATTTTAAAAGAATAGCTTTGTTGAAGTATAATTGATATACAATAAACTGCACATATTTAAAGAGTACCATTTGATGAGCTTGCAATTTTTATTAATTCAGTCACTTAACAAATACTTGTGGAGCTCCTACCACTTAAGTTAGTTTTTCCTGGCAACACAATAACATGGCTGCGCAGATAGCACAAAATATTTCTTGACATTTCAAAACTGTAAGTTATATATGCTGTAAAATGTCTAAGTTCTCCTTCATCTACATTAATCTTAGTGGATATAAGAATTTAAAGTGTGTGAATCACAAAATATTGTCTTGAAATAGAATACATTAATGACAAAAAAATGCTCCACCACTGAAACCAAAATTATAACCTGTTAATAAGATCTTCTAAGTTAAAAGGTTAAAAACAAAAACCACAGTCTATATGAATTAATTAAGGGTTTACAACAGTTTTTTTTTTTTTTTTTCCATTTTGGAGACAGGGTCTTACTGTCGCCCAGGCTGGAGGGCAGTGGTGCACAGCTCACCACAGTCTCCATCTTCTGGGCTCAAGCAATCCTCCCATCTCAGCCTCCAGAGCAGCTGGGACTACAGGTGTGTGCCACTACACCGGGCTAATTTTTTTTCTATTTTTATTTTTCTGTAGAGACAGGGTTTCAGCATGTTGCCCACGCTGGTCTCAAACTCCTGGGCTCAAGTGATCTGCCCGCCTCGGCCTCCCAAAATGTTAGGATTACAGGCATGAACCATCATGCCCGGCCTATGACAGTCATAAAGCAAATGACTGGAAAGCAAACAAAACACTAACCCCTCATATGTGCAAAGCACTTCTCCAAGGAAATGTCACATAGTCTTATCTGATCCTCAATTTTGTGAGGGGTGCAGGTTTAAGTATTTTCTCTCAGTTTACAAATGAAGAAACAGTTCTGAATACTGATTTAACAAAGCATATTAATCAGTAGTAGACATGAGACAGTAGCACCCAGGTGTTGGGAATCTAAAGAATGATCATTCTGCTGCAATAGTACACATAAAACTCTTATAAATCCCTAAGAACTACTACAAATTGATTACAATCAATACAGTAGTTTCAATTTATTAAGAAAAATATAACTATGATTCAGAAACATAATAATTTCCCATCATTGTCACAGCATGGATTTACAGCTCTTCTGCTTAATGAATTAGAGATTCTAAATCAGATGGAAAGCTTAACAATCAGAGAAACAGGACTGTAACTAAAACAAACTGTGATAGACAACATGATGGAAGACAAAGTATGATTTAATACCTGATAAACTGTTTTTAGTAAGTAAAAATGCAAAAACACTTTTTTAAAAATTTACCTTTTCTACAGCAGGCACAAACTGCTTTGGAATATTTGATCCGAATGTTTCATCTGAAAATTCCAATTTAGTGTAGTCCTCTGGGTCCAGAGGCTCCAGGACACCTATTACTTTTCCATACTGGCCTGCACCACCTGATTGTTTTTTATGTGTAAAGTCAAACCTGAAAGTGATTTAGGAAAAAAAAAATGGAGCATTATGTAATTACAAAATAAAATAACTCCTATTAATTTAAAAGAACACATTTGATTATTTTTACTTTTTCATTTGAATATGATGGTCTTGCTATAAAAGTTTATTGTAGAATTTATTTTAAAAAGAACCCTCTGTTTTCTGTTCTTACTTGAAGTGAGGGTGGGGTATACTACCCAAGGTAATATACAGATAAATTTCACAAATAAAAAAGTAAAAGTCGAGTAATTAAAAGAAAAAGGTCAGTCTAAGGTTCTTGTTCTAATAACCTGTATTCCAA
Organism: Homo sapiens; assembly: GCF_000001405.40. Classification (NCBI taxonomy): domain Eukaryota; kingdom Metazoa; phylum Chordata; class Mammalia; order Primates; family Hominidae; genus Homo; species Homo sapiens. The sequence goes on along the minus strand of NC_000003.12, from coordinate 158,681,685 downwards.
AAACCTTGCCCATTTCCCTGGAACACAGTGTTCTTTCCTTACATCTCTGTAACCAAAGACAACTACTTGAAAATAGGACCTTTGATGGCTACAGTTAATTTATTCAGATAGTTCCTATTTGATTTTATTCCTTGGGCATTATAGACTCAGGCAATACAAGAAAAGGGATTTCCAAGTGAAATAATTAATATCTGAAAATGATCGGTGGCAAAACGATAGAGACTAACATAAGTAAGTCATTCAAAAGACACAGAAAGATGTATAAACACAGTTCACTGTTTACTTCAAACCACTAATGGCAACATTAATATGATAGAATAAGCACTTTACATATATACTAAAGATATGTAAACACAGGCTACTGTTTCACTGGAAAATCATTTCATGAGTATCTACTGTTTGCAAGGCATTTCTTCCTTTAAATTGAAATCTTCCTCAAGACCACAAGATGGAAGAGGCCAGCTGCTTTCAAAATTATTAGCACATAAGAAAATAGACATTAATGACTGCACATTCCTGCATACAAATCTGAGAGTGGTTTGGAAGAAGCAAATATCAATATTTGCCTGTTCTAAGCTGGTAGGAGATGCTAGCTTACAACAGGCAAATTTCCAAAACTGTGGAACGCTGACATATTCTCAAGTATACACAACGTTCTCTATGAGACATTTTAAATCATGTTTTCCATTTGTCAACAGTATAACATCTATACAAACATACTCTAGATCTGTGATGTCTATATGGTAATAACTAACCATGGCTGTTTACATTTAAATTAAAAGATTTCCATCACTGCACCAAGTTCTATTGGGCAGCACTGCTCTAAAGGACCAAATCGCAAACAAGTAATTCCACACAGTTTCAGGAACCATATCTGAATTTATAATCGAGAGCGTGCCAAACAACAGAATACTTATGTGCCAGGCTTATGTTAAGCACCTTATATGGATTGTCTTACTTGTTCTTTACCACAAACCCATGAAATAGGTATTACTTTTATCACCATTTTACACATGAGAAACCTGAGGGACAGAGAGACTAAGTAACTTGCCCAATGTGACAGAGCATTAAGTGGTAGGGTCAGGATTTGCTCTAAAACCAAGCATCTTAAACATTCTTCTAGAAGGCTAATACAAAAAAGATATAAACTAACTTACAAATGCTGGGGTTAGTTTATTCACTTCAAAAGCTAACCGAAGGTGCTACAAGAAGACAGATTTTGCAGTGGTTTAGAAAAAGAACAGGTAGAAGAACTAAGACTGCTTGACAGGCAGCTAAATAGAAATGCTGAAGGTGAAAGAAATGTCACATTATGAAAGACAATTTCATTTTGGCAAAACATCTGTCACATTAAAATGAACGTTCATTAGAATTGTTGGGTGGGGAGAGGTTGAGGGATGAGAACTCACCTATTGGGTACAATGAATACTATTTGGCAGACGATTACACTAAAAGCCCAGACTTCACCACTACCCAATATATCCATATAACAAAACTACACCTGTACCCACTAAATCTATTTTTTTTAATTGAAAAAGAAAAATTATGTCAGGGCCACATTGTTTTCAACAACGAAAAATATATATACATATATGTAAGAATTGTGTTGGCTTTGCTGTTTACCTCAAATTTGCAGATTTGTTTTGACTTTAGAGTCATAACAAAGTTGCAAGCAATGGGCATTTCTACTAATTATGTTTTTAAGACAGCCTAAATTGGTATGTGTACTTTTAAATGCCTATTATCTCATAACCTATGTTACTAGCTTTGATATACAGAGATGGTGACTGCATTCATAAGGCTTCAAAATGGTGACTTGAGGAAGCTCACATATTGTATTTCTCACTACTGGTGGTAACACAGGAGATATTAACTAGCAATTTGTGAAACTCAAAATTTCATTATCAGCAAAAAGCTCTGAGTTATCAGAATGTACTCAGCCACTTTCCTGGACACTATCAACAGAGGACCTATTCAAAAAAACTCACATGCACAACGACAACCTAAGAGGCTGGCTCACAGATAAATGACTCATCAAAAGGAAAAAAAAATTTAGAGAAAAAAATTCCTCCAACTTCTTAGAAAAAGCCTTAAGAGGAGAACTAACCATTTCATCCTTTAGTTGCTTTATAGTTGCTGGCTAATATAACTAGAAAAGATGAGAAATGCTGTATTGCTATTAATTTTTTTAAAAGCTACTTAGTCCAAAGAAACACTGTATTTATAAATAAATTAAAACAGTTTGAGGAAGATAGTACATTACAAATACATTTTTGTTCATTTTCTTTTTCAAAGCATCAAAACATACAGGCATATCTTGGAGGCATTGTGGGTTCAGTAACAGACCACTGCAATGAAGCTAATATCGCAATAAAGCAAGTCACACAAATTGTTTTCCTAGTGCTTATAAAAGCTATATGTTTACACGATACTGTAGTCTATTAAGTATGCAATAGCATTATGTCTAAACAAAAATCCCACCATACATACCTTAATTTAAAAATACTGTATTGCTAAAACATGCTAACAATCAGCTGAAACATCAGCATCAGAACTAGAAGTGGAGACTGAAGGTCTAGGAGCCTAGAGGGTCTTAGCTTGATGCTGATAGCTACTGACTGATCAAGGTGATGGCTGCTGCAGGTTGAGGTGGCTGTGGCAATTTCTTTTAAAATGTTTTTTAGAGATGGGTCTCACTATGTTGCCCAGGGCTGGTCTCAAAATCCTGGTCTCAAGTGATCTTCCTGCCTCAGACTCCCAAGTAGCTGGAATTAAAGGTGTGAACCACTTCACCCAGTCACATGACAATTTCTTAAGACAACAATGAAGTTGGCCACATCGATTGACTTTCCCTTTCACAAGACTTCTCTGTTGTATGTGACGCTGTTTGATAGCATTATATCCATAGTAGAACTTCTTTCAAAACTGGAGTCAATCCTTTCAAACCTTGCCACTGCTTTATCAACCAGGTTTTACCCTTTGTTGTAATAACAATGTTTGCAGCGTTTTCAACAGGAGTAGATCCCATCTCAAGAAACTACTTTCTTTGCTTATCCATAGAAGAAGGATCTCCTCATCTGTTCAAGTTTGAACATGAAATTGTAGGACTTCAGTCACATCTTCAGGTTCCACTTCTAATTCTCCTGCTATTGCCAATACATTCACTGTTACTTCACCCACTGAAGTCTTAAACTCCTCAGAGTCATCCATGAGGGTTGGAATCAACTTCTTCCAAACTCCTGGTAATGTTATTTTGACCTCCTCCCAGGAATCACAAATGTTCTTAATGGCATCTAGAATGGTGAAGCCTTTCTAGAAGGTTTTCAATTTACTTCGTCCAGATCCATCAGAGGAATCAACCTATGGCAGCGATCGCCTTACAAAATGTATTTCTTAAATAATAAGACTTGAAAGTCAAAATTACTCTTTGATCCAGGGATTGCAGAATGAATGTTGTATTGGCGGGCATGGAAACAACATTAATCTCTTTGTACATCTCCATCAGAGCTCTTGTGTGACAGGTTAATTGTCAATGAGCAGTAATCTTTTGAAAGAATCATTTTTTTCTAAGCAATGGATTTTAAACATTCAGTAAGCCATGCTGTAAACAGACATGCTGTCATCCAGGCTTTGTTATTCCATTTGCAGAATACAAGCAGAGTAGATTTAGCATAATTATTATGGGCCCTAGGATTTTGACAATGAGAAAGGGGCACTGTCTTCAAACTTAGTCACCAGCTGCATTAGCCCCTAACAAGAGAGTCACAGCCTGTCTTTTGAAGATTTGAAGCCAGGCACTGACTTCTCTCCAGCTATGAAAGTCACAGATGGCATCTTCTTCCAAAAGAAGGATGTTTCATCTACACTGAAAATCTCTGTTGTTTGGCCAGGCATGGTGGCTCATGCCTGTAATCCCAGCACTTTGGGAGGCCGAGGCAGGTGGATCACGAGGTCAGGAGTTTGAGACCAGCTTGACCGACATGTGAAACTCTGTTTCTACTAAAAATACAAAACTTAGTCGGGCATGGTGGCAGATGCCTGTAATCCCAGCTACCTGGGAGGCTGAGGCAGGAAAACTGCTTGAACCCAGGAAGCAGAGGCTCACTGTAGTGAGCCGAGATCGTGCCACTGCACTCCAGCCTGGACGACAGAGTGAAACTCCATTTCAAAAAAAAAGAAAAAAGAAAATCTGTTGTTCTGTGTAGCCAACATCATCAACGATCTTAGGAGACCACTGATCATTGCTGCAGCTTCCACATCAGCACTTGCTGCTTCACCTTTCACTTTTACGTTAGAAATGGCTTCTTTCCTTAAACCTCATGAACCAACATCTGCTAGCTTCAAACTTTTCTTCTGCAACTTTCTCACCTCTCTCAGCCTTCATAAAATTGAACAGAGTTAGAGCCTTCCTCTGGATTAAGCTTTGACAGAGAGAGAGAGAATGTGCAAGCACAACTGGTAGGTAGAGCAGTCAAAACATATACAATTATATGGATGAAGTTTGCTATCTTATATGGGCAGGTTTCATGGTACCTCAAAATAAATTACAATAACATCAGAAATCACCAATCACAGATCACCATAACAGATATAATAATAATGAAAAAGTTTGAAATATTACAAGAATTACCAAAATGTGACACAGAGATGTGAAGTTAGAATATGCTATTAGAAAAATGGAGGTGAGGCCGGGCGTGGCGGCTCATGCCTGTAATCCCAGCACTTTGGGAAGCCGAGGCGGGTGGATCACTTGAGGTCAGGAGTTCGAGACCAGCCTGGCCAATACGGTGAAACCCTGTCTCTACTAAAAATACAAAAATTAGCCGGGCATGGTGGCGGGCACCTGTAATCCTAGCTACTCGGGAAGCTGAGGCAGGAGAATTGCTTGAACCTGGGAGGCGGAGGTTGCAGTTAGCTGAGATTGCACCACTGCACTCCAGCCTGGGTGATAAGAGTGAGACTCTGTCTCAAAAAAAAAAAAAAAGAAAAAGAAAAATGGAGCTGATAGACTTGTTCCACATGGGGTTATCACAAACCCTCAATTTGTAAAAAACATACTATCTGTGAAACACAATAAAGTTGAATAAAATGAGGTATGTCTGTTTAAAAATGGAAAATATAATTAAGGTTTTTAATTTTAAATTTCATATTTAATGTAATATTCTGACAACTCACTTTATCAGTATATTAAATAAAACAGTATATATATCACATTGAAATTACCATTCTAACAAACTAATAAAATTCATATCTTGTGTGTACATATATATTTATTTTCATGTTTTTCTGTAGTTATTATACCAAGTATATTCTTATTCTTATTAATCACCACTTTTAACCAAAGTAATCAACTTTTGCTTTCCCAAAGAGAAAACCAGAAGACAGAAAACCAAGAAATGTCAAGCTAAAATTTTTTTTTGAGACAGGGTCTGGTTCTTTCATCCAAGCTAGAGTGCACTGGTGCAATCTCGGCTCATCGCAACCTCCTCCCTGTGCTCAAGTGAGCCACCCACCTCAGCCTCCCGAGTAGCTGGAACTACAGGCACATGCTATCACATCTGGCTAATTTGTGTAGTTTACAGACAGGGCTTCGCCATGTTGCTCAGACTAGTCTCAACCTCCTGGGCCCAAGCGATCTTCCCACCTCAGCCTCACAAAGTGCTAGGATTACAGGTGTGAGCCACTGCACCTGGTTAGCTAAATTTTTATAAATACAAATTTTAGATTACTTCTATAATTTTAAGGTGGCAAAACAACACATATATAACAACCAAAGTATCTGCACATTGTGTTAATTCATAATCATTTTATAATGTATAAGAATAAAGGTAAACTGAAACTCTCTTTAGTAACCAAAGCTCTGTATCATGTATTAGTCAGAAATTGTCCAATTATCCCAGGACTAATTGAACATTATGTAAGGGCCTGAAAGTTAACTGGAGATCTGAAAAATTATAATTTTAGTTAACACATTTGGTCTTTATAATAGAAGCATAATTTTATAAGATTAAAACTCCTTTAAAAGACATCTGTATTAAAATTTTATTTAAACACCATTTTATATTTTGTAATCTTATACAACTGATTGAATCAGTAACTTGTTTGGCCCATTTGATCAATATATAAAATTTAGAAAGTTTAGATCATGAAAAGATCAAATTCAGTTTTATATGAACTTGGAATATTTTATCATTATGTAATAAAACCTGGAAGACATATAATCAACTTTAAATAAATATTATTTTGTTACAGCTCACCCAAATTCATCTATTAATCAGAAATATTTTATACATTTTTAAAAATATAATTTATAAACTTTATATTCAAAAATCATTAAATCATGTTTAAGAGCTCCTCTTTTATCTTGAAAACTTGTTTTTTTTTTTTTTTTTTTTTTTTTGAGATGGAGTCTCACTCTGTCACCCAGGCTGGAGTGCAGTGGCATGATCTCCACTCACTGCAACCTCCGCCTCCTGGGTTCAAGCAGTTCCCTGCCTCAGCCTCCCGAGTAGCTGGGATTACAGGCGCCCGCCGCCACGCCCGGCTAATTTTTGTATTTTAAGTAGAGACGGGGTTTCACCATATTGGCCAGGCTGGTCTTGAACTCTTGACCTCGTGACCCACCTGCGTTGGCCTCCCAAAGTGCTGGGATTACAGGCGTGAGCCACTGCTCCCGGCCGTAAACTTGCTCCTTATAAACATAATAATAAAGGCTATTTAAGTTCATTTGACCACATTAATTTTTACACATTTTTTAAAGCACAATGATTTTTTTCTTAGACATTTTTGGCTGTTTATTTGGACTAGATATTCCTGGACTGCACATATAATGACAGAATGACTTAGTCTCATGAATCATCTTTCAAATTTTTAATGAAAGAAAATGAGAAACAGGAAAAGGTGAGCTACAGCCAGTTTTAGACAAATATGAAATTATCACTGTAAAACGCTAATTATCTTTTCTTTTCAAGGAGAGAGGAAAAAGCTTAAATATAAGCCATGTTATTAATAAAAAACCTTGAAGTATGGAAATAAAATATGGGCAGTCTTCTACTTAAAATGCTCTTAGACAAATAAGACAAATACTGTTCTCCGAAAGTCTTATTTTTTTATTTCTGGTGTTCTTCTAAAGTGTCTCTCAAATGAACAGTCTTCTTCATGTCAAAGTTCCCCAAATTTCACCAATTCTTTGGTAAATTTATCCCAGGAGACAGTGTAAGTTCGTATCTGACAACCCCATCGAAAATTGGCTGATATTCTGTATTTGCAAAAATATTGCCATGGGTGGGTCAGGGTTTAACAAATGCTGAACTAAGAAACGTGGAGAGGCCAGGCACGGTGGCTCATGCCTGTAATCCTAACACTTTGGGAGGCAGAGGAGGGAGGATTGCCTGAACTCAACATGGTGAAACCCCATCTCTACTAAAATACAAAAAAATTAGCCAGGTGTGGTGAAGTGCACCTGTAGTCCCAGATACTAGGGAGGCTGAGGCAGGAGAAATGCTTGAACCTGGGAGGTGGAGGTTGCAGTGAGCCGAGATCACGCCACTGCACTGCAGCCTAGGCAACAGAGCGAAACTCTGTCTCCAAAAAAAAAAAAAAAAAGGTCATGTGTGAAAGACAGTGTCTCGCAAAGCAAATTTCTCATACACGGACAAGACTGAGAAAAGTTTCATTGACATTTGATACAAGATGATGGGCAAGCAGACAGATGGTATTTAAAGGCAAAGTCAATCAGAACCCCCAAATCCCAGGAGACAATAATAAGCATGAAACTGAGGCCAAAGTCCAGAATCCAGATTTACTGCAGAATCTACATAATCAGAAAGAGATACACCTCAAGAGTCTTGGGTGTGTGCATTACTACCAAGTTAAAGGTCCTGGCCAGGCATGGTGGCTTATGCCTGTAATCCCAGCACTTTGGGAGGCTAAGGTGGGTGGATCACCTGAGGTCAGGAGTTTGAGACCAGCCTAGCCTAAACCCGTCTCTACTAAAAATACAAAAAACTAGCCGGGCATTGTGGTGGGCACCTGTAATCCCAGCTACTCTGGAGGCTGAGGCAGGAGAACTGCTTGAACCCAGGAGGCGGACGTTGCAGTGAGCCGAGATAGCACCATTGCACTCCAGCCTAGGCAACAAGAGTGAAATTCCATCTCAAAAAAAAAAAAAAAAAAAAGAAAAGAAAAGAAAAAAAGGTCTCAATCCAGGCAGCGAAGACCTTGGCCAAACTTTGGTAGAATCTCCAAGTTATCCTAGCCCAATTAACCTAAGACCACCAAGGATAAACCTGTACTTCTACAAAGTCAGGTTTATAGGCCCATTGCAATGAGGTAGACCACATACCAGAGAGAGTGCTTTGTATAAGTTCAGTTTTTAAGTTTATTTTAATCCTTGAAGTAAAATATTCAAAATGACTCAAGTTGGAAGCATGGCGTTACATCAAAACTTATCATTTTAAGATTAGTAAAGGAGAGGGGTACAGGTGCATTTTTTTATTTCTCCTGATCCAAATTACATAATCTCCCAATTTAATACTATAGTTTGCAGATTCTCATACTTTGATTTGGGCAGAACTGGTCCAAACCCACAAAAAGCTGAGGATGAGCAAGCCTCTTCCTGGACTCTCATAAGGGGAAGGGAAATGAAGGAATCGAATCACTACCTGGAGTACTGTGTACCTTGCCCTGCCAGGGACGCTGCATGCGGTGTATAAGGAAGTTGTGCTCCAGTATGCAAGCGAAGCAACCAGACTTTTTTCCCATGGACAGGAAACTAGAGTCTTCAGAGATGTCCTATATCAGCGAAAGCCCCACCCTGCACTTCTATAAAGGTTAATGAAACGAAAGATGCAATCCCAGCGAACCTAGCCCACTGACTCCCTCCCCACACCTCCACCTGCTGGTGCCTGACAAGCATGCTGGCCTCTCCTCCAGTAGGAACCAGCAGGCGGAGTAAGGAAGCCCGCTGCAGGCAGTAGTGGGGCGGGGCCTCAGAAGCAGTCAGCCCAGGGCTCTCGGATGCAGGGAGCCTGGGCCCAAACAGCAGCTTCCGGAGTCGGAAGGAGCTGAGGAAGAAGACTGACTGAAGGAGCTTGCGACTTTTCCGCCTCGGCAACCGGACCCAGCAGCAAGCAGGACGGGCGGCGCTCTGCTACTGGTCCCGTTAAGCCAGAGTAGCCCAAGCCCTGAAGTCACTGCTCATCCGGAATGGAAATCCCGCCGACCAACTACCCAGCCTCCAGGGCGGCCTTGGTGGCACAGAACTACATCAACTACCAGCAGGGGACCCCGCACAGGGTGTTTGAGGTGCAGAAGGTCAAACAAGCCAGCATGGAGGTGAGTTTAGCAGGGGGTGGTGGACAGCAGAGGCTTCAGGATTGCGCTCCCTCCACTCACCCGCGGTCTCAGCCTTTGGGTGCAGACACTCCGTGCCACCCCCTACCCACCTTCTGTTTTAGGACACACTGCTGGTATCTGGTCTTGAGATATTAAGGTTTCTGGGGGAATGTCTATACTCCAGTCTCTGGAGACAGCCCGGGACTGTTTTCACCTTAAGGCAGAGACAAAGTTTTTACGCACACAGTTACAAGAAAACGGGAACACGCTCTAGGTAAGGGGCAGCACTTTCCTTAAGTGTAAACTGTAGAAACCATTCAAAAGACTACTAAGGCTGCCACGTTTCTCATCTGCTACTCTGATCTGGACCAACAAAAGCTCCCATCTTCCAAGACTCTATTGCCTACATTTTAAGACAAATCCTTATCAGACCCTTTGACCAAAATGAAGGGGGAAACAAACAGCAAGAGAAACTGACAATCAAAGTCAAAGAATAAAAGCACTGTGGGCTGACGCTGGCCTTTAGCCACCCAAACACCGCTACCACATGACTGCCTTAAATGATGTGCACCCTCTGCTAAAGGCTTGAATTAAATGTTTAAGGCCTCAGCAATCACTAACGAGGTTTGTTTTCATTTTACGAAAATCTACTGGATTTGAGATTATCCCTTATTTATCTGACAGAATTTTAACTGCTAACAGTCTTTTAGAGGTGACACAGTAGATCTTATTTTGAAACTGTACCAGATAACAGAATTAGGTATAAATTTTCAATCTGTATCTTGATTTAAAAGTGAAATACCATTTCTTAGTCTTATATAATTTGTTAATCATTTTGCAGTTTCACTAATGTATAAGTAAAAACAATACTTAATTGTATTAAGTCTCCAATTGCTTTGCAGTAATCTGCCTCAAAATGAAATTCACATTCATTGAACATTATTTGGAGGGTACACTGAGCTTTATGAAAAAATCTTTTCAAAGGTGATATTGTCATCTTTAGAATTAAACGCTGTTTCAAACTTTCTTATGTAGAGACTTTAAGATCACAGATCCAGGGGTTAAATAAAGTCTTTTGATGATTGAAAGTGAATTGTGCCCAATTTGTATGCTTTTATCCTACTCTTTTGTTTTCATCCAAAATAAACTTGATAGGGGACTTGCTAAATTAGATGTTACATTCATGGTGACATGCCTTTTTCAAGACCTAAGGCTTTCACCATTCCCCTTCAGCCAGCCCCTCCAACCAAATGAGATGCATACTTCTAACAATGCAAGTATAATGTTGTTATAATATTTTCTTGTCTCCACTACATTTTCTTAATTTTAGGATATTCCAGGAAGAGGACATAAGTATCACCTTAAATTTGCTGTTGAAGAAATTATACAAAAAGTAAGTTAAATTTCTTTTTTCTTTGAGACAGGGTCTCACTCTATCACCCAGGCTGAAGTGCAGTGGCAGAACATGGCTCACTGCAGCCTCAACTTCCCGGGCTCAGGCCATCTTCCCACCTCAGCCTCCCCAAATAGCTGGGACCACAGGTGCATGCCACTACACCTGGCTAATTTTTGTGATCCTCCTGCCTCTGCCTCCCAAAGTGCTAGGATTACAAGCATGAGCTACCAAGCCCAGCCAAAATGTTCTTATTAAACAAATTTAATTCTAAATATTCCAGATCATCTTTGCTGATCAAATCTGTAAGATTGATTAGTTTTACCTCTTTTTAAAAAGTTGTTGTGAAATACCTGCCTCTGAAAAACACTGACCATATGGGCAAAGTTTACAAGGATCAGTTCTTTACTATCTTTGGGTATTCCTAGGTATATGAATTATTTCTACCAAACTACACAAAAAAAGACTATACACTTCAGTTCAAATGAATTTCTTAAGAAGTTACATACTCTTAGGGCAGTCTGAACTTATGCCTAATATAAATGAGTGAAGTAATTTATTCCCCAATCAATCATCTTCTTAACGTCTGCTTTTCTCATTCTATTTTTCACTGGGTTTTTAGAGAAAGAACGTGCTCTTAGATATTCAGAAGCAATAGAATGCCAGCTGATACCACCATTCAGATGAAGATCTTTCAGTAATGGGGAAGGGAAATTTTAAAGATTATACACAACTGTCAAATTATTAATGAGACAAACTTAAAAGAAAGGAACTGCAATCTGTACCACAGCCATCTTGAAATTTTAAAAAGCTTGCCTTTCTGTTGAGCATAATTCATAAAGAGATTCATTAAAAGGCATCTGAGCTGCTAGACAGCCATCTTTACAAAGCATAACCCAATGCCATAATCTTCTAATTTTATATCCAGACACAGACTGCTGCATCTGCATTTCAAAAACTTTGTTATTTCAGGAGCAAAGAGTAAGAGTAATGGAAAAACTTTAAAAGTAACCAGTCTTGAGTTGGTATATAAAGTCAGATTAAAATCTGGCCTTGCAAATGGACACCCCATTAATACTGAAATATACTGAAAGTTTTAAGACTAGAATTCATAAGATTATGACACCATATCATTTATAAAGTAAGTTATCTATTTTAGGGTATTCACATGATAAGTCTAGAATTTAATAGGCCAGGCCCAATTAGATACCTCTGAAAACAAGCACTTTGAAGTCTAGTCTAAAACAACACCATTAGGAGCCTATGCTTTAAATCATATCTCAAAGATGATAATTAATAATGAATAGCCTTCTGTATATAAGGATATTTTGCTAAATTTCAAACAGCAAGTTAAGGTGAACTGCACAGCTGAAGTACTTTACCCTTCAACGGGACAAGAAACTGCACCAGAAGTCAACTTCACATTTGAAGGAGAAACTGGAAAGAATCCAGATGAAGAAGACAACACATTTTATCAAAGACTTAAGTCCATGAAGGAACCGCTAGAAGCACAAAATATTCCAGGTATATAAATATGGCATGAAAACCATTTGTTTGATTCAAACTTAAAATCAATCTCAATTATCTGTGCTTAAAATTGTTAGTTGCTAAGTATGTTAGAAACTTACAGGCTTTTGCAAAAATACTCATTTCTAATCCAATCCAACAAAAAAGAGGCCTCAGAAATTTTATAGATCCATAGCTTAATTAAATTATTTTTTGCACAACATTCGAAGGAAACTAAGACATGATTTAGAATTTAGATTTTGTTTTAAAAGGTTAATACTATATATATGATTATCATATAAATGTGTCTCCTACCAGACAATTTTGGAAATGTATCTCCAGAAATGACGCTCGTTCTACATTTAGCCTGGGTTGCCTGTGGTTATATAATATGGCAAAATTCTACTGAAGACACATGGTATAAAATGGTAAAAATTCAAACTGTCAAGCAAGTGGTAAGTAGTTTCTATAAAATACACTATTAATGGGGTTAATATTTATCGAAAGTATTGTAATTCATAATTGGATTAACAGTATTCCTATAGTCATTTTGTATTTAATAGCAAACCTGGGATTTCAAAGGGGAGGTCAGGTACAATCAAGATTAGAGAAGGTGAAGAATTGTAGGAAGAGTCCAAAGCAACAGTAACTGGTCTAAAAAGTTGTTTGATTTGGCTGAGAGATGCAAACCACAGGCCTCCTTTGCCTCAAACTTGCCTAATAACTGTGCTTTGTTAGTTGCATGCTCTGGGAACATAGAGACTAGGAAGCATAACAAAAGCAAGGCAAAGCCAAGGATTTCAGTGAAACACTTCCTGTTAATACACAGTATCTAGACTGCACTTTCAAAAAGCATCACGGTAATCATAGCTCTTAATCTTTCGGGTTAGTCAAGTCAGATTTAACTATGATACTTTCCTCAAACCCTCTTCTAGAACAAAAAGGTTGAGAGAGTTTTATTAGTAGCAGCAAGACAGAATCCCAGGTGTACAATATACAGTCAGGCCTCTCCATGGGTTCTGCATCTATGGATACAAACAACCGAGAATCAAAAATATTTGGGGGAAAAAAATGGATGGTAGCATCTGTACTGAACATGCACAGATTTTTTTCTCGTCATGATTCCCTAAGTAATATAACAACTATTTATATAACATTTAGATTGTATTTGGTATTATAAGTAATCTAGAGATGATTTAAAGTATATGAGAAGGTATGCATAGGTTATACGCAAATACTACACTGTTTTATGTCAGAGACTTGGGCATCCGTGCATTTTGGTATCTGAGGGGAATCTTGGAACCAATCCTCCATGGATACTAAGGGACAATTGTAATGACTCTCCTCACCTTTAATCTGCTCTATAGAGATCCTCAGGGCCACTTTTTATGGCAGTCACAAGCAAAGCTGTGCTTTCAGAAGAGTGAAGTCTTGAGTTATAATCCAACATTTAGCTTTTGTGCTCAGCTTAATACAGATTATTTCCCTTAGCAATCTAAGTTTTGTGTTCAAATTACTATAGTCATGCCATACTGAAACTATCTGTTTTTTCCCTCTACTGTACAGTACAGAAAAAAGCTTTAATTACACAATCACACAACTACACTCACTACATTTTACTATTCTCAGGTGTTCTGGTTTTTTTGTTTGTTTGCCTGTTTTTGAGACAGGGTTTCACTCTGTTGCCCAGGCTGGAGTGCATTAGTGTGATCATGGCTCGCTGCAGCCTCAATCTCCCAGGCTCAGGCGGTCCTCCCACCTCAGCCTCCCAGGTGGCTGGGAGTACAGGCACACACAGGCATGCCTGGCTAATTTTTTGTTTATTCTCATAGAGACATGGTTTCACTGTGTTGCCCAGACTGGTCTTGAACTCCTAGGCTCAGGCAAGTTGCCTACCTCAGCCCCGCAAAGTGCTCGGATTATAGGTGTGAGCCACTGTGCTCGGCCTTATTTTCAGTTTTCAAAAAGAGAATTTCTGTTATAAAATTGGATTCTTTCAATGTAAACACCCATTGCTATAGCTTATCCCATAAATTATGCTTTTCTGTACAATGGAAACACAGAGCATTCTTAAATAACAAGCTACACTTGCTAATTCTCTTAAGTAGCCACCACAACTTGGAAACTAAAAACAGGTAAACATTTCTTGGGGAACAAATATAAGATCATGATTTTAAAATGCATCTTGAAAGAACACTTTATTTAGTGTAAGAGAATAGATTTTGTCACATTAAATTGAAATTATGACATTCAATTTTTATTTTTACCTAAATGGAAATATTATATTCATCTAATCAAAGATGATTTTCAAAATTAAATGTAATTTTTGCCAAAGATATTAAGTTTTAAACAACACGTTTTTATTTTTTGTCATAGCAAAGAAATGATGACTTTATTGAATTAGACTACACCATTCTACTTCATAATATAGCATCTCAGGTAAAGTATAATTTACCTTTATTTGATGCCATTCTGAAAACTGAGACTCCTTGTATAGCCACAGTATGCTTTATTAATTTTGACTCTAAATCAGAATTCATGTAAATCCAGATAGGCACCAGATTTAAGTATATTATAATTGCAGCAATTTAACAAAAGTACTATTCTTTGTGAAGACTGTTTTATCTCTAACAAAACATAAACCCAACTACGTTTTCCTAAATGTTTTCTGAATTTTATCATGGCATTAATTTTCTTCACTTGCAGGAGATTATTCCCTGGCAAATGCAAGTTCTCTGGCATCCACAATACGGCACTAAAGTAAAACATAATAGCCGTCTGCCAAAGGAAGTACAACTGGAATAAACAAAAACCCTAACACTGGAAGTGTAAACATGTCTATTGATGTGTATGCCAATTTCACTGGCATCTAGCTTATGAGGCCAAATAATCCCAAAGTGTCACTTTATATAAATGTCTTGATTACAGTATAGAACTTTATAGAGTCCATAATACAAAGTATCACTACATAAAAATGTCTTTAAAACAGTAATAGTGGTATGTATATCCAAAATAAAAAGCTTCAATTTCAGCCTCATAATGTTTAATTACGTTGCATACTTACGGGACAGGGGCAGTAATGGTCTCTCGAAAGGCAACTTTTGGCTTTCCTGTGATACAAGGACAGCCATACTCTCTTTCCAGCCTCTAAAAAGAGTGGGGAAAATATTATTTAAATTTAAAAAAATAAACCGAAAGAAAACCTCCTAAGCATCTTATATATCTTAGTAGCATTCACTTAAATATAATAGATAAACAAATCTTAAATCATTTTAGTATCTTATAAGGATTAGGTATGTGATACTTAATACAAACTGCTTTTACAGATTTTATATAAATGAATTCTAAGTTACATTGATTAATTTATATTTACCTCCAATTAATCTAACCACTAAAACGTCACCATTGTTGAATATTATTACATATTCACTGGAATAATATATAAATCTGTTGTCAGGATTTTCTATCTCAACTTCAAAGATAAGATCTCACCAAAATTTCTAATCACATATCTTTGGTTTTTACTTATATATCAATACATACAAGACCTTTCCTGGGAAGGTATAGGCCCCATCTTCCCTTCCTTTTATCTATATTATAATGATCTTCAAGTAATGACTTGAGAAGAAATGGCCTGAAAAGTTGGTACAACCGCAGGTTGTCTCCCTAAGGCTTGGACCAGGATTTACTTGACCCAGTTACCCATGACCTGGGGATGGACAGATATTCTTGTTGCAAATCCCCTGAGCCTTGATTCTAGGAGTCCAGAACGTTTTACAAATAAAAAGATTTAGAGATCGAAAATAATTATTTTGTAACACATAGTAGAGGAAGCAGTAGACCACATCTGGATACAAACCAGAGTGACGCATGAAGAACCAGAGTTAGTTACAGACATTAGATTGAGAATTATTGACTTTTAATGAAACAGACAGTAATAAATTGATTTCAACTTAACTTCCTTATTATTCATTACCTGAGCATAGATTTCCAGGTGTAATTCTCCCATTCCAGATATAACTGTCTCTTTGTTCTCAGTGTCAAAGTATACTTTAAATGTGGGATCTTCTCTTGTAAACCTGCCAATACCTTTTGAAAATTTTTCCAGATCGTTCTTTAAAAGAAGAAGAAAGTCACTATATGTTTTACTGAGCATGATAAGCAATGGGATTTTAGAAAAAACTTTACTGAATGAAATAAAATACATCAGCAGTTAAGAAATAAAAATGATACATATCTAGTTCTACTCCACACCATTTTTAAAAACAATGTGAGCTTGGATACCACACAGCCAAGACAGCAGGGAATAGCTCACTGAACAGAATTTTCTTTCCACACCAAGATAGAAAACAAGAGTCCAAGACTTAACTCTATGCCCTGTCCTCTTACATTGACACACTGTCCTTTTGTGAAAATTGCCCATAAAGCAGAAATTGGAATCTGTGTTACATTTTAGAAATCCTATACATAATCAAAGGAATCAGCATGTTTACCAAGACACTACTGTAGATCCAAGCAGGATACTTAAGACCAACAAATAGGCAAATACCACGATGAGACTTGTCCCTTTCAAAACAATCTGCTTGGATGTGGTATGATGTACCCTTTTTCTCCTTAGATGCCATGTAATCCCGCGTGGTAAGCAGATTAATGGCCCTCCAAAGATACCCTAATCCTCCCAAATCTGACAATACGCTGCCTTACATAGTAAAGGGGACTTTGCAAATGTAACTAAGGTTACAGACCTGGAGATGGGGAGATTGTTATCAATTATCTAGGTGGATACAACATAATCATGTGTGCCTTTCAAACATGGAGGAGGAAGCTAGAAGGGGGGGTCAGAGGGATTCCATGAAGGAAGAAGTGGCAGGAGATATCTGAAGCAAGAAAGGGACTTAACCAGCTGTTGACGGCACTGAAGATGGAGGCAGGGGGCCACAAGCCAAGGAAGGTGGGTAGCCTCTAGAAGCTAGGAACAGCCCTCAGGTAACAGTCTTCAAAGAAATGGGGAACCCCCATCCTACAACCACAAGGAATTGAATACTGCCAATAACCTGAGTAAGAAGGAGAGAAATTCTCCCATAGAGCCTCCAGAAAGGAAAACAACATTACCAATATCTTGATTAATTTAGCCCTTTGAGAACAGCTATCAGCCTATGATCCACAGAACTATAAAAGTATATATTTGTGTTGTTTTAAGCCACTACGTTTGTGGTAACTTCTTAAGTCAGCAATAGAAAACTAACATGCCCAGTACAACCAATATTAACAGCTATCATTTACCACATACCTGGAGCTGTGGTATGTGTTTTGCCTATGTTTTCTCAAATCCCAACCACAATGCTGCAAGGCAGAATTATCCACATTTTACAGGTGAGGAAATGAGGTACAGAGAGGTTAAGTGATTTGTTCAAGGCCACACAGCTATTGCATGGCAAAGCTGGGACTGAATCCCAGTTTAGTCTTTCTAGGTCTTTTGCCTTTTTTCTGCACAAGCCAGATACTCTCAAATTAGAAACATCATGCCTGCCCCCACTATTGAGACTCATGGAGACTTCATTATTCGATTTAAATTAACTTACTCCAGCAAGCAGCCATCTTTAAACTTTTTAATGCATACACAACCCCAAAACAACAAAAAACCTTCTGGATATTGAAGCATTGATTTCCCTCCTTATTGTAAATTATCAACAGTTAAATGCCTTAAATAAACTCTGAATTTAGGAATGAAGAAGCATAATACATAAGCATAAGTTCTAACCTTGCATACTTCCAAAGAGAAAAGCAAGCAATTTTAACAATGTACTTGGAATAAACTATGGCATCCTACTGAGGTTAAGATGTAAGGTTCACCTTTCCTCAAATTCCTGAGAAAATGGAGAAATTTAATATTTCCTGCCACCTCAATTTTCTCTTTTCTATATTGAGAAAAGGTCTGGAAAATCCCAAGGTTCCTCAAAATAGATGTAGTAGTAGCAGCTGTTAGTGATATTATCACACGTGACAATTCATCAGAGTATGTTTTGTAATAAGTTCTGTATAACAAATCATAAAAAGTTCACTCAATGTATGAATAAGTGAATTTCAATATACCACATTAACATGATTGTTATGAATGCCAAGGCAACTTAAGAACTAAAAAGTTATGGTTTGAGATCAGACTAATTCCCATGGCAAAGAATGAAAATGCAAAACCTAATCATGCAATTTTGGATTTATTAAAAGCTAAATTACATCAAACCCAATTATAAAACTATAAAGTATAAAATTATCTTAAAAAATATTTCAAAGTGGAAAAAAGTCTTATTTACAGGCTTTCCATGCAATACTCAGACATTTACCTCATAACTACCAGAAAACCTAGAGCTATTTTATAACCCATGAGTCAATTAATCAGTTCAACATTCTAAAGTACTTTATAGTGGGGTTTTACTACAACTTAGGAGAAGTGCCCGATTCCCCTTTTCCAATTGTGTATGATCTGAATCCGGGAAGTTACACTTAACACTCTGAAGCCAACAATATAGTAAAGAGTTATAAAGTACAGTCAGGTGAATATTTTAATACCATCCATTTCTTCAAATATACTGAGGAGTTATCATTAGAAACAGACTGGTAAATTTAAAAAGAAGATCTCAATACCAACAGAGGAAATAGAGACCATAAGACTGCTGGTTATTACAAGATATCAAGTGCATTGTAGAGATAGATGAAAAAGAGCTCAAGTTTTAATTGTGATATACTGAGCTTTAAATCAAACTCCTACCTTGTTAGAAGGCTTCATTGCTATTGAAATGACAGGATCAGGAACATGAATTGACTCCTAAAATATTTTTTAAAAGAAAACAGAAGAATTAAAAAACAGACCCATATGGGTCAGGGATAGATTAATTTTAATGTGCCACTTTACAACAGAACAAAGGATAAATAGTAGCCTATGTCTTTAGGCTAGACAACATATATCTTGATCTGTTTTGCATTAAATAAGTACATTAATACAACATATTAATAAATAAATAAAGCTATCTACTTATATAGGTTCCTCCTTCCCAAAATAAAATTAATGAATGTATTTATTGCCCTGTTTAACATAATCACTACAATTAATCCAAATACTGAGATGTGAAATTCTTATTGCTTGGTGGCTGTTGCAATCTTCTAAGTTATTTTATTTAATCAAAATATAATACAATTACTGATAAGGCAAACAGAGAAAGGGCACCAAATTCTTCATACCCATGACACCTCATTTAATGAATTACAACTCTGAGAAGCAGGTATTATCCCCATTTTACGAATGCAGTCACTAAAGGCTTGGAAATAAGGTAAAACAAATTGGCTAAGGGCCAGTAGGTAGTATAGGGCAAAGGTGAGACTCTAACCAAGGCCTGTTTGTTTCAATGCCTTGGTAAGCACTTCCCACAACTACCAATCACTTCATGTTGCTAATGACCAGTACTTAGAGAAGGCCTTATCAATAATACTTAGAAAACATTCCTTTTATCTAGATCTCAAACAAAAATTGTATAGATTTATGTTTTTTTTGTAGTGTCTTAAATCAACAGGTAATAATATACACATTAGAGGATACTACAGATAAAAAAACTAAACTATAAAATCATGAATTCATCATTAGATAGCAGGAAGTATTACAGTGCTATTCTGTTAGAGTTGGGTCAGTACTTATGTAAATGACCCACTGCAAATTACCTGTCACCCTATGTACTCATCATACTCTTTCTTTACTGAATTCATAAAAGAGATCACTCTCATAAACAGATGGTCATAATGTAAGAGAGTTTGCTCTCCTACAGAGGCAAAAAAGGTGAGTGAGTGAAGGGAATTCAAAGGCAGGAGCTACCTGTGCATGCTCTTCCCTCAGAATCCCTCAATGATAAAAAGGGACTTCTGAGTTCCAAAGGGCAGGCTATTTATATAAGTCAGACTCTGTAGTTGCATATTGCCTATTGCCTTCTGAGCCTGGTTATGTTCTGTTATCCCAAGTCTAGTCTAAATGTTACAGTCTGGTCTCAAAAGGGATTGAGGGAACAGTATACTTTCTGGCTACTGAGTTAATAAGGAAGTAGCACTCCACTGAAACTAGCTTGATGTTAGTGGTAACAATTAGAAATGCACCCCAAGTGTGGAAGCAGGTCTCAGGGTGGAGGAATCAGAGCCACACTGTCCAGGTACCATCTGGTGGAGATATTTCCTCCTTGCTAAACTTGGGAGGATTGTGGATCCTCCAAGTTTTCCTTTTTACTATGAAAAACCAGGTAAGTTAGCTTACAGAGCACTTGTCTAATTGACATTCAAAGAGCTATAACCAACATTCAAAGAGCCACAACTAACTTGATGACTGTGGTACTCAACGAAAACTTCTGTGGTTGTTTTTCTGAAGTATTAAATGCACTACATAAAAACACAGACTTTTAAAATTCTAGTGATAAGTAGCTTTGAAATTAAATGGCTTACCATAGAAAGGCCGCTGTTGGCTTTGTCTGTGAATGTGTCTCCACTAGCACAGTCAATGCCAAACAATGCACAGATGTCTCCGGCATATACTTCCTCAACATCCTAAAAAAACAAATAACACAAAATTATATTTGCAAGTAATACAAATAAAGATGTGGTAACTAAAAAGTAAACTGTACAGTACACACATTGTATATAAAAAAGCGTGGCAGAATCTCTCTGCTTGAATTCTATAGTGAATTAGCTAGAACCAATACAATAATCAACCATGCTAAGACGTATTTTTAAAAGGCCTTCATTTAAACCATATATCAATAGACAAGATTTTACTTTAAACAGAAAACTCATTACTTGAAGGAGCTGCAGTACTAACAACACAGTGCCTCAAGGTTCTAAAGTTATTTCTATGGAATTAAAAGGCATGTACTGGCGGGGCATGGTGTCTCATGCCTGTAATCACAGCACTTTGGGAGGCCGAGGCGAGTGGATCACCTGAGGTCAGGAGTTCAAGACCAGCCTGTCCAACATGGTGAAACCCTGTCTCTACTGAAAATACAAAAAATTAGCCAGGGATGGTGGTGGGTGCCTGTAATCCCAGCTACAAGGGAGGCTGAGGCAGCAGAGTCGCTTGAACCCAGGAGGCGGAGGTTGCAGTGAGCCGAGATCGCGCCACTGCACTCCAGCCTGGGAGACAAGAGCAAAACTCCATCTCAAAAAAAAAAAAAAAGGCATGTACTATATATGTTGCCGCAGTTAGACAATGAGATTGTGTATGACAGAGATCTACTCTGTCATACATACTCTTCCTTTACAGGAAACCTGTAAAGGAAGTTTTGAAAACAAAGGTAGGAGAATGGAGCCCACTGTACTAAAAATAATTTTAATTTCTCACAGATGCAAGCAGTCAAGAAAACACAGGAAATCTAAGAACAAAGCATTGGTGCCTCCAAGCTTCCTAGTTTTTGTCGTTTTACATTGACAGTTCATTCACAACAGCTGTGGCTGTGAGTAAGCATGTCTTTCTTTAATGGTGACACAGCTGTACAAATCTTCCAGCTTCTGGTCCATGAAACAGCTATGACAATCACTTAGCCTGCCCCCTGCTGCCTATCTCACAAAACAGCAACGCTGTCGGGTTTTCAGACTGACAATTCCTCTTCTAGAAGAAACAAAAGTTATGGCTACCAAAAAATTCGTTAAGATTTTGCTTCAACTGATAAATTTCTCCAGGAATATATAGATGGATTGGGAGAGGGTGGGGGTAGGGGACAAATTCAGGCACTCAGTATTCCTTCCAAGGCCTAACCATAAGGACTACAGAAGGCTACAGCAGATTCCAAGCCAGCTCAAGAATTCAAGGCGTAAGTCAAAGTTTATCTCCCAGATCAGCCCTTGAAGCTTTTAAATCTTCAGGTGGATTCTGGCCCCAATATGGTCCTGCAGTGGGTTCTACAACAGGAATAGAAGCTCTAGGGTTAAACAGGGCTTTTGTGCCTGCCGTATTTCAGAAGGTAAATAAAACAATGTGGAAAACTGTGTAAATTTATTATTCTCTTATCTTTAAGAATCACAGTTCCACAGTCTTAAATGCCTATTACATTTTTTGTAATAATAGTTCTTGAGGAAAGTGCTGAATCTTGTATTCTGAGTGTTGGGGAACTGTCTCTTTCCTTAACCTTGGCCCTTGAGAAAATATAGCTAATTCACAACTAGCGGTATTAAAAAAAATGAGTTAACAACTGCTAATTTATCCTATAGCAAAGTGCTAGATCAGAGCTACAACACATTTAAGTAGAAAGAAACTAGAAACATATATTTAACCAGAATTAATTTTCTAGTGGGGCTCAGGATACCAAGAAGGGTCTATTTCACCCACATCAGAGGAATTTCTAATCTCACAATGACTCTGTACTTGCCTCCATCATGTCGGCATGCATGCGAGCCAGCCGTTGCAACCGTACTTTCTTTCTTGTCCTTGTGTTATAGATGGTGTCACCCTTCTTTAGCTCTCCCTGATAACTGCGAACATAAGTTAATTGTCCAAATCGACCTACCTAGAAGTCAAGATTGGGTAAGGGCAGGAAGAATAAAAAGAAACATAATAATCAAAGTATTGAGGAAAGCTTCATAACTCCCTCCAAGTATTCTCTACCAATTTTAGTAATCTATCTTACATATTTCAGTTTATTGTCATAAACTAATACTAGCTTTGAACACAGATAAGATAAATGGCTGTTATTCATCAATCCTTTTGGTATCACAATCTAAGACATTTCTGTTTCCTTTGAAATAAGCTATTACATTAGAACAAAATTTTTAAGTTGTTTACATAATAAGGAAGTATCTTTTGCCTTCTAACATTTCATAAGTTTAATACAATAAGATATAAAACAAAAAAAAGGTATACTTGGAAAAACAACAAAGATACTATTAGAAACAGTAGGTGTGTGCTATACATCTAAAACACAATCTCTGACAATCACGTGGAAAATTATGTGAGTAAGAGTTCTGTGGCTGGGCTGGTCGCTCAGGCCTGTAATCCCAGCACTCTGGGAGGCAGAGGCGAGCGGATCACCTGAGGTCAGGAGTTCAAGACCAGCCTGGCCAACATGGCAAAACCCCACCTCTACTAAAAATACAAAAATCAGCCAGACGTGGTGGCACACCTATAATCCCAGCTACTCGGGAAGCTGAGGCAGGAAAATTGCTTAAACCCAGGAGGCGGAGGTTGCAGTGAGCCGAGATCGCACCACTGCACTCCAACCTGGGCAACAGAATAGGTGAGACTCTGTCTCAAAAAAAAAAAAAAAAAAAAAAAGAGTTCTGTGAAGTGATTGAATATACTAGCAGTGACCAATTAACATATATTTAACAGTTCCCAGTTCTTACCATGTTAATTATAGGCTTAACAAAATAGCAATCGAAATCCCAACAGGAAATTTTAAACATGATTAGTGATTTTAAAATTCATTCAGAGGAATAAATAGGTAAAAACAGAAATTTTTCAAAAACTATGGTAATAAGATAAAACTAACCCTGACAGATATAAAAACATATTAAAATGCTTGAAACTCAGAAAATTCAGAACCAGCACAAATTAGACTAAACACCCCACAGAGTACAGTATAAAAATCTAAAGTATAAAATATATTTGTCAATAGATGATAAAGAAACATGACAAATCAATGGAAAAGGAAGAAAGGATTGTGCATAAAGTACTAACTGGACAACTGATACTCTATTTGGAGGCAGAGGAGATACATTTAGATCCTACCCACTAAAACAAATTCCAGTTGAATTAATGATGGGGAAAGAAAAAAAACATAAAGAAGTAGAAGGAACGAAAGTAAATATTAACAAAATATATACAAATAAAAGGTTGCTAAGGTTAAAAATTAATGAATGACTAAACAGAAAGACTGACATATTCGACTATACAAACTTTAAAGCACTGATTGCTTTTAAAAATCAAAATTTATTTCATCAAGATAAAAGATTACAATAGAATTCTTCATTTGTTAAATCAGTAATGATTTTTAAACAATACTCAATGATGATATTCATTGAAATAATCCAATACATTAATTTGGAGAGTATGAACGCAATCTGGCAATATAAACCATTAACTATGAAAACATTCTATGCCTTTAACTCAATAATCACTATTCTGGGAATCCTAAGAAAATATTCTTATATATGTATTTTTAAAAGCTTTATGTGTAAATACTTTTACTGTAATGTTATTTCCACTTTTTAATTAAAAAAATTTTCCCCTCATTTTGGAGGTAATAAATATACTGTAAAATATTTTTAAAGTAAGAAAAAGCCCCCAAAATATAATCCCATCCCAGAAATAACCACTCTTAACACTTCCAACTTATCTACCATTTTTCCCCACTTAAAATATTATGTACAGAAGCAACAGCATTTCAACAAAAAGCCCATCCAGTCCCCAAATCTTGGTTTCTAATACCATTTTACTTAAAAAGGAACCAGTGCTCCTTGGAGAACGGCTGATTCTAGGGTTAGGGCATGGAATATACAAGATAAGCCTGAGGCGTCTTGTAGTGCCAGCAAGTAAGGAAGTATTCAAAAAGGCAAAACATTGGAAGATGTTAAAGGAACACAGGAGCCAACTGAGAGTTCCCAATCGCCAAACCCAGCCAATCTGAACAACAAATGACATACTCAAAGTCATAGTTATAACTCAAAGTTCAAAATACATATACGTGAGTCCACGCTGATATTAAATAAGTGATTGTCCAAATAGATAAATAAGCAGGGAAGAAAGACAAATCTCCCTTTCAGAAGAATTCCAAATAACTTATGTAGATAGTGCCCCCTTCAAGGGGGTGGAACATAATTCCCCCCTCAAGTGTTGGCTGAGCCAAGTGACTTCCTTCTAAAAAGTACACTATGAAAAGGGGAATAAAAAGAGTACAGTAACTTTACAGCAGAGAAACCTGTCAAACACTATCTCAGCCAGGTGTGGTGATTGAGGTTAGCATTAACAATGATAAATCAGCCGGGTGCGGTGGCTCATGCCTGTAATCCCAGCACTTTGGGAGGCCAAGACACTCGGATCACCTGAGGTCAGGAGTTCGAGACCGGCCTGACCAACAGGGAGAAACTATGTCTCTACTAAAAATACAAAATTAGCTGGGCGTGGTGGCGCATGCCTGTAATCCCAGCTACTTGGGAGGCTGAGGCAGGAGACTCGCTTGAACCTGGGAGGTGGAGGCTGCAGCGAGCCGAGATTGTGCCATTGCACTCCAGCCTGGGCAACAAGAGCGAAATCTCATCTCAAAAAAATAAAAATAAAAACAAAAAAAAACAAAAACAATGATAAATCATGCTGCAAGTCTGTACCTTGGATATGATGTGACAAGAATAACACTTCACCTCGATGGCAGTCCTCCTAAAAACACATGACTCCAATCTAATCATGTGAAAAGCATCAAATAATAAACCCAAATTGAGGGACACTCTACAAAAGAGCTGACCAATACTTCTCAAAAATATCAATCTCGTGAGAAACAAGGAAAGTCTAAGAAACTATTACAGCCTAGGAGATCATAAGGAGACATGACAATCAAATATAACGTGGTCCTCTGGATGGGCCTTCTGTGGTCCTTCTGTCTAGTGAGACGGAAAAAGGACCTAGACAAAAACTAAAGAAATTCAAATGAAGTAAGGATTTTAGTTAATAATAATATATCAGTATTGGCCCATTAGTTGTGACAGTGTGTATTAACAATAGAGGAAACTGGGTGCAGGATATACAGGAATTCTCTGGACTATCTTCATAACTTTTCTTTAAAATATTCTAAAATAAGTAAGTTTGTTTCTTTTTAAATCATAAACATCTTTTCATGTCAAAAATAGGCATTTCAACATAATTTTTAAAGTCTGAATAATGTTGTACTATAAGAATGTACCTCAGTTTATTTATCAAATTGTAATTACTGGGCATTTTCTTTTTTTTTTTTTCCGAGATGAAGTCTTGCTCTGTCGCCCAGGCTGGAGTGCAGTGGTGCGATCTCGGCTCACTGCAACCTCCACCTCCCAGGTTCAAGCAATTCTCCTGCCTCAGCGTCCTGAGTAGCTGGGATTACAGGTGTCCGCCACCATACTCAGCTAATTTTTGTACTTTTAGTATAGACAGGGTTTCACCATGTTGGCTAGGCTGGTCTCGAACTCCTGACCTTGTGATCCGCCCGCCTTGGCCTCCCACTCCTGACCTTCTGATCTGCCCGCCTCAGCCTCCCAAAGTGCTGGGATTACAGGTGTGAACCACTGCGACTGGCTGGGCATTTTCAATTGTTTGCGAGATTTTGGTTTTATAAGGTGAGCTGAAGCTAACATTAATTCGCTACCCTTCATTAGTTCCTTAGGACATATTTCTAGAAATGGACCCAATGTTATTTATAACAGTAGAAACCTGGAAACAATATAAACATCTAACAATTAGGAAATTTTAAGCAAATTTTGGTGTATCTACTTGATGCACTGTTATGCTACTATTTAAAATGCTTAAACTATTTATAGAAACATGGACCATTATCTACTGTGACATTAAATAAAAAGAGCAGGACAAAACTATACAGGTAGTATGATTTAGGTAAAAATTTACACTCTTCAGGCAAAGAGAAGAGACTAGAAAGAAATGCACCTAATAACAAAAGAACTATCATGTCAGAGCTTTGGAAATTCTCTACCTGCTCTTTCTACTTTCCTATTTTCCAAATCTTTCATAAAAGTCAGAGTCATTCTGTAATAGGAATAAAGCCTAGAAGTAAAAACATTCTACAGATAGCAGTTAAATACATTAGAAAGCAACTTACCTCCAGTTTAAAAGCCAGGCCTACAAATGGGTGGGAATTGTCTCTACTGGAGTTCATTAGGATTTTGGTTTTCTCTTTTGAGTCACTTAAAATAAAAGAAATATAAATCTATGAGATGTAATATATGATATTTCTTTTATATCAATTTATTTCATCAGGAAGTATTATCTGAGAAAAAGCACGTGTGTGGGATATTACTGCTGTCACACATAAGTAAAATTTCACTGAAAGAGATCAATAGAAATAAGTTCTCAGCTGGGCATAGTGGCTCATGCCTATAATGCCCACACTTTGGGAAACAGAAGTGAGAGGATCACTTGAGCTCAGGAGTTCGAGGCTGTGGTGAGCTATTACTGCACCACTGCACTCCAGCCTAGAAACCGAGCAAGACTTTGTCTCAACAAAAAAAAAAAAAAAAAAAAAAAAGGTCTTTAGAGCTTAGCTTAGTTACTACATAGTGATAGGACAAAAGTACACTAAAAAACACAGAAATGGTCTCATAGGGAAAGAAAAGAAAACATAACCAATGAGTTTCTTTTGCAGTTTGTTTCTTTTTTTTTTGGAATCTTATTCTGTCACCCAGGCAGGCTGGAGTGCAGTGGTGCAATCTCAGCTCACTGCAGCCTCTGCCCCGCCAGGTTCCAGTGATTCTCCTGCCTCAGCCTCCTGGGTAGCTGGGATTATAGGTGCACACCACCACACCCGGCTAATTTCCGTATTTTTAGTAGAGACGGGGTTTCTCCATGTTGGTCAGGCTGGTCTCAAACTCCCAACCTCAGGTGATCCGCCCGCCTTGGCCTCCCAAAGTGCTGGAATTACAAGCGTGAGCCACTGCGCCTGGCAGAAGTTTGTTTCTTAAAACTTTTTTTTTTTTAACAGTATGTCTGAAAACAGCTAGTCCCAAATGAGAAAATTTTCTAATGATGTAAACCTTGAGAGAGAGTAAAACAAATCATACTTCCAACTCAAAACAGAATATGATATAGGAACTAGTATAATAAATATTTTTCTATACGTCAAAATTGTTACCCAAATAAAAACCATGATTGTAAATTATGAAAAAAAATCACAGACATAATTAAAAGAACTATCCTTAAATTCCTTCACAGTGCATAAATACGAAAGTATTTCTGCATAAACTAAGATTCAATTTTCAAGACTTACTCCTCTTTATTGAGAATAGCATAGTTCTGGACTTCAGATGGATTTGGGAGGTATTCTAAAACAGCATCTAAAAGAGGCTGAACTCCTTTGTTCTTCAAGGCGCTTCCCAAAAATACAGGAGTAAATGATCTTTTCAGAGTAGCTCTTCGAATTGCTAGCTACAAAAGAAAACAATTTAATGGTAGTTAATGTTAAAATTACATGTTGTGCTTCAAGTCAACTACAAACAAATGAATAAAATGAACTGATACTCTACTCTTTGGAGTGCTGACTCTAATAGAGACTAAAATCAGGTCTCCAATGAACTTAAGGTCAAAATACAAAGAAAAAAATCACTTTCTTCTTCAGGGCTGGGAAGTGATTTACTATACAACTGCTTTCGACACTCTTGGAATCACTAATTCTCACTAATTTTCAATTTGCTAAAAAAAAATACATATACACATAGAAAATAGACACACTAATAGAACACTGCAAACAGTACGCTACAATTGTACAAAATAGAGGAAAAAGTAATATATACGCAAAACCAAAAGCCTATGGAATGGTACACCAGAAGCTATTAACTGGTAACCTGTTTCAGGGACAGGGAAGAGAACTGGGCAGATGGAAGAAAAAAATAAAAGGGTGTTTACTGTTTACCTTTGTATACCTTTTAAATATTTAAACCATATGAACGTATGCTCTATTACGAAACATTTAACTTATCTTTTTCTTTTTGTAAAGAACATACACACAGGAAGCCAAACAGTACAAATCTCTCATAAATTACAGGTCATGACAGTAGCAGCTCCAGGTCCTGCCCCAGCCCTTAGTGCAAACACCATCAATGTGTCCTGCTGGCTGAGCAGGCCTTAGAGAATACGTAGTGGAGCTTTAGCTCTAGCAGCTGGAAGAGGCCAACAATAGTGCTGTGGCCACAACCAACAAATGAATAAAATGAACTGACACTCTTTGGAGTGCTGGCTCTAATAGAGACTAAAATCAGGTCCCCAATAATTTAAGGGTCCTCAATAACTTTTCTCATTTGAAGTTATTACATAACTCACTTAAAAAAAAGTATACCATGTCAAGTATTTTTTGAGGAAGCCAATTATGTTAAATAAATGTATTGAGATTTCATTAATAAAGCCCATACATAAAAGCATCATGTCCCCTCCCTACAAAAAACAAACGACTTCTTTTTGTTGTTAACATAAGACTTATTTTGAAAGCACTTGCCTTTAAATCAGAAATCGAGGGGATTTTTTCTTCCAGAAACATCTCACCAAGCTGTTCATCTGAATTGGCAACACATTCAATTAGCTCCTGCCGGTGGTCAGTGGCCGCCGCCCTTAATTCAGCTGGAATCTCACCATATCGAACAATCTGACTAAGAAAGCAAATATTTTGGTGCTTTAAGGATATTCAACTTAATATATGAAGGACTAATGAAAAATATATGATTAATGGTTAAAATATTTTTTTAGGTAACAAAGAGCTCTGATACATTTGCATTCAAATGGCAAATAAGACTAATGTATACCTTTAAAATGTACACAGAATAGTAGATAAATATACTGAAATAGGCAAGTTTAAGGTCAAGGTTGTACTACCAGTAACCGGAAGAGCTAAAACAGTCCACTATAATGAGAAAAAAAAAATCTCTGGTTTTATAATAGACATCACATTCTACTTTTCTGCATATCAAGTTTTACAGAAGAAAATGATAAAATATATAACACAAAATCTTCCCAATTTAATGCAACCTGGTTTATCCTTACTCAATATACAGTAAAATACAAGTTCAAAACAATGACTTGACAAAGTATCACCTAAATCAAAGTTTAAACTCTTCAGTGTAGTTTTTACTGTACTCTAATTATTTTAAAACTGGCAGGCATGCAAAGTAATAACAGCATCCATTTACTGAATACTTATAATGCAGTAAGCGCTAAACTAAATATGTGACAAGTTATTTATTTGATCTTCACATATGAAGTAGCTTCTATTATCTGCATTTTCAGATCAGGAAACTAACTTACACAGGCAAAGTAATTTGCCCAAGGCTGTCCTACTAGTAAACAGAAGAGGTAAGATTCAAAGCCAACCTGCCTAGGGCCCATCTGAGTTCTTTGAAATTGTATTAATCATATTCTTATTAATCACAACATAACAATCTCTAGTAAGCAGTACTAGGAAGACCTTACTCTATTCCTTTCCATTAATAACAGACCTGATCATATACTTTTTAACAAAGAATATCCCAATTTGTAGTTTAAAAAAACGGTGACTAAATATGACAGACTCTTCAATCTGTGACATCAGTTCTCCATTACACCAGAGGTTGAACAGGTAAAATTACAAATAAAATGTTCAAAGCCAAAATGGATATACTTGACATGATATTTAAAAGCAGTCTGAAAATTTTTCAAGGTATTTCTTTTTTTTTTTTTTTTTTTTTTTTTGAGACGGAGTCTCGCTCTGTCACCCAGGCTGGAGTGCAGTGGTGCCATCTCGGCTCACTGCAAGCTCTGCCTCCCAGGTTCAAGAGATTCTCCTGCCTCAGCCTCCCGAGTAGCTGGAACTACAGGCACCCGCCACCACGCCCGGCTAATTTTTTGTATTTTTAATGGAGACGGGTTTCACCGTGTTAGCCAGGATGGTCTCTATCTCCTGACCTCGTGATCTGCCCACCTCGGCCTTCCAAAGTGCTGGGATTACAGGCGTGAGCCACTGCGCCTGGCCTCAAGTTATTTCTTTAAAAATGGAAATTAATATCAAAAAGTAAGCTTTTCAGAAAACACATTCCTAACTTTAATAAAGACAAAAGAAGCCATTTCCAACAAAAAGTAACACTTAATATTCTAAGACTCCCCACAACTTTCAGATTTTAATTTCAACCTTCCTGGCAAGCTCCCTGCTTCTTAGCCTTTCACATGTCAGAATCATCTGTGGATTCCTTTCCAAATACACATACAGTAAACTAGGGCTGGGGAAGGGGACATGTACATTAAGATGCTGCATCTGTGGTTCTGATGTACAACAAAGTTTAAGAGTCTCTACTTCTGACAACAGAAATATGTGCCTTGGTAATTCTGGGAAAGTGGATTTATTCATTCATTTACAAATATTTTTGAGTCCCTATTATGTACTAGGCAGTTACAACTGCCTAGTTGTAACTAGTTGTTCTAGGGGCTGGGACATAGCAGTGAATAAAGTAGGAAAAAAGAAAAACAAAAACTCTGCCTTACTGGGCCTTATATCCTAAGGAGTGGTAGGTAAACTTTGTTGTCATTACTCAGTTGTTACATAAAAAGTGAGAGAAACACCTTATCCACTGGACAGACTCCATCCTTTTCCTGCTTACAAGATGGCTGATGAAGATAAATTCTATAGTTCACTGATCACAATGCCATTCGCCCACCTGCCAGACCTGCGATCCCAATTCCATAGCAGAGGAAGGAAATCCCTCAGGAAGTGCCTGTGGAGAAACGACCAGGCTACAGAGGTCACTCCTCAGAACAAAGGATCATTTATGACTCCTCACATTGTCTAGATCAGTGTCACTCAAAGTGTGGTCTGCAGACCTGTAAGAGCAGCATCAACTGGAAACCTTCCAGAAATGCAAACTACGGGCCCCACCCCAATCTACTGATCAGAATCTCTGGAGGTAGAGCCAGGACTATGTCTTTTAACAAAGTCTCCAGGGGATTGTTATGAACAACGCTAAGGTTTGATAACTACCAGGCAATTACAGTACTTTGTAGGTAAAGGTCACTCAAGAGCTGATGGACCAAATACCACATCAAAAAGTTACCAACTTATTTCTTGCATTTCCCAAACCACATTTGTACAATTTTAACTGTTTTAATTTATTAATCTTTTCTGTCCATGTAATTATAAAGCAGGAAGAGCAAATATTTATGATCTCTATTTTCTTCCTAATTTTTATCACAATACCCCAGACCTGGCAGCTGCTCTATAAAAGTCCACAGAATGAATGAATAAATGAACAAGTGCAAAAAGATACAATACATTCACTAACCCAAATTTACTAACCCAAACTGAAGGCCTCCTTCTACCACACCATGCATGCCATAATGTGATATGGGTATATTACCCAAAAAGTAACATAGTCTCTCACAGAATAAATACTAAATAAAATGGGGAGCGACTAGGATTAAAGGTATTAAAACAAAACCATCTCAGAGTATTCTTGCAGTCGCATTTCAAAAAGATAGTTACTCTGCGTTTGATGAACTTATCCTTTCCTTCTTTTTAATGCTTTTTAAAATTTAAAATTTTAATAATGTATTTTTAGCACTTACCCAAAGTCTCCATCAAAATAGATGGCTCGTTCCTCAATAAGATCTACAATACCTTTAAAATTACCCTCCAAACCCATGGGTATCTGCATAAACGCTGCATTATGATTTAGTTTAGACCTGAAAAATAAAAATACACTTGTTTACCTTTTTTCTTCTCCCCTAATCCCTTTGAAATGACAAAATGAATATTTTAAAAAATCAGTGGCAGACACTGGAGAACTGAGAAGGGTGTTACCATCAGGTCAGAACAGAAAATATAAAGCAGCTGGGAACAGACTGACAACGTAACTCAAGGAGCTCAGGAAGCCACAAACCCATTTAGGCAACAAAAAGAACTCCAGAATAACTGTTTTACCATCAGATCCCCAGATACACTGGATCAAAAGCAGAAGGGGGAAGAACAGATAATGGAGGGCTAGCCAGGAAATTAAATAGTAGGATAGCTGAGCCCACCTCTTTTTTTTTTTTTTTTTTTTTTTGAGACAAGAGTCTCGCCCTGTTGCCAAGGCTGAAGTGTGATGGTGTGATTTCCGCTCACTGCAACCTCCGCCTCCCGGCTTCAAGCAATTCTCCTGCCTCAGCCTCCCGAGTAGCTGGGACTACAGGTGCCCGCCACCACGCCTGGCTAATTTTTTGTATTTTTAGTAGAGATGGGGTTTCACTATGTTGACCAGGCTGGTCTTGAACTCCTGACCTGGTGATCCACCCGCCTCGGCCTCCCAAAGTGCTGGGATTACAGGTGTGAGCCACCGCGCCCGGCCCAGGCTCAAAACTGAATAGAAACTGCATTCACTGGCAAGAATCCTCACTGGAAAAGAA
Organism: Homo sapiens; assembly: GCF_000001405.40. Classification (NCBI taxonomy): domain Eukaryota; kingdom Metazoa; phylum Chordata; class Mammalia; order Primates; family Hominidae; genus Homo; species Homo sapiens. Next base: position 158,648,338 of record NC_000003.12, on the reverse strand, counting down.
TATGCTCTAGCTACCACTGTTTAGTCTAGACTCTAGACTCCCATCTATAACTATGGTTAAAGATCTAAGAATCACCAAATATTTGAAGGAAACCAAAAGCTTGAAAGAGAAATGTGAACTTAATAGCACTTACCTCCAAGAAGAGAGTTACTAGAGGAAAGAAAATAAAATGTAAAGATTTGAGAAACAATTACCTCTACTGATAAAAATGTTGCAAGGAAAGAGAAAGTTTATGAAAATTAAGTACACAATTGCTGAAAAAAAAAGTTTTCAGGCAAGCTAAGTAACTGAAGAGACACAAATGAATATCAAATTAGTGAGCTGGAAGATCAACCCCAAGATTTCTCTCATAAGCCCAATCCAAAATGAGAAGGAGACAGAAAGAATAAGTACCATAGAAAAGACAAGGCATGAAGGTCAGATCTAGAAGTTCCAGATTTTTATCTGCTTTATAGAAGTTACAAAATGGAAAACAAATAAATGGGAGTGGAGAAAAGAATGAACCAAAGTAATCAAATAAATGCTAAAACAGTGTTTCCTTGGAATTCAGAAGAAGATTTGGGGAAAAAAGACCATCTATTGCCAAGCATAAGTAAAATAAGGATAAAAACTAAAAACAATTTACCAAAAAAAAGTTATAAACACCCAACTAAGAAAATGTTCACTTTCATATCAAATATATCACTTCCATCAGATTTTTTGTCATCAGATACACCATTCTCAGCCTGTCCACTACCATAAACTTTACACCTACATATCCATCAACTATGCCATGTGAAACGTAAGTATGAGCTCTACAGCTACACGTGCACATCTACAAAAGGTGAAAAGTGAAATTCTGACTCTTTTTAAAGGCTTTGTGAAATATATAATATTGTGTAAAATTTAAAATGCTATAAATACTACTGGTTCTATCTGGTACAGAAAGGAAGTGTTACTGTTGTCCTAGAAAATATGTTTCCGTCTGAAAACAAGAAAATCTCATCTCTATGGCAAACTACTTAAGGGCATTAATTAAAATGCTTCAAGGAAAAATTAAAACCAAAGATGATCTTTTGTCTAAATAAAACACAAGGTATTTTTAGAATCTAGATTATAACTTCTCTCATAATAGCAAAACAGTATAAACGGTCAGACTGTTTTCTGAATTCATCTTCAACCTCCCTAGAATTTAAGTAATATTGTCCCCATTTTAGAGATAAGGTAGTTGATGAGATCATACCACAAGCCAATTTACTAAAATCAGTGTTCCACTTACTAACTCACATAAATATATTTAAAAAACTAAATTTAAGAATAAAGTTTAATGACAGTGAATTAATCACCCTTTTGGATATAAGGTTTGCTGTCTAGATCATCACATCCTCTTTGTTTATTCTAAGGCTCATTACCTCATTTGCTGCAGGGCCCTGGCTGGGTTGGAGCCCATTCGGTCCAATTTGTTAATAAAAGTTAGAAACGGAACGTTGTAGCGCTTCATCTGACGATTGACAGTCATGGTCTGGCACTGTACCCCTCCAACAGCACAGAGAACAAGGACTGCACCATCCAACACTCTCAGGGCCCTTTCCACTTCTATTGTGAAGTCCACATGCCCTGAATAAGATGAAGTATGAGAGGGTCTTAAAGAGCAATCTGAATTTTTAATATATGCACTATTAGAAGTTTTTGTATCTCTGCTCATCACATAAGTCTTCTAATAAGAATGTAGATTCCTGAGCTCACCAATACTATTCACCAACCCTTAGGTGCAGGGCCTGGCAAGATCACTTCAAGAAAATACTAGGGCACAGGCACCTTTAGAATCAGCTAGAATATGTAAAAGGCAAGAATCTGCCTACTCACAATTTACTTGCACAAATTTTCAAGAAAACTACATAAGGATGAAGTGCTCTAGGTCCTAAGTTAGTCTTCTTTAATAGGAATTCAGTGTTACACTTTTGAGTATTTGACAATCAAAAACTAATTGGGTCACAGTAAGAGAAAGAACCAAATGTGCTTTTGCCAAAGAAGCTGCAATAAAACCAAGAATCCAACTCACCAGGAGTATCTATAATGTTAATATTGACATCTTTCCACATGGTGTAAGTGGCTGCTGACTGAATAGTGATTCCTCTTTGTCTCTCTAGTTCCATGGAATCCATGACAGCACCAACTCCATCTTTACCTTTCACCTAAACACAAGCACAGCAATTCAGACTTTCTCTGTCCCTGCATTCCAAGAAGGAAAGAAATCTTAACTGAAATGGAAACAGTTGCCAGGTGCAGTGGCTCATGCCTATAATCCCAGCACTGTGGGAGACTGAGGCAGGATGATAATTTGAGCCCAAGAGTTTGAGACCAGCCTGAGCAACAAAGTGAGACCTCTTCTATAAAAAATAAAAATAAAACCAGAACACAGATACTTAACTTAAGCAACTTTCAGATAAGCCTAACTGTCAAAAGTCCGCTGTTACCATTGTTTTAATCTTTCAGGTTTATAAGCTTTATTAAATAATAGCAACAAAACAATTAAAATCTGGTTCTAATTAATCCGGAATCAACCGTGAATATATACCTCATGCATCTTTGCAATTCTGCCAGTGTAGTAAAGGACTCGTTCTGTTAATGTAGTTTTCCCAGAATCAATGTGAGCTGAGATTCCAATATTTCGTATTTTTTCATTAGGAATCACCCCTGATGAAGACCATCGGCAGGCCTTCCAATTAACCTGAAAAAAATACGAGAGCTCAATTCTATGCACCTTTTATAAGAGAGAACAACAGACAATTAAAAGGAGTATGGTGGACATTATTCCTCCAAGAAATCTCACTGGATATGAGATAGCTTGAGAAAGGCACCAGGGGAAACCTTTAAGCCTGGAACTCTTGTAATCAGAGGACAGACTTCAAAACAAGACAGTAAAGACGTATTCTTTTAAAATTAATTAATGAATAAGTTAAATTTAATTAAAATGGGAGACACTTTTTACTGCAGATTTGAAAATACACACTGGGGCAGATAAAATCACAAAGACAGCTCCAAAAAATACTTTAATAGAAAATACAAATTTTAGCTTAAATTTAACTTAATTTTTTTCCCTTTCTCCTTTATTGTAGTTCACAGATGACAAATATGTTTGAGAACTTATATGCTCTATGCAGTGATGCTAGTAGCTCCAAGACAGCCCCCAAAGATTTCCAATTCCCTCCAAACAAAAACAATTCATGAAGCTTGTTTTAACTTTACTCTGGTGGCAGGGGATGGGGATCCCTATTAGATGGAATGAAGATACAATATAAACCTTTCCCTATAGGACTGCACATCCAAAATGCACAATTATTCACGGGAAAAGAGAGGCAAAAAAAAAAAAAAAAAACCTTAGAAAAGGTGGATAAAATATCAAAGTATCTGAGTGACAGACACTTTTAGTTGATTAAACCCTAGGGATACCAGAGAGCGAAACAAACGAGCTAACGAGCTAATGTGCAGGCACCGAGGTGCTTTTCAGCACTGACGAGCGACTGCCAGTATTCGGAGCTGTCAGTCATGAGGACCCAGGGGGTGTCACGGCCTTCCATTGCCCAGAAGGGATCACAAGGTTCCGGGAATGGTCCCGATTTAGCCTCTCTATGCTCCGGTACCTGCTTCCTCTGCCAGCCTAGGGAGGCGGGGGCCCTTCCGCGCCCCAGAGCCGCGACGGCTGCAGCTCCCAGGAGTCTCATGGCAAGCGCAGAGCACGCGTCAAAGTCCCGTGGCGCCGGGTGGGTTCAGCTGCCGGTAACGCACCGGGAAGCGGTCAAAGTCACGCCGGCAGCCAATGTTGTAAGAGCACTTCCGGGGCAAAGGACGCGAGGAAAAAGAGAGTGAGGAAAAGAAAGAAGAGCAACTGGATTGGAGGCGGAGCAGTGCCTACGCTGCTCGCGCGCCGTCTGCCGACTTGGAAGAGAAAGTGCAATCGCTTTGCGGAGCTAAAGAAGTGTTTGCTCCCAGTAAGACGGCATAGGTATATGGGTGAGGGAAGGGAGTCCTTTTGTCTTCGTCTTCTTTTTTAAATATTACCTCTGTATGAAGATACAGAATTTAAACATGGTTGTTAGGCCTATAAAGCAATGTGGAGAAATGTATATAACAATTTAAGTAGAAAAGAGCAAAATTGTCTATTACAAATATTAATAGGTATATATATGACATGGCCTGAAAAAGAACGTGGACAAATTATAGTGAATGAACTATCAATTACAATTACAAATACTTTTCCTCATGTCAAAATGTTATTTGTTATTGTTCGATGTCAGACATTTCATGTCCTGTCCATGTGGAAGACTGCATCCTTGACCATTCTGCTTGGATGTGTTAAGAGGCATGTTGAACCTAACAGGTCCAAAACTGAGCTTCGGATCTTCTTCCCCAAACCTTCCACAGTCTTATCCATCTCATAAATGTAAACTTTAGTGATTCTAGCCAAAAATATTAGTCGCTTTGACACCATGCTGTGACATCTCCGGTCTAATCAGTCAGCATATCCTGTAAGCTCTACTTTCAAAAAGACATCCAGGGCCGGACGCGGTGGCTCACACCTGTAGTCCCAGCACTTTGGAAGGCCGAGGCGGGCAGATCACGAGGTCATGAGATGGAGACCATCCTGGCTAACACAGTGAAACCCCGTCTCTACTAAAAATACAAAAAAAAATTAGCCGGGCGCGGTGGCGGGCGCCTGTAGTCCCAGCTACTCGGGAGGCTGAGGCAGGAGAATGGTGTGAACCCAGGAGGCGGAGCTTGCAGTGAGCCGAGATCACGCCACTGCACTCCACCCTGGGTGACAGAGCGAGTCTCAAAAAAAAAAAAAAAAAAAGAAAATCCAGAACTTACTTCTCCCCACCTCTCAGTACTGCCGTTTCTGGAGGGAACTATTGTAATAGCCTTGTAACCGATCTCACTGCTTCTATCCTTGCTGTTGTCAGTGGGCCGGTTCAGGTGCTTGACTTCACCACACAAAAGAATTTGAAAGCAAGTACAAAGTAAGAGTAGGCAAAAAAGTTTATTGTAAACCAAAAGTACACTCTGAGAGGCAGAGTGGGCTGCTCAGAAGAGAGACAGACAGCCTTTAGTATCTCTAGGGAATTCCCTTTATGGGTGAGGCAGGAGAACAGGGTCTAGAGACAGGGAACCGAAGGCCCTGCTGACTTCCTAGAGCTGAACCAAAAGGAAAACCCCACCTCTCCATGCCCAAGTAACAAAAGGATCGGAGGCTACTCCCAATGCACTGCATTGCAGATGAAAAAATGGAAAGTACCTCTGACTGGTCCCCTCTGGCAAATAATCAGACTGGTAGCAGGCCAAGTCCTCATGTGTAACTTTGTAACTTCACTTCAGCCTCTGATTGGTCACCTCCTGCAACCAAGCAGGCTGGTTATGGGCCACTCCTTCATTTACATAGGGTGTAACCAATGGGAACGCTCTAGAGGGTATTTAAATCCCAGAAAATTCTGTAACAGGTGCTCTTGAGCTGTGGAGTGTACTTTTGTTTCAACACATCTGTGCCTTCATTGCTCCATTCTTTCATTGCTTTGCTTATGTGTTTTGTCCAATTCTTTGTTCAAACGCCAAGAACCTGTATGACTCATAGTCAAGACCCTTCACTGGTAACATGGGAGCTGTACATATATATTCATAAAATACTGGTAAGGTCAAGTATGCAAAGGTGGACCTGTGGTTGGCACAGGTACTTGGCATCTACATGTTCTAACACAGGAGTCCCCAACCTCTGGGCCAGAGACCAGTATCAGTCCATGGCCTGTTAGGAACCAGGCCACACAGTAGGAGGTAAGCAGTGGGCGAGCGAGTGAAGTTTCATCTGTATTTACACCCTCTCCTTATCACTTGTATTACCACCTGAGCTCTGCCTCCTGTCAGATTAGCAGTGGCATTAGATTCTCATGGGAGTGTGAACCCCCTTGTGAACTATCCATTCAAGGGATCTGGGTTACGCACTCCTTATGAGAATCTAATGCCTGATGACCTGAGGTGGAGCTAAGGTGTGGCCGCTAGGGCTGGGGAACAGCTGCAAATACAGATTAACATTAGCAAAGAGGTTTGACTGCACAGAGACCATAATAAATCAATTGCTTGCAGATTCATATCAAAACCCTGTCAGTGAGTGTCAAGTGACAAAAGCTGCACTGGTGGCAAGCTTTATAGTGGCAAGTGAGTTGATGTATTTCAGTTGTACAGTTGCATCTGATGGCAGGCTTTAAAGTCTTGCGTGGCCCGCCCATTATTTTATTTACCACTTCCGTCCGCGCTTCCTTCCCACACTGAGCACTTGCCTCAGTCACAGTTTTGGTAAGCCCACAACCTAACTCTAGCCAAAACGAGTAAAAAACAAATGTCACTGGAGAGCTTCTTTGAAAATGGGGAAAGACCCAATGATGAGAAAATGGAAAACTCTAAGACTGCTAATAAAAGGAAAGCTGCATGTGAAAGAAAATACCTAGAGTCCTACTTAAATTGCAGGTTCACTGCAACAGGTGATTCACATTCTCCAAGCCTGCTTTATATAATATGTGGCAAGCGGCTATCCAACAAACCCATGAAACCTTCAAAACTGCTTCGCCACATGGAGACCAAGCACCCTACATAAAAAGAGAAGCCTTTGGAGTTTTTCAAAAGAAAAAATGTGGACACGAAGAACAGAAGCAATTATTGAAGGCCGCCACTTCCATCAAATGTGTCTGCATTGACAGTGTCATTCTTAGTGGCTAACAGCATTGCTAAGCTAAGAAGCTCTTTACTACTGGAGAATTGAACCTGCCTGCTGCTAAGGACATTTGTCATGAACTTTTAGGAGATGCTGCAGTTCAAAAGGTGGCACGTGTGCCTCTTTGGGCTAGCACCATAATTAGAGGAAATGATGAAATAGCAGAGGATATCGAGGCACAATTACTAGAAAGGATTAATGGGGCTGGGTGCAGTGGCTCATGCCTATAATCCCAGCACTTTGGGAGGCCGAGGCGGGCGCATCACAAGGTCAGGAGTTCAAGACCAGCCTGACCAACATGGTAAAACCCCATCTCTACTAAAAATACAAAAATCTGCCAGGCATGGTGGCATGCGCCTGTAATCCCAGCTACTCAGGAGGCTGAGGCAGGAGAATCACTTGAACCCGTGAGGCGGAGGTTGCAGTGAGCCAAGATCATGCCACTGCACTCCAGCTTGGGTGACAGATCGAGACTCAATCTCAAAAAAAAAAAAGAAAAGAAAGGATTAATGGGTCACTCTGGTACAAAATCCAGGTTGATTAATTTACTGAGGTTGACAACAAGTCAACAATGCTTGTTTTTGTGTGATTTTTCAGGTGGATGTGCATGAGGATATGTTATGTGCACTTTTGTTGCCAACCAACACCACAGCGGCAGAACTAGTCAAGTCTTTGAATGATTACATAGCAAAACTGAATTGGTTATTTTGTGTCAGTTTATGGACCGACAGAGCAGCTGCCATGACTGGACAGCTTTCTGGTTTCACTATTCGGGTCAAAGAGGTTGCTTCTGAATGTGAGTCTACACACTGAGTCGTCCATAGAGAAATGCTAGCTAGCCAGAAAGTATCAAATGAACTTAACGTTTTGCAGGATGTGATTAAAATTATCAACCACATTAAAGTACGTGCCCTTAACTCACATCTGTTCACACAGCTCCGTGAGGAGATGCACACAGAGCACACACACCTTCTTATACACAGAAATGAGATAGCTTTTTAAAGGTGGATCACTGGCCAGAGTTTCTGAGTTATGAGAGTCATTCCACAGATTTCTTTTTTTTTTTTTAATTATACTTTAAGTTTTAGGGTACATGTGCACATTGTGCAGGTTAGTTACATATGTATACATGTGCCATGCTGGTGCGCTGCACCCACTAACTCGTCATCTAGCATTAGGTATATCTCCCAATGCTACCCCTCCCCCCTCCCCCCACCCCACCACAGTCCCCAGAGTGTGATATTCCCCTTCCTGTGACCATGTGATCTCATTGTTCAATTCCCACCTATGAGTGAGAATATGCGGTGTTTGGTTTTTTGTTCTTGCGATAGTTTACTGAGAATGATGGTTTCCAATTTCATCCATGTCCCTACAAAGGACATGAACTCATCATTTTTTATGGTTGCATAGTATTCCATGGTGTATATGTGCCACATTTTCTTAATCCAGTCTATCATTGTTGGACATTTGGGTTGGTTCCAAGTCTTTGCTATTGTGAATAATGCCGCAATAAACATACGTGTGCATGTGTCTTTATAGCAGCATGATTTATAGTCATTTGGGTATATACCCAGTAATGGGATGGCTGGGTCAAATGGTATTTCTAGTTCTAGATACCTGAGGAATCGCCACACTGACTTCCACAATGGTTGAACTAGTTTACAGTCCCACCAACAGTGTAAAAGTGTTCCTATTTCTCCACATCCTTTCCAGCACCTGTTGTTTCCTGACTTTTTAATGACTGCCATTCTAACTGGTGTGAGATGGTATCTCATAGTGGTTTTGATTTGCATTTCTCTGATGGCCAGTGATGATGAGCATTTTTTCATGTATTTTTTGGCTGCATAAATGTCTTCTTTTGAGAAGTGTCTGTTCATGTCCTTCGCCCACTTTTTGATGGGGTTGTTTGTTTTTTTCTTGTAAATTTGTTTGAGTTCATTGTAGATTCTGGATATTAGCCCTTTGTCAGATGAGTAGGTTGCGAAAATTTTCTCCCATGTTGTAGGTTGCCTGTTCACTCTGATGGTAGTTTCTTTTGCTGTGCAGAAGCTCTTTAGTTTAATTAGGTCCCATTTGTCAATTTTGGCTTTTGTTGCCATTGCTTTTGGTGTTTTGGACATGAAGTCCTTGCCCACGCCTATGTCCTGAATGGTAATGCCTAGGTTTTCTTCTAGGGTTTTTATGGTTTTAGGTCTAACGTTTAAATCTTTAATCCATCTTGAATTGATTTTTGTATAAGGTGTAAGGAAGGGATCCAGTTTCAGCTTTCTACATATGGCTAGCCAGTTTTCCCAACACCATTTATTAAATAGGGAATCCTTTCCCCATTGCTTGTTTTTCTCAGGTTTGTCAAAGATCAGATAGTTGTAGGTATGCGGCGTTATTTCTGAGGGCTCTGTTCTGTTCCATTGATCTATATCTCTGTTTTGGTACCAGTACCATGCTGTTTTGGTTACTGTAGCCTTGTAGTATAGTTTGAAGTCAGGTAGTGTGATGCCTCCAGCTTTGTTCTTTTGGCTTAGGATTGACTTGGCGATGCGGGCTCTTTTTTGGTTCCATATGAACTTTAAAGTAGTTTTTTCCAATTCTGTGAAGAAAGTCATTGGTAGCTTGATGGGGATGGCACTGAATCTGTAAATTACCTTGGGCAGTATGGCCATTTTCATGATATTGATTCTTCCTACCCATGAGCATGGAATGTTCTTCCATTTGTTTGTATCCTCTTTTATTTCCTTGAGCAGTGGTTTGTAGTTCTCCTTGAAGAGGTCCTTCACATCCCTTGTAAGTTGGATTCCTAGGTATTTTATTCTCTTTGAAGCAATTGTGAATGGGAGTTCACTCATGATTTGGCTCTCTGTTTGTCTGTTGTTGGTGTATAAGAATGCTTGTGATTTTTGTACATTGATTTTGTATCCTGAGACTTTGCTGAAGTTGCTTATCAGCTTAAGGAGATTTTGGGCTGAGACAATGGGGTTTTCTAGATAAACAATCATGTCGTCTGCAAACAGGGACAATTTGACTTCCTCTTTTCCTAATTGAATACCCTTTATTTCCTTCTCCTGCCTGATTGCCCTGGCCAGAACGTCCAACACTATGTTGAATAGGAGCGGTGAGAGAGGGCATCCCTGTCTTGTGCCAGTTTTCAAAGGGAATGCTTCCAGTTTTTGCCCATTCAGTATGATATTGGCTGTGGGTTTGTCATAGATAGCTCTTATTATTTTGAAATACGTCCCATCAATACCTAATTTATTGAGAGTTTTTAGCATGAAGGGTTGTTGAATTTTGTCAAAGGCTTTTTCTGCATCTATTGAGATAATCATGTGGTTTTTGTCTTTGGCTCTGTTTATATGCTGGATTACATTTATTGATTTGCGTATATTGAACCAGCCTTGCATCCCAGGGATGAAGCCCACTTGATCATGGTGGATAAGCTTTTTGATGTGCTGCTGGATTTGGTTTGCCAGTATTTTATTGAGGATTTTTGCATCAATGTTCATCAAGGATATTGGTCTAAAATTCTCTTTTTTGGTTGTGTCTCTGCCCGGCTTTGGTATCAGAATGATGCTGGCCTCATAAAATGAGTTAGGGAGGATTCCCTCTTTTTCTATTGATTGGAATAGTTTCAGAAGGAATGGTACCAGTTCCTCCTTGTACCTCTGGTAGAATTCGGCTGTGAATCCATCTGGTCCTGGACTCTTTTTGGTTGGTAAACTATTGATTATTGCCGCAATTTCAGCTCCTGTTATTGGTCTATTCAGAGATTCAACTTCTTCCTGGTTTAGTCTTGGGAGAGTGTATGTGTCAAGGAATGTATCCATTTCTTCTAGATTTTCTAGTTTATTTGCGTAGAGGTGTTTGTAGTATTCTCTGATGGTAGTTTGTATTTCTGTGGGATCAGTGGTGATATCCCCTTTATCATTTTTTATTGTGTCTATTTGATTCTCCTCTCTTTTTTTCTTTATTAGTCTTGCTAGCGGTCTATCAATTTTGTTGATCCTTTCAAAAAACCAGCTCCTGGATTCATTGATTTTTTGAAGGGTTTTTTGTGTCTCTATTTCCTTCAGTTCTGCTCTGATTTTAGTTATTTCTTGCCTTCTGCTAGCTTTTGAATGTGTTTGCTCTTGCTTTTCTAGTTCTTTTAATTGTGATGTTAGGGTGTCAATTTTGGATCTTTCCTGCTTTCTCTTGTGGGCATTTAGTGCTAGAAATTTCCCTCTACACACTGCTTTGAATGCGTCCCAGAGATTCTGGTATGTTGTGTCTTTGTTCTCGTTGGTTTCAAAGAACATCTTTATTTCTGTCTTCATTTCGTTATGTACCCAGTAGTCATTCAGGAGCAGGTTGTTCAGTTTCCATGTAGTTGAGCGGCTTTGAGTGAGATTCTTAATCCTGAGTTCTAGTTTGATTGCACTGTGGTCTGAGAGATAGTTTGTTATAATTTCTGTTCTTTTACATTTGCTGAGGAGAGCTTTACTTCCAACTGTGTGGTCAATTTTGGAATAGGTGTGGTGTGGTGCTGAAAAAAACGTATATTCTGTTGATTTGGGGTGGAGAGTTCTGTAGATGTCTATTAGGTCTGCTTGGTGCAGAGCTGAGTTCAATTCCTGGGTATCCTTGTTGACTTTCTGTCTCGTTGATCTGTCTAATGTTGACAGTGGGGTGTTAAAGTCTCCCATTATTAATGTGTGGGAGTCTGAGTCTCTTTGTAGGTCACTCAGGACTTGCTTTATGAATCTGGGTGCTCCTGTATTGGGTGCATATATATTTAGGATAGTTAGCTCCTCTTGTTGAATTGATCCCTTTACCATTATGTAATGGCCTTCTTTGTCTCTTTTGATCTTTGTTGGTTTAAAGTCTGTTTTATCAGAGACTAGGATTGAAACCCCTGCCTTTTTTTGTTTTCCATTTGCTTGGTAGATCTTCCTCCATCCTTTTATTTTCAGCCTATGTGTGTCTCCTCATGTGAGATGGGTTTCCTGAATACAGCACACTGATGGGTCTTGACTCTTTATCCAACTTGCCAGTCTGTGTCTTTTAATTGGAGAATTTAGTCCATTTACATTTAAAGTTAATATTGTTATGTGTGAATTTGATCCTGTCATTATGATGTTAGCTGGTGATTTTGCTCGTTAGTTGATGCAGTTTCTTCCTAGTCTCGATGGTCTTTACATTTTGGCATGATTTTGCAGCGGCTGGTACCGGTTGTTCCTTTCCATCTTTAGCGCTTCCTTCAGGAGCTCTTTTAGGGCAGGCCTGGTGGTGACAAAATCTCTCAGCATTTGCTTGTCTGTAAAGTATTTTATTTCTCCTTCACTTATGAAGCTTAGTTTGGCTGGATATGAAATTCTGGGTTGAAAATTCTTTTCTTTAAGAATGTTGAATATTGGCCCCCACTCTCTTCTGGCTTGTAGGGTTTCTGCCGAGAGATCCGCTGTTAGTCTGATGGGCTTCCCTTTAAGGGTAACCCGACCTTTCTCTCTGGCTGCCCTTAACATTTTTTCCTTCATTTCAACTTTGGTGAATCTGACAATTATGTGTCTTGGAGTTGCTCTTCTCGAGGAGTATCTTTGTGGCGTTCTCTGTATTTCCTGAATCTGAACGTTGGCCTGCCTTGCTAGATTGGGGAAGTTCTCCTGGATAATATCCTGCAGAGTGTTTTCCAGCTTGGTTCCATTCTCCGCATCACTTTCAGGTACACCAATCAGACGTAGATTTGGTCTTTTCACATAGTCCCATATTTCTTGTAGGCTTTGCTCATTTCTTTTTATTCTTTTTTCTCTAAACTTCCCTTCTCGCTTCATTTCATTCATTTCATCTTCCATTGCTGATACCCTTTCTTCCAGTTGATCGCATCGGCTCCTGAGGCTTCTGCATTCTTCACGTAGTTCTCGAGCCTTGGTTTTCAGCTCCATCAGCTCCTTTAAGCACTTCTCTGTATTGGTTATTCTAGTTATATATTCTTCTAAATTTTTTTCAAAGTTTTCAACTTCTTTGCCTTTGGTTTGAATGTCCTCCCGTAGCTCAGAGTAATTTGATCGTCTGAAACCTTCTTCTCTCAGCTCGTCAAAGTCATTCTCCATCCAGCTTTGTTCCGTTGCTGGTGAGGAACTGCGTTCCTTTGGAGGAGGAGAGGCGCTGTGCGTTTTAGAGTTTCCAGTTTTTCTGTTCTGTTTTTTCCCCATCTTTGTGGTTTTATCTACTTTTGGTCTTTGATGATGGTGATGTACAGATGGGTTTTCGGTGTGGATGTCCTTTCTGTTTGTTAGTTTTCCTTCTAACAGACAGGACCCTCAGCTGCAGGTCTGTTGGAATACCCTGACGTGTGAGGTGTCAGTGTGCCCCTGCTGGGGGGTGCCTCCCAGTTAGGCTGCTCGGGGGTCAGGGGTCAGGGACCCACTTGAGGAGGTAGTCTGCCCGTTCTCAGATCTCCAGCTGTGTGCTGGGAGAACCACTGCTCTCTTCAAAGCTGTCAGACAGGGACATTTAAGTCTGCAGAGGTTACTGCTGTCTTTTTGTTTGTCTGTGCCCTGCCCCCAGAGGTGGAGCCTACAGAGGCAGGCAGGCCTCCTTGAGCTGTGGTGGGCTCCACCCAGTTCGAGCTTCCCCGCTGCTTTGTTTACCTAAGCAAGCCTGGGCAATGGCGGGCTCCCCTCCCCCAGCCTCGCTGCTGCCTTGCAGTTTGATCTCAGACTGCTGTGCTAGCAATCAGCGAGATTCCGTGGGCGTAGGACCCTCCGAGCCAGGTGTGGGATATAGTCTCGTGGTGCGCCGTTTTTTAAGCCGGTCTGAAAAGCGCAGTATTCGGGTGGGAGTGACCCGATTTTCTAGGTGCGTCCGTCACCCCTTTCTTTGACTCGGAAAGGGAACTCCCTGACCCCTTGCACTTCCCAGGTGAGGCAATGCCTCGCCCTGCTTCGGCTCGCACACGGTGCGCACACCCACTGGCCCGCGCCCACTGTCTGGCACTCCCTAGTGAGATGAACCCGGTACCTCAGATGGAAATGCAGAAATCACCCGTCTTCTGCGTCGCTCACGCTGGGAGCTGTAGACCGGAGCTGTTCCTATTCGGCCATCTTCCATTCCACAGATTTCTTTTAGAAAAACAGTCACCAGTGGCAGCACATTTCAGTGACACAGAATGGGTCACAAAATTTGCTCAGTCGTATGACATATTTAACCTGCTCAATGAACTCAGTCTGTCACTTCAAGGGAGAATGACAACTGTGTTCAAGTTGGCAGATAAAGTGGCTGCATTCAAAATCAAACTGGAATTATGGGGGTGATGAGTTAACACTGGGATTTTTAACATGTTTCGAATATTAGCAGAGATTTTGAAAGAGACTAAGCCAGGGCCTTCTCTCTCCCAGCTAGTGCATGATCACCTATCTTAGCTTTCAAAAGAGTTTGAGCATTACTTCCCAACCACAAAAGACCCCTGAACTGGAAAGGAATGTATCTGTGACCCATTTGTGTTGTGGTCCCCCCAAACGGAGGGACCGGCTGGAGCCGAGGCAGAAGAACATAAATTGTGAAGATTTCATGGACATGTATCAGTTCCCAAAATTAATACTTTTATAATTTCTTAACGCCTGTCTTACTTTAATCTCTTAATCCTGTCATCTTCGTAAGCTGAGGATGTATGTCACCTCAGGACCCTGTGATGATTGCGTTAACTGTACAAATTAATTGTAAAACGTGTGTTTGAACAATATGAAATCAGTGCACCCTGAAAAGAACTGAATAACAGCGATTTTCAGGGAACAAGGAAAGATAACAATAAGGTCTGACTGCTTGTGGGGTCGGGCAGAATAGAACCATATTTTTCTTCTTGCAGATAGCCTATAGACGGATGTGTGAGTAGGAGAAATATCGATGAATTCTTTTCCCAGCAAGGAACATTAATAACTGAAACCCTGGGAAAGGAATGCATTCCTGGGGGTAGGCCTATAGACGGCTGCTCTGGGAGTATCTGTCTTATGCGGTTGAGATAAGGACTGAAATACACCCTCAGGCTTACTAGGATTGGGAAATTCCAGCCTGGTAAATTCTAGTCAGACCGGTTGTCTGCTCTTGAACCCTGTTTTCTGTTAAGATGTTCATCAAGACAATGCCTGCACAGTGGGACGTAGAACCTCATCAGTAATTCTAATTTTGCCTTGCCTTGTGATCTTTATGGCCCTTTGAAGCATGTGATCCTTGTGACCTAATCCCTGTTCATACACTCCCTTCCCTTTTAAAATCCCTAATAAAAACTTGCTGGTTTTGCGGCTCGAGGTCGCCATCACGATCCTACCAATATGTGATGACACCCCCGGAGGCCCAGCTGTAAAATTTCTCTCTTTATTTTCTTTCTTTTTTATTTCTCAGACCAGCTGACACTTAGGGAAAATAGAAAGAACCTACATTGAAATACTGGGGGCTGGTTCCCCCGATACATTTGTGAACAAATTATTTGTGAATCAACTTTGTCCATGCTGGAAGAGGATCAAAGGTTTGAGATCACAAATAACGGTGGCCTTAAAAGTATGTTTGAGACAACTTCAAATCTCCATACATTCTGGATTAAAGTCAAGGCAGAATATCCTGAGATTGCCTAAAAAGCACTGAAAAGCCTGCTTTCATTTCTAACATCCTATCTTTGTGAAGTAGCATTTTCTGTGGTGACAGCAACCAAAATGAGATTATGGAGTAGACTGGACATAAGCAACACACTTTGAGTGTCACTGTCTCCTATCACCCCTAGATGGGATGTCTAGTTGCAGGAAGACAAACTCAGGGCTCCCACTGATTCTACATTATGGTGAGTTGTATAATTATTTCATTATATATTACAATGTAATATATAATGAAAATGATAAAATTGTAGAAATAAAGCACACAACAAATGTGCTTGAATCATCTTGAAACCATCCCCCCACCCTCTAACCCTGGAAAAATTGTCTTCCAAGAAACCAGTCCTTCGTGCCAAAAAGGTTGGTGACCACTGCTCTAACAGGCATTGCATGTATCATTAGCATATAAAATCTCTTCCTAGCAGTGTGATTTTTACTATTAAAATAAGGAAAAAACTATTATAAGCTAAAACTTGAGCCTAGCTACACATGCAGGAACCTGAAAAAGTTTCTAGCCACCCAGTCCCCCTCCCCCTGCCCCTCACTCAAGGCAGGAATTTGTAGCTAATAGCTTCTTGGGTTTTGATGCTAATTGGCTGGAAATTGGGGAAGCTACAATATGAATAAAGGCTTTTGTTGTCTTTCCCAGCTGTATTGGATGTCAGGAACTTGTAACCATTGGGCAGTGGGCTGGTATCCTGTACAACTGCTTAGCATGGCCTCCTAACCTTATTTATCCTGCCTCAAATTCACAACACAGTAACTAAAGGGATCCTTTTAAGTCAGACCAGGTCCTTTGTCTGCTAAAGACACTCCATCCAGTGAATTTATTGTTGCTCTTATTGCAAGGAATTCCTACTTCCCTGCCCCTTTTGCTCCAGCCACATTGGCCTCTGTGATGATTAGTATTGAGTGTCAACTTGATTGGATTGAAGGATGCAAAGTATTGTTCCTGGGTGTGTCTGTGAGGGTGCTGCCAAAGGAGATTAACATTTGAATCAGTGGACTTGGAGAGGCAGACGCACCGTCAATCTGGGTGGGCACAATCTAATCAGCTGCCACCGTGGCTAGAATAAAAGCAAGCCGAAGAACGTGGGAGGACTAGACTGGCTAAGTCTTCTGGCCTCCATCTTTCTCCCATCCTGGATTCTTCCTGCCTTCAAACATAGGACACCAAGTTCTTCAGCTTTTGGACTCTTGAACCTGTTGAGGACTAAACTCTGATTTTTTTTATCTTGCCCAAATTCCTGTCTAAGGGGTCTGGGGTGTAATGCCCTATGCCCTACAAACCATAAATTCTCATCAGATGGGTTTTATTTAACTCTGTATATCATGACTTATTTTCTAACCTGACCCTGGCATAACATTACGAGACAAGGAAGAAAATAAAAATATTTTACCCAACAACATGTTTATTTGCCATATTTTGAAATAGCCCTGCAAAGCTGTTCTTTGTGGGGAAAAATTTGCATCTGTAAAGAATCTGTATTAAATAGCTAGATCTTTTTCTTCCAGACCCTCCCAATCCTTCAGAGACTAACTAAGATCTGAATAAGAAACATTTGTCATCTATTTTCTCTAAGGGCAGCCACTATAAGACTTCAAAAGAACTTTGGTCTCCACAATCTTTATCTTAACCTGAACATTCCCTTTCTATCAATCCAAGGTCTTCAGACAAACTCAACCAATTGTCAACCAGAAAATGTTTAAATTCACCTACAGCCTGGAAGCGCCCCCCATCCAACCCGCTTTGAGTTGTCCCACCTTTCTGGACCACACCAATGTATTTCCTAAATGTATTTGATTGATGTCTCATGTCTCTCTAAAATGTATAAAACCAAGCTGTGCCCTGACCACCTTGGGAACATGTTCTCAGGACCTCCTGAGGGCTGTGTCATGGGCCATGGTCACTCATATTTGGCTGAGAATAAATCTCTCCAAATATTTTACAGAGTTTGAGTCTTTTCTTCGACACTATCAATCGAGGAAAATGACTAGTCTCAGTCATTTTAGGAGACTTATTTGCCAAAGTTAACAACGCACCCGAGAGACAGATATATGCCTTTCTTCAAAGATGATTTTGAGGGTTTCAAATTTAAAGGGGAAAGGCCAGGATATTGAGAAACACTCAGTTTTTACATAAACAAAAGGGGGAGAGGAAAAATGTGGGGAATCTGCATTTTACCTAAGATAACACAGCCAAAATGGGGTAGGGGGACAATCACATACACATTTGTGTCTGGCGGGCCAGGTTGACTGCACCTGTAAAGATAAGCTATCAACTTGCATTGCATGGAGAAATTTTAACAGCTCACTAGGAATTTCCTTGTGGGAAAAATATGGGGGAGGCACGTAGCTTTTCATCTAGTAGCCATCTTATTTAGGAACCAAAAGGGGAGGCAGGTTTGCATGACCCAGTTCCCAGCTTGACTTTTCTCTTTGGCTAAATGAGTTTGGGGTCGCAAAATTTAATTTCCTTTCACAAACCTACACCAATGGTTTGCCAGGGCTCTTGGGCCTTTGACCACAGACTGAAGGCTGCACTGTTGGCTTCCCTACTTTTGAGGTTTTGGGACTCGGACTGGCTTCCTTGCTCCTCAGCATGCAGATGGCCTATTGTGGGACTTTACCTTGTGATTTTGTGAGTCAATACTCCTTAATAAACTCCTTTTCATATTTACATCTATCCTATTAGTCCTGTCCCTCTAGAGAACCCTGGCTAATACACCCTCCTTGCTGATCCTCATGTGTCTAGAGCCTTTGCTCTTCCCCAGATATCAGCATGGTTTTTTCCCTCACTTTTTTTTTTTTTTTTTTTGGAGGTGGAGTCTACGCTGTCACCCAGGCTGGAGTGCAATGGCATGATCTCAGCTCACTGCAACCTCTGCCTCCTGGGTTCAAGTAATTCTTCTGCCTCAGCCTCCTGAGTAGCTGGGATTACAGGTGCCTGCCACCACTCCCAGCTAATTTTTGTATTTTTAGTATAGACAGGGTTTCACCATGTTGGCCAGGCTGGTCTTGAACTCCTGACCTCATGATGCACCTGCCTTGGCCTTCCAAAGTGCTGGGATTACAGGAGTGAGCCACCACACCTGGCCTCCCTCCCTCCCTTTCTATCTTCTCACTGTGATTCATTTTTCTTCAGAGCACTTCTTAAATTCAGACATTTTGCATACATATCTTTGTATTGTCTGACTCTCCATGTGAGAATATAAGTTTCATAAGGACAACAGTTTTGTTTGCTCATTACTGTGTCTCCGTACATGTTTGAGGTGTTTAATAAATATTTGTTAAATGAATGAATGAATGAGATCAAGTAAATTGAAAAAAGTACAAGGGACAAGAAAAGGAAAATGAGAGGCTCAATGATGAATTTCAAAGTTACTTTTTGTATATCATCCCATGTAGTAATATGCAATAAAGGATTTCTAAGTCACTTTAATGAATGAATCCATTAACATTAAAAATACGGTATTAGTTTGTTTTCATGCTGCTAATAAAGACATACTCGAGACTGGGTAGTTTAGAAAGGAAAGAATTTTAATTGACTCACAGTTCCACATGGCTGGGGAAGCCTCACAATCATGGTGGAAGATGAAGGAAGAGCAAAGGGACGTCTTACATGGCAGCTAGCAAAAAGATAGTTTGTGCAGGGGAACTCCTCTTTATAAAATCATCAGATCTGGTGAGACTTATTGACTATCATGAGAACACCATGGGAAAGACCCACCCCCATGATTCAATTACCTCCCACTAGGTCCTTCCCACAACACATGGGAATTAAGGGAGCTACAATTCAAGAAGAGATTTGGGTGGGGACACAGCCAAACCATATCAAATACTTTAAATAAACTTTTTTATTTAGACTTCTAAAAATTTAGTCTTTATATACCTTTATAAGTATTATTTTAAAATACATGATTATGTAAATACACAATAAAGGTTTTTAATTTTTAATTTTATATTTTATTTAGTATGCAGATAACTAATCTTATATTAAATAAGATTGTATATCTACTATATTGAAATTACCACTTTAATGAACTGTTTCCTTAGTAAAGATTTATATTCATTATTATGTGTATATATATTCATTTTTTCCATGATTATTGTACCAAGTATATTTTTATTGTTATTAATCACCACTTTTAATCAAAGTAGTCCACTTTTGCTTTCTGCAAAGAGAAAAATAGAACACAGAAATCTATGAAATGTCTAGCTAAATTTTTATGAGTACACATTTTTGTGAAAGGAAAACAAATCTTGAGGACCCAAAATCACTTAGCTAATGGGAAGAGTCAAGTTAGGAACTACTTAGGGCAAAGCCTACCTCCCCTTCTACTCAAAGTCATCCCTCTGCTCACTGAGATAAGTGCATATCTGATTGCCTCATTTGGAGAGGCTAATCGAAAACTCAAAAGAATACAACCATTTGTCTCTTATCAACCTATGACCTAGAAGCCCCCTCCCTGCTTTGAGCTGTCCTGCTTTTGCTTTGAGTTGTCCCACCTTTCCAGACAGAACCAATGTTCATCTTGCGTATGTTGACTGATGTCTTATGTCTCCGAGCGTATAAAACCAAGCCGTGCTCTGAGCACCTTGGGCACATGTTGTTAGGACCTCCTGAGGCTGTGTCACAGGCATATGTCCTCAACCTTGGCAAAACAAACCTTGTAAATTAACTGAGACCTGTCTCAGATATTCGGGGTTCACATTTTGGTATCCATGAAGGGAATCTGAGCAGAGGTACCCTGATCTGTAAGATACAATAAATCTTTCTGAGTTCTCTTCAAAGTGTTTAGCCTGTTAACTTCCTTACTCAGGCAAGACGTGTCCCACTGCCCCACTGCGGTGGCCTCAGGGAGGTGAGATTGAGACCCACCCTTGGTGACGAATAAACCCACACTCTCAGCAACGTGGGGAGGAGAGGCTTGCAATACCGTGGCGACCAGGTAAACTCTGTGCACAGACCAAGGTACGAAACGTCACAGGGGCGACAAAGTACTTCTTTGGTGGTCAGAGGGGGTGGTCGGGGCATTCTGGAGGTTGAAAGTGCATGAATGGTAACAAGCACTACTGCTGTGAGGAATGAGTGAGTCCAATCTACGATTCCGTGGTCACCACATATGGCTTAGGGCGGCCCTTTGGGGGTCCCATCAGGGATTTATACTGACCCGCCATCAATGGTAAGAGGGACCTGAAACATTCCCGAGAGGGAAGTGGCCAGAGCAGACGAAGCAAAAGAAGGGTTCAAGGGACCTCCAGCAGATGGAGATAAGCGAATTAAGCCTTAGCAAAGCTTCCACTGAAGGATAGGCAAGAGATCGCTAATATGAGGGGTTGAGCCACAAGGAACTCCCCAAATTGGCAAGAGATTCCTAATAAGAGGGATTGAGCCTAGCCAGGACCCAGTATGGGAAATATTACAAGCAAAAAAGATGAAGTTAGCAACAAAGATATCCCCTTGATAGTCCCTTAGGTCTCAAAGATATACCACCTGATAACCCTCTAGGTCTCATGCTAAAAGGCTGGGAAGATAATGAAAGAACTAAACATAAATAAAAGCAACAAATGATAAAATATTGCTGTTCTATTTGGACTCAAAGACCTAACCTCAATCCCTCAATCTTCTGGCCAAAGTTTGGGTCGACTGAGGATATACTATGTCAACTTTTAATTCAACATGTAAATAATAAAAGCCCAGTTTCTCAAGAAAAACTGGTCTATGCTCTTTGTTGGAAGCAAAGACCTGTCCTCCCTTTTCCCTTATGCCCCTGCCCCTACTGTAGAACCAGTGAGGGAAGGGGCTCAGGGAATCCTGGCAAACGAGAACAGCACACGGGATCCCCTAGGCCATCCTCCACCTAATACCCCTGGTCCCCCACCTAATACACCCAACCCTTCCCTCAGGCCCAGCCTAAGTCCCCCTCCCCAAAAGAACTCCAAGCTCGTAATTCGCCGGTGGCTTTTGCCGGGCTAGCAACATCAAGGATCAGCTGCAACATGTTGTCGGCATCATCCAGCCCATAGTACGCCCCAGCGGCAGGCAAAGCCCATGCTCCTGCCCCCTGGCTGGTCCAAGGTCCCGGCACCACATTGACGGCAGCTCTGCAAGACACACAGTCCAGGTCCCAGCCTATGCCCTGAGCAGACTACATTATGGGACATCTGCCTTACTTTTGCCAGGGCCAAGTAATACCAGGCCTCAGCCATGGCTCCAAGCAGCTAGGCATCTCTGCAGCTAAGTCTCCTGAGTAGATAATCTTTCAGCTGATATATCCACTAGCATTTATTGTGGTCAAGTCAGTGTTAAAAGTGAAAATATCCACCAGAAAAGAACTTTGATCCTTTAAAGTTTTCTATTATATATTAAGTTTTATATTTTATATATTATATATATTAAGTTTTATATTAAGTTGTATATTATGTATTTATATTATATATTGTTTTATTTTATATATATTATATATTAATATTTATGTTTTATATTAAAATGTGCCACCAGAAAAGAATTATATGTGTATAAGTATGAGGCTATTCTGTTAAAAAGGATGGTTTAACATTAACTACTGATAATTCGCTTAACCTAGCAAGTTTCTTAACGAGAGAGCCAAATCTAAAAGCACACATGTTTAGATTTAACTGATTACCATACAAACATCCAGTAGAACTTAAAAGAAACCCCCCTCAAAAGTGATTAAGGGAAAAAGAACACAACAAGTGTTCAGTTATTAATAAAAGTTCCTAGAGAGATAAAATCAAAGTGTTTTAATAAGTAGTCTATCCAAATTTATAAGCTGTCTGCACTTAGTCAAGCTTTAAAGTATCTGCAAGATCAGGAGAGAACCATCTATACTAATTCTAAATACGCCTTTACAGTGGCTCATAAATTTAGAAAAATTCAGACTGAATGAATAGTAAAAGTCAAAGCCTTGTTCATGAGGAGTTAATCACCCAAGTGTTGAATAGCCTTCAGTTACCAGAAAAGAAAAAATAGCTATTGTCCATGTCCCCAGGCACCAAAAAGCCTGTCTTTCAAGAGTCAAGAAAATAACCTAGCAAATCAGATAAGCTGGACCAGCTGCCATTTCTCCTGTAGGTGCTAAAGGGAACTCAGAGAAATGTTATTCAAACCTTTTATAAAGGCAGTCCTATCCCACCTACATCAGAGGATCCATTAAAGACCCCAAGCCATGTATAGCACGGTCAAAGTTTATACCTGTATAGGAATTTACACCCTTAGCCAAACAAGTCTAGAGACTTTGTTGCCAAAAATCAAATGTCTTCTGACTTCCTATTACCCTAGTAAGAATCCAAACTGCCTCTCAAAGCAATCCAACATTCCTGAATACTTGCTTTATCTTCCACTTTCTCTTCCTTCAGAACTCACAATTTTCCAGTACAGGCATCACCCCTAGAGTTTCCAGTACATTGACACCAGCCTGAGGAGCCGGCCTAGTGCTTCTAACCACTGAAACCATAGTCCAAATAGCAAGAAAAGATGGACCCATCATACCCAAGTCGAGAAAGCACCACCATCCCTGAAGTCATGGGTCATTATCCAAGAGAAAAACCTCCTCAAACTAAGGTTAAGAAAACTTTAACTCTCTTTTATCTAGTCTACTACCCTTTCTTCTTTCCTCATTATATTGCTGACCTTGTTATCAATGTAACTAGGCCAGACTCACCCTAAATCATTACTTTTGATGCTTGCCTTGGCATGCCTTGTCAAAAGGATGAATACTGGCAAAGATATGTCTCTACTTAAGAAAAATACCTCTGCTCCTTCAGAGAAGCCATTGACCCTCCACCTTGCTCATGGCAGGGGTACCAAGGCACTCTAAGTTAGGAGATATGTTCTCAATGTGCAGATGTCATCCTAACTACCAGAGCACACGGCAGGACCTTCCCATAAGGCTGTACTGACCTAAAATCTTACCTCTGCCTTACCAAAGGAACCACCCCCTCTAATTGTCAACTTGACCATTGTAACCCAGTAACGATCTCTATTAATGCCCCTACCTCCACCAACCCTGCGACCCCTTTAGAACACTTGTACGGCTTAGGAGCAGAGGCCAATGGATGTGACCATATAGGCTTCTTTAAAACATGCTTTATTGACCCCTCTTCTTCTTCTCCATCCGAACCTTCTACCCTACCTAACAATGTCAAAGTAAATATTTTAGAAGTAAAAGATTTAAGACAAACCCTAACAATTGAGACAGGATATCAAGATGTAAATGCCTGGTTGGAATGGATTCAATATTCCTTCCGCACATTAAACAAAAGCAATTGTTATGCTTGTGCATACAGCAGCCCAGAGGCACAGATTGTCCCCCTTCCACTAGGATGGTCCTTCAATCAACCAGGCATAGGCTGTATAGTAGCTCTTTTCCAGGATTCCACAGCCTGGGGCAACAAATCGTGTCAAGCTCTCTCTCTGCTATATCCTGAAGTCCAACACCCTGCAGGTCAGCCCTTGAGGGCCATCCAGCTTCCGTTTCCCAACATCGATTTCACCTCATGTCTCTCACAACAGGGGGAAAATTTGCTTAATAGGATGCAGTGAGCTTAAGCCCTTCCAAGAGCTTACCCATCAGTCTCCCCTTAGTCATCCTCAAGCATATGTATGGTGGTATTGCAGTGGACCCTTACTGAATACTCTGCCAAGTAACTGGAGCAGCACTTGTGCTCTTGTCCAATTGGCTATCCCTTTCACCCTGGCATTTCATCAACCAGAAAAAGAAAAACCACAACACCAAAAAATAAGAGAAGCCCCTTATGGGTCTTTTGACTCTCAAGTTTACACAGATGCCACTGGAGTCCCCCAGGAGTGTCTGACAGTTTCAAAGCCCGAGACCAAATAGCTGCAGGATTTGAATCCATATTTCCATGAGTAACTATTAATAAACATGTAGCTTGGATAAATTACATCTATTATAATCAGCAGCAGTTTATTAATTACACCAGGGATGCTGTCAAAGGAATAGCTGACCAATTAAGGCCTACTAGCCAAATGGCTTAGGAAAACAGAATAGCTCTAGACATGTTATTAGCCAAAAAAAGGTGGAGTTTGTGTGATGATTAAAACCCAATGTTGTATCTTCATCCCAAACAACACTGCCCCTGATGGGAGCATAACAAAGGCCTTGGAGAGACGTACTGCTTTATCCAATGAATTAGCTAAAAATTCTGGAGTCAATGACCCCATTTCAGGATGGCTAGGAAAGTAGTTCAGTAAATAGAAAGGAATCATGGTCTCAATCCTTATTTCCCTTGCAGTCATAATAGGCATACTCATTCTCGTTAGGTGTTGTGTCATACCATGCATCCATGGGCTAATACAAAGAATTGTACAAACAGCACTTACTAAAGCCTCCCTTAGTTCTCCTCCACCTTATTCAAGTAAGCTTTTCCTTTTAGAAGATAAAATCAAACAGCAAAGCCAAGACATGTTATAAAACTTTGAAGAGAAAGAACCGTAAGAAAATTAAAAGGGAGGAATTGTAAGATACAGTAAATCTTTGAGTTTCTCTTCAAAGGGTTTAGCCTGTTAACTTCGTTATCCTTTGTTCTCAAACTCAACTCTCTTGTTCTTCCTTGCCCCTAGTTACCGTAAACAGCCTACCCACTTCCCATCAGCTCTAATCAATAACTCACATCTGTTCTTTTGGTTACCTGTATCCACTGTTCCCCTGAAACTGCATGTCTCACCCGCTCCACCTCTGTACCTCATGTCCCCCTCCCCTTCTATATTTAGGAAAATATATACAAGTAGCCAATTGGGTCAGCTCAGATTGTGCAGTCCAACTTCAGCCCATGGGGGAGTGACACAGAGATAGGGACTGCATTAAGGATAAAAACCCTCTCGTCTCCTTTGTTCTCTGTGCACTTGCGATCTTGATTGACGCGAGTGGCACCCTTTTGCAAAAGTAAATTGCCTTGCCAAGAGAACTAAATTTTGCCTGGGTGCTGGTTTTACTTTGCTGCACCAAGCATTTATTCCTGGAGCATTTTATATCCAACAGATCTTTGACAAATCTTTGATCAGTGCTTGGTACCAGCATGAGCTAATTTTATGGCTCAAACCAATAGGACAATTTGCTGAGGTCTGGGAACACCCCCTCCAGAGAATCCCTAATCTCCCAAAATTTGGTCGAAATCTAAAGTTTATTTTGCTGTGCAACTCCCATTTTTGGAGTTTTACTTGCTTCCAACAAGGAAGGCAAGATTTCCTGCTTCCATGATGATGGAAGGCAGGTAACTCCTTTAACAGAGTTTGAGCTTACTCCTAACAAGAAAGACAAGTTTGAGTTTTTTCCTGCTTGTAGGATGGTAAAGCAGTCTTCAGCCTGAGACCCGTTCCTAGGTAAATAGCTGAATTGGGGTTTTGTCTTGGCTAAACTTAAAAACTTAAAACTTAAACTTAAACTTGGCTAAGCTTAAAAAGCACCCGGTCTTAATTTCTCCTTACCATTAGAGTGCTCAGTGATCATATTGTTGAGTTTTTGGTTGTTGTCTGTTCTGGTCTTCCCCTCATCAGATTTGTCCAACTCTACCTGACTTGGTTAAATCTGAGTGAGAATTCCAGATTATGGGTAACAAAGCCTCTCTAATTTGGCTAAAATTCCTCACAGCTGCAAGAGGAAAAAAAACCCAACACAACAAAACAAAAAATACGATGCAATTGGTTTCCGTGTTTGCTTCCTGTCTTGAAAACCAAATGTTCTTTAATTTACTTTTCTTTCACCCAATACCTCCTTCCCCCTTTGCCATCTGCAGTATCAAAAAAAATCTAGAGAAGGCTTCTAATGACTTGAACTCCTTTAAAGAATTCAGAACAAAGCCACCACTCACCCCTTTTGGTGTGTTCTGTTTTCTTTGTGGAGTGTCAAGAATCATGGGCAGACACTTCTTAGGTCTAAAGCTCTTTTTTCCTGACCTCTTTGGCTCTGGGGGTACCAGAGATTACCTTGTACTGTGAGAGGCATGTGTAATGGCAGACAAGAACTACAGTGTTGGGGTGGTTGAGCACAGTTTACAGGAAGTGGTCATGGCTGTTTTTTGTTTTTTGTTTTTTTATTTTCTCCTAGGAAGTTGTTTAACAATCCTAATTCTAGTCCAGAGATGCATCCTAAAGGGTCTTCTCTATTGCTTTTTCTCTGAACATTAATCTTGATTTGGCTTCTTGGTGCACATTTGCCTGAGGAACTGAACTATTGTTCAATTCACAGGTAAACAAGACGCTGAGTTTTCTCAGCTCTGAAGAGAAAGGGCATTTTGCTCCTCCCAGCCAAAAGGCACCCCTGGGTGACTGGGGGCCTCCTGGGAGTATCTAGGGGGTTGGCCCCTTGTTGGGAGCTGAAAGCCTGAGGGTTGTGACCAACTCAGCATTCCACTGGAGGCTGTATGATCAAACAGCAAACTGTTTATCATGAATGCAGGATGTGGGCAAACACATCTGCACCTGCTGCCAGAAGGTATGCTGAGGGCAATCACTCCCTGGCACCATGCTCCTTGAGGTTATCTACTGGGACATCTGGGGCCTACTGTTCAAAGAATGCAGTCATGCAGGCCTGCCCTAAGTCAAGCAGCTGACTGACAACCACCCCCTTCTCCCTATCTCTTTTACTCAATAAATACGAAGGGCTCTAGAAGCTCAGGGCCCTTGTTCACTAGAAGCAAGGAACCCCCTGACCCCTTCTTCCAAAGATACACTTTTGTCTTTGTCTTTATTCCTGCATTCATCCTCCTTTGTTTAGTCCACCAGGGTCTGCGGCAGCCCCTCACAACATGCAGTGGCCCTACAGGGAAATCCCCAACAAAAATTGATTTAAAAAAAGGCAGCCAGGCAGGGTGGCTCACACCTGTAATCCCAGCACTTTGGGAGGCTGAGGTGGGCGGATCATAAGGTCAGGAGTTTGAGACCAGCCTGGCCAATATGGTGAAACTCCTTCTCTACTAAATAAAATAAAATAAAATCCAAAAATTAGTCGGGGGTCATGGGGCACACCTGTAGTCCCAGCTATTTGGAAGGGTAAGGCAGAGGAATCACTTGAACCCGGGAGGCAGAGGTTGCAGTGAGCTGAGATCACGCCATTGCACTCCAGCCTGGGTGACAGAGACAAAAAAAAAATCTTGTCCAGGAAAAGCATATAAGGGCTGATTACCCAACATTTTGAGCCCTCACCTCAGGAGAGAGAAACTGAGACATATAAGGGGTGGAAACAACTCAGTGGTGACACACTGTGGAGTCCTGCCCATAAGCAGCATACATTGATCCACCGCACAAAAACTCTAATCCAGGGCCAGGCATGGTGGTTCACACCTGTAATCCCAGCACTTTGGGAGGCCAAAGCGGGTGGAACACCTGAGGTCAGGAGTTCAAGACCAGCCTGACAAACATGGAGAAACCCCATCTGTACTAAAAATACAAAATTAACCAGGCGTGATGGTGCATGCCTGTAATCCCAGCTACTCAGGAGGCTGAGGCAGGAGAATCACTTGAACCCAGGAGGCAGAGGTTGTGGTGAGCTGAGATTGCGCCATTGCACTCCAGCCTGGACAACAAGAATGAAACTCCATCTCAAAAACAACAACAACAACAACAAAAAAACCCTAAGCCACAGCTCAGTTCTTCCTTTTAAGAAAAGAAGTAGGGCCAGGTGTGGTGGCTCATGCCTATAATCCCAGCACTTTGGGAGGCTGAGGCGGGAGGATCACCTGAGGTCGGGAGTTTGAGACCAGCCTGACCAACATGGAGAAACCCTGTCTCTACTAAAAATACAAAATTAGCCAGGCATGGTAGCACATGCCAGTAATCCCAGCTATTTGGGGGGCTGAGGCAGGAAAATTGCTTGAACTCGGGAGGTGGAGGTTGCAGTGAGCCGAGATTGCACCATTGTACTCCAGCCTGGGCAAGGAGAGCAAACAAATAATCTAAGAATGAGGAGAAAACAAGGAGAATGACCCTCTTTTGAACATTCCATAGGTTTTATGGCACCTCTACTTGCCGGAGTTTACATAAAATGGAAGTAATATGGTATTTGTGAACATTTACATTAAGGAAAAAGAGCCCTAAGGTTGACCTGCAAACTGTAGAGTTCCTAAGTTCTCTTTTTTTCTACTTTCTTTTCCGCATGCTTAAAATCTGCTGTTATTTTTCTACAAAGATTAAAATCACTGTTTGGATCTAACAAGTTTTTTTATTCACAAACTGGTGAATTTCTATTTATCTCATGGCTAAAGTTCAGAAGTAAATGCTTTAGGGTCTTTGTGTGTGTGTGTGTGTGTGTGTGTGTGTGTGTGTGTGTGTGTGTGTATTTAAAAGGCCTTCATAATTTCTATAATTTTATGTTTAATTGGCAATTAAACCCATTTTAATTTCCCTCTAGCACACCAGACTTTTTCTGTCTGTACCTCATGATATAAATTTTGCTATTTGATTTTCACCTGAGTTGTTTCCTTTAATATGCAAATGTAGGGCTATTTAGCTGACAACTGTCTAGGGTGGTGAAATAGGTTATCAAGAATTTGAAAGTCTAAGGTATGAAAAATAAGGGTCTTTATGAATTTATAAGATGTACTTCTACTGGCATACCTAATACATCTATGTTTTATGTGTTGTGTACACAATGTTTCACTACTGAAAATATATGTAAGAGCTCTAATTAATTGGCATAAGAAAATAAAAGCACTTGAATGAAATACTTTATCAGGAAAAAAGAGAAGACAAGTTAAATGCTCTTTCAAGTTCATGTAACTTAAGTAAAATCTTTAATAAATAAACTAGCTTTAAAATTATTGGTAAAGTAATATTAGAAATGTCTTAAGATTTGCCAGTATACCCTTTTGTTTACATTTATCAATCAAGCAATTTTATACTTATCCCTGCCAAATTTGACTATAAGGTGTCAAAATTTGGGATAGGGGTTACAAAACTGTAAACTTGGTCCAAAATAGAATGATCTTTGCTTGTGTAATTTTAAATAAATAAGACATTGATATTGGTTTAATGAAAATAGCTACATCTTGAATTCAGTAAGATTAGCATAACTTCTAATCTTGTGGCTTTAGGCAGTCTGGCCACAGGCAGTAAGGTTTGTATTGGCAAAGGACAGTTATCATCTTTGTTTCAAAGCTAAACTATAAATTAAGTTATTCCAAAAGTTAGTTTGGCCTGTGCCCAGGAATGAACAAGGACAGCTTGGAGGTTAGAAACAAGATGGAGTCAGTTAGATCAGATCTTTTTCACTGTCTCAGCTATAATTTTGCAATGGTGGTTCCATAACTTTAAATGATGACTAGTGCAGTTTTCATAAAATATCTAGGTAAAATGGTTAAAATAATTAGGTAAATGTAATGGGATAAATACTTGCAGACACACATATCATAATTTAGAATCTAATGTGATGTTAAATAACAGATATTTCATTATTTGGGTATTTTCCAATAAAAACATACTGTAGAAAAACTTTCTAAAAACAAAAAAAGTGTGTCCTTTTTAACAAGGTGAAGAATTTTTGCCTAATTCAAAGCTTATTTTTAAATAACTTTGTTATACATAAAACAAGGCAAAAGGAACCAGGAAATAACAGAGATGTAAAGAAAGTTATAAAGAGGTATTTTTTTGGTAAGAAAGCTTAAGGAAAAATAATTTTATATGAGAAAGAATCTTGTATGGTAAATTTAGTCCTTGAATAAAATGATTGTTTAAGAAAGAGGGATGTTCAGGACAAACCAGAAAGTCCAAGCATGTCATGAATGGTCTGTGTCAGTCACAATAGGAGGATTAAAAAAAACAAAACAAGCTGTATACAATCAAATATAATGATCAAGTTGTCTGTAATTAAAGGGAAATTATAATGGTCTTTCTAGAGATTGGGCTTGATGTAAAAAAAAAAAACACTTGTACACTAAATAATTGATTAGAACAATGAAATTCTCTTACAGGATTGTTTTACTCTTATTTTCATTTTTTTGAGATGGAGTCTTACTCTGTCGCCCAGGCTGGAGTGCAGTGGTGTGATCTTGGCTCATTGCAACCTCCATCCCCCGGGTTGAAGTGATTCTCATGTCTCAGCTGCCTGAGTAGCTGGGATTACAGGCGTCTGCCACTGCATCTGGCTAATTTTCATATTTTTAGTAGAGACGGGGTTTCACCATCTTGGCCAGGCTGGTCTTGAACTCCTGACCTCGTGATCCACTCACCTTGGCCACCCAAAGTGCTGGGATTACAGACATGAGCCACTGCGTCCGGCCAGGATTGTTTTACTCTTAATAAATTATAAGAGATTTTAATTTTTTTAACCCAAAGTTCAACTTTTATTGCGTCTTGCTGTTTTCAGTTTTCTCTCCCTTTTTAAAGGGCATGAAATAGTAACACTCTCCTTCAATTCATTTTCAGCTCATACAACTTTTTTCCCCTCAAGTTCTGTTTGTTGTAAGATGAAATTTTGGTGGGGACACAGCCAAACCATTTTGCAAGGATTTCAAAAAAAAAAAAAAGGCAAAAACCTTCATTTTTTGAGAGAGAAGACTTAATTTTCCAAACAATAACCCCTAATAAAAACAGCATGAACCATTTTTAAATAAATGCACCTAACAATGCACGTTAAGGGACTAGAGAAGCAATAACAAACAAAACCCAAAACTCGTAGGAGGAAATAAATAATAAAGATTAGAACAGAAATAAATAAAATTGGGACTAAAAAATAATAGAGAAGATCAATGAAACAAAAAGCTTGTTCCTGGAAAAGTTAAACAAAATTAATAAACCATTAGCTAGACTAACTTAGAAAAAAAGAGAAGACCTAAATAAATAAAATCATAAATGAAAAAGAAGTCACAAGCAGATACCAGATAAATAAAAAGGATCATTAGAGACTATTGTGAACAACTATACACTAATGAATTTGAAAATGTAGAGGAAATGACTAAATTCCTGGACAAATAAAACCTATCAAGATTGAACCAAGAAGAAACAGAAAACTTCTACAGCCCAATCGTAAGTAATGAGATTGAATCTGTTAGAAAAGAAAAAATCTTCCAACAAAGAAAAGTCCAGGACTGGATGGCTTCACCACTGAATTTTAGTGAACATTTAAAAAACAATGAATACAAATTATCCTCAAACCATTCCAAAAAAATTGAAGCACAGGCAATGTTTTCTAACTCATTCTAACTCATTCTACAAGGCCAGCATAACTCTGATACCAAACCAGACAAGGGCACACAAAAGAGTGAAGGCCAATATCCTTCATGAACATAGACACAAAAATCTTCCACATAACTATTAGCAAGCCAAATCTGGCAACACATCAAAAAGATAATACAACATAATGAAGTGGGATTTATATAAAAATGCAAGAATGGTTCAACATTTGCAAATTAATAAATGCCATATATCACTTCAACAGAATGAAGGACAAAAACCATGATCATCAAAATAGATGCAGAAAAAGCTTTTGATGAAAACTTCAACATCCCTGCATGATAAAAACTTTTAATAAATTGGGTATAGAAGGAAATAACTTTAATGTAATAATGGCTACATAAAAAAAACCCATAGCTAACATCTTACTGAATGGGGAAAAGCTCAAATCTTTTCCTCTAAGAACTGATACAAAAACAAGGATTCTCAGCCTTACCACTCTTACTCAACATAGTACTGGATGTCCCAGGTGGAGTAATTAGGCAAGAGGAAGAAATAAAGGGCATGCAATTGGAAAGGAGGGCATCAAATTGTCCTGTTAGCAGATGACATAATCTTATATATACAGAAAACCTAAAGACTCTACCAAAAAACTGTTAAAACTAATAGAGGAATTTGGTAAACTTGTAGGATACAAAGTTAATATACAAAAATCAGTAGCATTTCTATTCATGAACGGTGCGCTAGCTGAAAAGAAATCAAGAAGGCAACCCCATTTAGCTATAAAAAATAAGATAAATGCCTAGGAATAAATTTAACCAAGGGAATAATAGCCCTCTATAGGGAAAGCTATAAAACAATGATGAAAAAAATTAGAGGGTACAAACGAATGAAAAAACATCCCATGCTTATGGATTGGAAGTATTAATATTGTTCAAATGACAATACTACCCAAAGTAACCTACAGATTCAATGCAATTCTTATTAAAATACCAATGACATTCTTAACAAAAATAGAAAAAAAAATTCTAAAATTCCTTGTGGAACTAGAAAAGACCCTGAACAGCCAAAGCAATTCTGAGGAAAAAAGAATAAAGCTGGAGGTGCCAAACTACCAGACCTCAAATTATGCTACAAGCTGTAGTAACAAAAACAGCATGACACTGGCATAAAAATAGACATATAGACTACTGAAATAGAATAGAGAATCCAGAAATTAATCCACATACTCACAGCCAACTGATTTTTGACAAAGCTGCCAAGAATAATCACTGGGAAAAGAACAGTCTCTTCAACAAATGGTACTGGGAAAACCGGATATCCATATGCAGAAGAATCAAACTAGACCCCCACCTCTTACCTTAGAAATCAACTCAAAACAGATGAAAGACTTAAATGTAAGACCTAAATGATAAAACTATTATTAATAGAAAAAAACATAGGGGAGACATTTCAGGACATTGGTATGGGAAAAGATTTTATGAATGAAACATTAAAAGCACAGACAACAAAAACAAAAGTAAACAAATGGGATTATATCTAACTAAAAAATTTTCTGCACAACAAATCAAACAGAGAGTGAAAAGAAAATGTACAAAATAGGAGAAAATGTTTGCAAACTGCTTCTCTGACAAGGGATTAACATCCCAAATACATAAGGAACTCAAACATTTTAACAGCAAAAAACCCAAACAATCTGATTTTTAAATGGACAAATAATCTGAACAAACATTTCTCAAAAGACAACATGCAAATGGCCAAAAAATATTTGAAAAAAAAATGTTCAACATCACCCATCATGAGGGAAATGCAAATCAAAACCACAATAAAGTATCATTTCACCCCTGTTAAGATGGCTATTATTAAAAAAGACAAACAGTAACAAATGCTGGAGAGGATGCAGATAATTGAATTTAAGATTATCCATATTGACCAATTGCTATCCCCAAGCAACTGCAGCTAGAAGAACAACATAGGAATCCTTTTTGAGAGAGAGAGAGAGAAAAAAAAAAAAACCTTCAATACAGGACGAAATAATTCTTGGCTGGGTGCAGTGGCTCATGCCTGTAATTCTAACACTTTGGGAGGCTGAGGCGGGTGGAACACTGGAGCCCAGGAGTTCGAGACCAGTCTGGGCAACATGGCAAAACCCTGTCTCTACAAAAAAATGCCAAAAAAAAAAAAAAATAGCCAGGCATGGTGGCACCTCTAGTCTCAGCTACTCAGAGGCTGAGGCAGGAGAATCACTTAAATCCAGGAGGTAGAGGTTGCAGTGAGCAGAGATTGCATCATTGCACTCCAGTCTGGGTGACAAAAAATTAAAAAAAAAAAAAAAGGATTCCCACAGATAAAAAGTCCAAGGGAAAAAAAAAATGAGTTCATAGAAAAAAATTACAGGCCGGGCATGGTAGCTCACGCCTGTAATCCCAGCACTTTGGGGGTTTGGGTGGGCAGATCACCTGAGGTCAGGAGTTCCAGACCAGCTTGACCAACATGGTGAAACCCCATCTCTGCCAAAAATACAAAAATTAGCTGGGTGTGGTGGCGGGTGCCTGTAATTCCAGCTACTCAGGAGGCTGAGGCAGGAGAATTGCTTAAACCCAGGAGGTGGAGGTTGCAGTGAGCCAAGATCGTGCCACTGCACTCCAGCCTCGGTGACAAGAGAAAAACTCTGTCTCAAAAAAAAAAAAAAATAAATAAATAAATAAATAAATAAAAAACTACAAAACACAGGGAAACAAGCAACATGAGTAAAACCGGTAGAAACAACAAACATAGAAATAGTCTTCAAATAATTAGAATTATTTGACACAGAAAATATTATGCATATGTTAAGAGTAATAAAAGAGCAAAATGAAAATTTGAGCAGGAAACAAGAGACTATAGATACCAAGCAAAATTGAAAAAGGACCAAATAGAACTTGTAGAAATGAAAAATAACTGACATTAATGACATAGCAGAAGGGTTAAAAATAGGAATAAACAGAGCTAAAGAGAGAATATCACTTTAGTGATAGGTAGAGCTAAAGAAACTATCCCAAATGCAGCCTGAAAAGACAGAGGTAGGAAATATGAAAAGATTAAAAGACATGGAGGATGTTATGGACTGAATGTTTGCTCCTCACCTCCCCTCCGAAATTCGTATGTTGAAATCCTAACCCCCAATATAATGGTACTAGCAGGTGGATCTGTGGGAGCTAATTAGTTAATAAGGGTGGAGCCCTCATGAATATTAATGCCCTTATAAGAGGGGCCAGAGAGAGTTCTCTAGTGCTCCTTCCACTATGTGAAGATAGAAGAAGTCGGCAATCTGCAACCTGAAAGAGGGCCCTCACCGGAACCCAACCGTGATGGCATCCTGATCTCAGACTTCCAGTTGCCAGAACAATGACAAATACATGTTTGTCATTTAAGCCATCCAGACTATATAATTTGTTATAGCAGCCTGAACTAAGATGCAGATAATGTGGGAAGATCTAACAGATATCTTTTGGGAGTTCCAAAAATAGATAACAGAATTAGAAAGAAGCCCTATTCAAAGCAATAATGGTTGATAATTTTCCAGAATTGGTAAGACATCAAGTCTCAAACCCAGTAACCTTAATGACTCCTAAGTATGATAAATAAATCCACACCTAAATATATCCCAATTTTAAAAAAAGTGAAGAGTATCAAAGACAAGTTAAAAAATCAGCAAAGCGGCTGGGCATGGTGGCTCATGCCTGTAATCCCAGCACTTTCGGAGGCCCAGGTGGGCAGATCACCTGAGGTCTGGAGTTTGAGACCAGCCTGACCAACATGGAGAAACCCCATCTCTCCTAAAAAACAAAATTAGCCAGGCGTGGTGGCACATGTCTGTAATCCCAGTTACTCGGGAGGCTGAGGCAGGAGAGTTGCTTCAACCCAGGAGGCAGAGGTTGTGGTGAGCCAAGATTGCACCATTGCGA
Organism: Homo sapiens; assembly: GCF_000001405.40. Lineage (NCBI taxonomy): Eukaryota > Metazoa > Chordata > Mammalia > Primates > Hominidae > Homo > Homo sapiens. The sequence continues at coordinate 158,612,887 of NC_000003.12, read as the reverse complement.
GACTCTATCTCAAAAAAAAAAAAAAAAAAAGTATCAGCAAAGCTGCCAGAAATAAAAAGATAAATCCTCTAAGGAGGAACACCATCATACTGGTTGCATATTTTTTCATGAGCAACAGTGAAATCTAAACACCAAGGAAGTACTCTATTTAGTATTATTTGGGAGAAAACAATTGTAAAATTACAATTCCATTACCAACAGTTTTGCTCAATTAGTGGGTTAAATAACAACAATTTCAGATAATCTCCACTTCAAACCTGGTTCAATTTAACTGTGAAAATAGTCTTTTTTTTTATTATACTTTAAGTTTTAGGGTACGTGTGCACAATATGCAGGTTTGTTACATATGTATACATGTGCCATGTTGGTGTGCTGCACCCATTAACTCGTCGTTTAACATTAGGTATATCTCCTAATGCTATCCCTCTCCCCCTCCCCCCACCCCACAACAGGCCCCGGTGTGTGATGTTCCCCTTCCTGTGTCCATGTGTTCTCATTGTTCAATTCCCACCTATGAGTAAGAACATGCTGTGTTTGGTTTTTTGTCCTTGCGATAGTTTGCTGAGAATGATAGTTTCCAGCTTCATTCATGTCCCTACAAAGGACATGAACTCATCATTTTTTATGGCTGCATAGTATTCCATGCTGTATATGTGCCACATTTTCTTAATCCAGTCTATCGTTGTTGGACATTTGGGTTGGTTCCAAGTCTTTGCTATTGTGAATAGTGCCGCGATAAACATACGTGTGCATATGTCTTTATAGCAGCATGTTTTATAATCCTTTAGGTATATACCCTTTCTCAATGAACTTCCAAAGAATATAGTTCAGGCCAGACACAGTGGCTCACGCCTGTAGTCCCAGCACTATGGGAGGCTGAGGTAGGAGTACTGCTTGAGTCCAGGAGTTCGAAACCAGCTTGGGCAACATAGTGAGACCTTGCCTCTACAAAAATGCCTAAAAAATTAGCCAGGCATGGTGGCACTTCCCTGTAGTCCCAGCTACTCCAGAGGCTGGGACTCTCAAGAAAACAAAAAACAAATATAGTTCAGGAAGGAAAAAAAAAAGATCTCAGATGGACGGTCTGGGGTACAAAAAGTGGATGGTGAGCAAAAGTATTGTGGGAAAATATTTTAAAAATTGATGATACAGAAGAATATTTAAAATGATGAATTTGATACTACATGATCTCATTCATATATGGAATCTAAAAAAGTTGATCTCATAAAGAGTAGAATAGTAGGTGGGGCACGGTGCCCACCCCTGTAATCCCAACACTTTGAGAGGCCAAGGCAGGCAGATACCTGAGGTCAGGAGTTTGAGACCAGCCTGGCTAACATGGTGAAACCCCGTCTCTGCTAAAAATACAAAATTAGCTGGGCGTGATGGCGGGCACCTGTAATCCCAGCTACTCGAGAGGCTGAGGCAGGAGAATCACTTGAACCCTGGAGGCAGAGGTTGCAGTGAGCCAGGATCGCGCCACTGCACTCCTGACGGAGACAGTGTGAGACTCCATCTCAAAAAAGAAAAAAAAAAAGAGTAGAATAGTGGGTCACCAGAAGCTAGGGACAGTAGGGAAGATGGGAAAATGGGGAGAGGTTGGTTAATGTACAAAGTTACAGTTAGAAGTTCTAATTATTGCACAGTATGATGACTACAGTTAACAAATAATGGATTGTATATTTCAAAATAACTAGAAGAGAGGATTTTGAATGTTCTCACCACAAAGAATCAATAAGTATCTGAGGGATAAGTATACTAATTATCCTGTCTTGATCATTACACGGTGTATACATGACATGTATCAAAACATCACACTGTCAAAATTAAAAAATGAATTTGAATACAATAAAACAATCCAACTATTCCAGGGCATAAGAAGCTTGCTCCTTTAGACTCTGCCTTTCTCACCTCCACACTGCATTTTGAACTGCTGTCTACTTTTTTGCACATTTTTCCCTGTGCTCTGACCACAGCCTTCTCCCAGTGTCAGCCTCCATATGCATGGTAAAGACCCTCTCCTGTCTCTTGTATGTAACTTAGATGTTACTTACCATGACCCTGGATTAAAATAATTGGTAGAATGGGCCTGGATGATCCAGAAACGTTAGAGAAAGAACTGAAAAATATGTGGCCATCCATATGGCAAGCTATCCAGTGCCTTAATTTTAGAGAAAATATAAAATGTTGATTACATTCTTCTTGCAAAGTATGCGAGGCAGAAAACCATTTTGTTTTTCGAAGTCAACTACTAACTTGCATTAGTCTGGTTTCTCTGAGAAGCAGATGCCAAGAAAGGATTAAATGATCAAAGATTTTATTAGGAGAAACACCTGAGAGAGAAAATGGAGGTAGCTAGGTAAGGTTGAGAGGGCCACCAGTCAGTCATACAAGTTTGATCCCGAGTGAAAGAGAGAGGGAAGGAAGAGTTGGTGAAAGCATCCTATACTGCCTTTCACTCTCCAGAAATTTTGGCAAGGCCACTGGGGAGTTCTTGAGCCAAAGTCAGATGTCAGAGTCCAACAACTCTCAGGAACAGACCTATCCCTGCAGGACTTAGTCACTGACTGGGAGCGGCCCATGGGAAGACCATTCTCAGAGAAAATGCACAGATGGATCAGACCACAGCCAGCCAACCCCTCTATCAACTAAATCCCCTGTAGTTGGCCAGCCAGGTGTAGTCTCTTGGTCACCACCCAAGCAAACATCTGGGCTTTGAAGGAGGAGATTCCTATACATATGTAAAAGAAGAAATTTCAGCCTGGTGATATCATTATTGATCACTTCATTGACAGGACAATCACAAGTTCTCAGATCTTCTATGACAGGAGTCATTCCTGTGCCATATTCCAAAGCCTAAACCAAGCTGCCCCCAAACTAAAGAGGTTCTCTGCAACTGCCAAGAAGCTAGGACTGTGATGTCACTCAAAGGGGACAACGGACACAAATGTAGGCCTCTGTTTTAGCTCCTGAGCAGAAATATTCTTGTTCTATACTGAAGGGGTGGATATTATACGACTACAATTCCAGAGGTGGAATTCTAGAGGTAATAAGCTGGAATTTACTATACCAGCATTGCCATGGCTACAGACAGTGATTGCTACAAGGAGCATGAATATGCAGTTAATAGAGTTTTGAAGACCCTGACAGAAAATGCAAATAAGATCTTAAACTTACTCTTCACTTATCATATCACATATAGGGTTCATGGAATATTCAAAACCTCTTTATTACGTGAAGAATAAGAGCCAATTTTGTTAGATTACAAGACATTAAAATAACATGGCTGCCCAGGAGAAAAGATTATAATTTCAGTCACATTGGGATACTTAACTTGAAATAATGTGATAAATACATGTAGTTTCATGTCTTGCTCATTTAGGAAGAACTAATGATATGACAAGTAATGGCTTACATTGGAAGCTCCTACAAGACCTACGCTGCTTAAAATATACAGAAAAGCAAAGCAAATCAGCTGTAAACATATGGAAAAAGATCATACTTCATTAATTATCAGAGAAAAAGTGCAAAATTAAGATAAGGAGGTAATATTTTACCTCTATTAAAATTTGTAATAATAAAAGTTTGAGAGGTAACCTCCACCATTCTCTTTGGGCAAGGGATATGAAAAAAATGGACATTTCCGGGACATTCATTGGTATGACTATAAATAAGTACAATCTTTCTGTAATTTAGTAAAATGTATCAAAAATTTAAAAATAGCTATACTCTTTGAATTGGTAACTCTGTTCCCATAATTTATCTTAAACAAATTATCAGCAATACAGTTATGTATAAAAATTATATTCATACAAATTTACAATAGCAAAAATTTAAAACAATCTGAAATACCAAATATTTGGAGGTAAAGTATGGTACAGCTATAATTAGACTCTGATGTAAACAATGAAACTGAAGATCATGTTTTCAAAGAATATTGTCCTCAAGAAATGGTTACTCCAAAATGTGAAAAATCAGGATATAATTTTACAGTATTTTGTTTTTAAAATTCTATATATCCACATAAAAGGACTAGAAATGAATACACATTATCTTTTGTTGTTTGGGGGATGATGGGATAATGGGTACTTTCTATTTTAGCATTCTTCTGCATATTTACATTTTCCATAATAAATGTAATCAAATAGTAAAGTCGATCATTTTAAAAAATGAAAACAACCTGAGAAAGTTCCAGTTCTTGAAAACACACTGATTCTGGTGAGGCAAAATTTGAGGCTGGAGTATTATGAAAAGTCGTTTTTTTCTTAAAAATTAACTCTATGCACCATAGAAAAAGGATTATTAATGTCTATATCCCACAATCATATTTGTATGTATCAGTTTATGATAGTCTATAAACCATTTTAAGACTATATACACAATGTAACATGTTGTATATTTTTCAGATTAATATTTTATTTCCACTCCTTTCACACCATAACATTCTTCAAGTACCAAAGTCCCTAGCTAGTCTTTTTCTCTTCTCTAATGTTTAAGAATTATTTCCAGAGTTTTTAGCTGTACTTAGTGGGAAGAATAAGAAAAAATATGTATGCTCCATTTGTTTAGAACCAGAAGTCTCTTCTCTCAAATATCGCTTCATATATTTTAATGCTACGTTATTAGGTATAATTGGCTTAGAATTGATGTATCTTCCTGATCAATCAAATCTTTTTTTAGCAGGGTCCCCCTTTATAATCTAGTAGTCACTTTTTGCCTTAAATGTTTTATTATAATATAGATATACTAACTTTCTTATGGCTAATATTTGCCATTGTATCTTTTCCATCATCTGTCAACCTTTTAATGTCTTTTGAATATGACTTTTGGAAACAGTATAGTGCTAGATTTTTTAAAAATTTGAACTGACAATGTTTGCTTTTTAATCTTTTTGTCACTAATTATATACATATTTGCATTTATTTCTCATCAATTTTTTATGTTTTGTATTTACCTTTTCCTCATTTCTTGCCTTGAGATTGAATTCATTTTATCTCCTTCAAAGGTATACACTCTATTGTCTATTCTTTTAGTGGCTACCTTATTTTGACAAGCATTCTTAACAGTCATCAGTTAATCATTTATTTTTACTTTGAACCTTAAGAATACAAGGACCTTAGAAAATTTTAATTCTGATTATCTTCTTCCAATTTATATCTATTGTTCCTTATTTTAATTCTAGGATTAACATTTCCCAAAAGATTAGCCATTAATGTTTTATAAGTCTGGAATTTTTTTTTTTACAATTAGCAAATTACGTGGAAAGTAATTTCATAGATCTACACACATTGACTTTTCAGACTCTGTTTTTTTTTTTTGAGATGGGCTGGAGTGCAATGGCGCGATCTCCGCTCACTGCAAGGTACATCACTTTAAAACACCCTGTAACAGAGCACAGTGAAAAGAAAAAATATAGTTCTTCCTGTTGAAGACTTCCAAGAATAAAAACAAATGTCATTCTCATGAAATTAACAATAATGAATATACAGATGAAAAACAAGCTTTTAATTTCTATTTATTTTATTAAAAAACCTCATGAACTCACATAAAATAATTCATTGGCTCATAAAAGGAGTGGAAATAAAATATTAATCTTAAAAATAAACCATCCTACCTAGTATGTGTATATAGGTTTTTTTTTTTTTTTTTTTTTTTTTGAGATGGACTCCTGCTCTGTTGCCCAGGCTGGAGTGCAGAGATGCGACCTCGGCTCACTGCAACCTCCGCCTCCCAGGTTCCAGCAATTCTCCTGCCTCAGCCTCCTGAGTAGCTGGGATTATAGGTGCCCGCCACCACACCCGCTGAATTTTTGTATATTTAGTAGAGACAGGGTTTTGCCATGTTGGTCAGGCTGGTCTTGAAGTGACCTCAAGCAATCCACTTGCCGCAGCCTCCCAAAGTGCTGGGATTACAGGCATGAGCCACTGCGCCCGGCATGTATATAGTTTTAAATAGTTTCAATTTACAGACTAACAGTATTAAACACCCATCATAAGAAGTTGTTGCAAACAAATATTATTCTGGGGTATAGATATCGATAGTTATGTTTTTATGGTGCAAAGATAGAGTTGACTTTTAAGAAAGAAACAGAACTTTTCTCGGTACTACCATCTCAAATTCTGCCTCACCACAATCTCTAACTGCAATCTGATGTACAGGAATTATACTGTTAAACACAATTATTTATTAAAGGGTGTTTTTAGATTTGACTACAATGATTCAAGTTATCATCAGTGTAATGATTTAGGCAAAAGGAAAATCAAGTATGTACTTTATTAAGACTTTGCTCTATCAGGTTAATTTATATCAAGATGTTATTTAAAATGTGTGCCTTATGACAATTTCCCAATGTGTTATGGTATGTTAGGAGTATACTAAAGTATGCCTAAAAGGAAATTTTTAACTAATACATGCTCAATTTCAACAATGAATTAACACATTTGCATTTTATTTTAATGACTAAAGGCATAAAACACAAACTAGTAAAATTAACAAAAATATTATATAAAAAATTAGAGAAGTATGAACATAGTCATATAATTTTACTTACAAAATTGAAAAGAAAAATACTTAGGATTATAGAGTGATAGCAATTTTTGGGGGCTTTTTTCCTTGACAGAAATATTAAACAACAAATGTGAGTTAAGATTTTATATTCTTATAAACTTCAAACCTAACTTTTATAAGAACAGACTGATGCTTAAATTCTAGAATTAAAAAGCTAAAGCTGATTTTTAATGGTATAATTAAAACAGAAACAACTGAATTATTAAGACGTTGCTCAAAAACACCCATCAGCTGTCTAACAGATTTTGAGACAATGTATCATTCTGGTTTGGAGAATACCAAATGCATTTTTCTAAATGTCACAAAAAAGCTGAGCAGAGTTTCTCCAAGGACTCTCCAGCTTCAGAATGTTAACCTTGGAGACAGATGAAGCTGTTTGTGGGAAAGGAGAGTAGAAATATGCCACATTAAGAAGTTAAAGAGAATGGTCAATATAATATCTGGTGAATATTAAGAATGTAATATAGAAAAGATACATTCTATAAATAAATTATAACCAAAACAATCATGTACATTAGCAATTTAAAATATTTTTCTCTGAAAATGAACTATTTGATTATCCTTGCCCTTTATCAAAATAGTAACTATTTTCTCATAAAAGAGTACTAGTGTAGTTTTGCTTTATTATTTTTAAAGTTTTAAGCTAGTTGGCTTTACAACACATTATAAAATTAGAGATAAATTATTTAAACCTTTATTAATATCACCCTAGTACAGTGTTAGTAAAAACTGAGACTTTTTTAACATTATAATTTCTTATAACTAATTATAAGTGATAGAACTGCTCTGCAATCAATCTTGATAAATATAAAAGAATATTTAGCCAACACAAAAACAACTGGGGAAGCGAAATAAGCATATAAGCTTTAAAAAATTAGTATGTTTTAAAGAGTTTTACATTAAATAGACTCAATTTACTCACATTGTTGAAAATCAAAATTTTATTCCTAAAAGAGGGACAATATAAAGCTAGGACCTTCATGAACATTCAGATATCAGAAGAAAGTTGCCAAGGACAGAACTGATTTAACAGCAAGAGATTGGTCTTATGCTTATTACCCAGCACCATTACTAACTGTTAAAACAATCAAAACTAAACAAATCAAATGCATGGCTATTTATTTTTTGTTGCTTTTCACAGATGAGCCTTTGATGTGGAGTTTGTCCCCCAAAACATTTGATCTCCTTCCATGTTCAATGGCTGGACTTTGTTGAGGTTTCTCCCTGAGAAATATACATGTGAATATTAATATCATTTAAAAAATGGCCAATGGTTTATAAATCAATACAAACATGTTAAAAACCACTGTAATATAAGAAAAGTTTTATCTTAAAAATTCCTTAATGGCTTTGAAAAACAAGGCTGGCCAGGTGCGGTGGCTCATGCCTGTAATCCCGGCACTTTGGGAGGCTGAGGCAGGCAGATCACAAGTTAAGAGATCGAGACCATCCTGGCCAACATGATGAAACCCCATCTCTACTAAAAATACAAAGATTAGCTGGGCGTGGTGATGCGCGCCTGTAGTCCCAGCTACTCAGGAGGCTGAAGCAGGAGGATTGCCTGAACCTGGGAGGTGGAGGTTGCAGTGAGTTGAGATCGCGCCACTGCACTCCAGCCTGGCGACAGAGCCAGACTCTGTACCCCCTGCCCTAAAACAAAAAATAAAAAACAAAAAAAACCAGAAAATAAGGCAGACTATTTCAGTGAATTTAAGACAGCAACAGCTGTTTTCCTGTTAGATTTAACTGTTTATAGTTTAAACACTGTTTAATGTTAACAGTATGGTAGTCACTAACCACATTTATATTTGAATTAAAATAAAATAATTCAGTTCTTCAGTTGTACCAGCAATGCTTCAAATGTGAATCAACAGCCACATGTGGCTAGTGATTACTACACTGGACAGAATAGATATATAGCATTTTTGTCATTACCGAAGTCATTTCAGAAAATGCCATTGGACAGTGCCGGTTAAGAGAAAATGCCACTGTTAGGGCCAGAAATTTATAGGTCATCCATAAAGAGCATGCCTTCTCTAAGTGCGACCTGGATTTCCTATTCAAACTTGGCACTGCCAGGTTTTTAATCAATACATTTTTCAAATGAGACAAATATCTATAATGAATATGGGAGCAAGTTTTCAAGCAATTCAATAGAAAATACTAGGGCTCTAAATTCCTAAACAAGTATTTTAGAAGAAAAGATCCTAGCATATGAAATTCTGCATAAGGCTTCTGATTTACTTGATACTCACTTGTCCACTGCTAGTTCTGTGAAGGCTTCCACCTTCTGTAGCAATTTTCCACTTTCTTATAGCTTAGAACAGATTTCTATTTAAGGTCTGGTGAGGCCTTTGAGTGTAACTTCATAGGAATTAGATATTATTATCCATTTATTCCTCTGAGAACCACATTAAACTGTAGCTCCAGAGTATGTACAAAATGTATTTAAAAACTCTATAATATTTATTTATTTATTTTTGAGATGGAGTCTTGCTCTGTCACTCAGGCTGTAGTGCAGTGGTGTGATTTTGGCTCACCACAACCTCTGCCTCCCAGGTTCAAGCAATTCTCCTGCCTTAGCCTCCCAAGTAGCTGGGATTACAGGGTGTGTGCTACCACACCTAGCTAATTTTTGTATTTTTAGTAGAGACGGGGTTTCACCATGTTGGCCAGGCTGGTATCGAACTCCTGACCGCAACTGATCCACCTGCCTCGGCCTCCGGAAGTGCTGGGATTACAGGTATGAGCCACCATGTCCAGACAGAAATCTCTATAATCTTTAATATGTGGTTTCAGCAAATTTATTTTTCTCAGCTATTCTAAAAGGGAATTCTAAAAGAAGCTAATGTTCTTGCAAAATTCTTCCAAAATATCTAATACACATCGAATATGGTATTGCATGTACTGTTACATATTATACAAGTGTCTGAAATTTACTATTAAATGCTAAATTTTGATTTGTTAAGAAAGTTGTTAAGTCTTCCAAATAGAGCCCCTCTCCCCTTATCATATCTCTAGATATCTTTACCAGTGTGAAATGTATGACTCTATCTATATCCATATTACAATGTGTTTTACAAGAATAACTACACTACAGGATATCAGTTTTCCTTAAGAGGATTTTGGTCTCTGTCTTCTGAGGCATAGTTTACTAGTGAATTACTAACCATAAAATCCTAAACTATTATTGATTTTTAGATATAAATTTAAATTTGTGTGGAATAATCAGCTTTCATATAAAATTATTACATCTTTCACAAAAGATACTGTGGATACAATTTGGATGATCATCAAAACTTTCTGATAACAGAAGTAAATTACATAACTTTACTTCAAATTCTTCTTAAAAAACCAAACTATTTTAGAAACAACTTTTACCTTCTTTTAAGTTCTCGGGAGCCAGGATTCTCATGGCCAACACTTCTCATTCTAGTGTTTCCTAGATTGTGTCGTCCTGGTTTGTACTTCAAAACCTCACTTTGCCACTCCTCATCAAAAGCATGAGCATCACCTATGTCAAACAGAAAAATAATGGGAATAAGTATTAAGGTATCAACTGTCAGTAACTGCCTTGCTCCCACATATTTCAGTCTAGTCTGGTGTTTTCATTAGTGTAACCTCAATACAGAGGCAGGAAGCTGCTTCAAATATAAGGGTCTTTGACAAAAGTAGTATTTGTTTTCCTGTCTGTTCCTCTCCTATTCCTACTGATGATCTAGTTATTGATGATCTATTTTTTCAACTGCCTGGATAACATATTATTCTACCCAATGGACCAGCTGACCTAATTATATTAACTAACAGTTTTTCTTCCTGGGTCATCTCACAGTGAATATACTCTTCCTGTATAGTGTATACTTCTGTGGCTAGCACTTCTATTCACCTAACCATCTTTCTGTGTAACTTGACCTCACAAGTTTCTGTTGTCAATTTCCTAAGACAGGTTACTCAGCTAGAATGTCAATTCATGTTGTTATGAAGTAATCTAACTTCCATAATAGCAACAATAGAGACATGATAGTACTTCTTAAGACTGCTTTAAAATATTATGTTCCTTCACTCAATTTTTCATCAAAATGTTGATTATTGTGAAATACTCAGTATATATATAAATGTGATAAAATTACAGAGGTTACAAATAAACACAGGTCACAATATCATGGCTTCTATCTTACTGCATAAGAATAATTTTATCAAACCCCAGCCAGGTGTGGTGGCTCACGCCTGTAATCCCGGCACTTTGGGAGGCTGAGGTGGGCGGATCACAAGGTCAGGAGATCAAGACCATCCTGGCTAACATGGTGAAACCACGTCTCTACTAAAAATAGAAAAAATTAGCCAGGCATGGTGGCGGGCACCTGTAGTCCCAGCTACTCAGGAGGCTGTGGCAGGAGAATGGCGTGAACCTGGGAGGCGGAGCTTGCAGTGAGCCGAGATCACACCACTGCACCACTGCACTCCAGCCTGGACAACAGAGCGAGACTCCGTCTCAAAAAAAAAAAAAAAAAAAAGAATAATTTTATCAAACCCCAATGTTAATAGAATTTCTTCCTCCCCTCCACCCAACACAGTCTTGCTCTTTTGCCCAGGCTGGAGTGCAATGCGTGATCTTGGCTCACTGCAACCTCTGCCTTCCGGGTTCAAGAGATTCTCCTGTCTCAGCCTCCCAAGTAGCTGGGATTACAGGCGCGGGCCACCATGCCCAGCTGATTTTTGTATTTTTATTTATTTTATTTATTTATTTTTTTGAGACAGAGTCTCGCTCTGTCGCCCAGGCTGGAGTGCAAGGGCTCGATCTTGGCTCACTGCAACCTCCGCCTCCTGGGTTCAAGCGATTCTCCTGCTTCAGCCCCACGAGTAGCTGGGATTACAGGCACGTGCACCACCATGCCCGGCTAATTTTTGTATTTTTAGTAGAGACGGGGTTTCACCATGTTGGTCAGGCTGGTCTTGAACTCCTGACCTCGTGATCTGCCCGCCTTGGCCTCCCAAAGTGCCAGGATTACAGGCGTGAGTCACTGTGCCGGGCCCTGATTTTTGTATTTTTAGTAGAGATGGGGTTTCACCATGTTGGCCAGGCTGGTCTCGAACTTATGACCCCATGATCTACCTGCCTCGGCCTCTCAAAGTGCTGGGATTACAGGCATGAGCCACCGTGCCCGGCCAGAATTTCTTTTTTAATACAACAATTTAAAATTTAAACACTCTATTATGGAAAAACATTATTCAAAATACTTTCTGAAACTAGGAGATGAATCCAACTAAATTTTAATATAATTTCATTATTGAATTAATACAATTAAATATAAAAGCTTAATATTGATTTAAAAATTAATAAAAATAATTTAAATTTAATGATTAAATTTGTTAATAAATTGTAATATAATTAAAAACTACAGGGAGAAGAGTTAGGACACTAGAAGGATGTAAATGCATTGAAGAATAAATACAAAATCCAGAAAAAGAAAAGATTTACTTGAGAGAGAGAGACATACATGTAATCTAACATATAACAGAAATTAAAATCTTGTCTATACAAAAGCCTAAGTACTACTGAACAGTACAGAATGATTTAAGTAAAAATTATGGCTTATTTACAATAAAACTTTAAGGTAACCACTTAAAATGCTTTTGAAAAATAGCATCATAAGTAACTTTACAATTATAATGGTAAATTAAAATAAGCACAATATAAACTATATAAAAGTAGAATAATAATTTGAGAAAAAAGTGTTTATATATATAAAATGATTAGGAAGAAATACATTAAAATATTACTAGTATTTTGAGTTTGGATTATGGATTATTTTTGTCTTTATACTTTTCAAATGTACTTTCTTGATAATCAGAAAAAATATTTAAAGACACATTTTGCCTAATGATATTACTAAATAACAATTCAAAAGATTCCACTTTCCAAGGATAAAATAAAAATAAGTAATATCCCATATTGCCAAAAATCACTATAAAAAAGAGCTCTCCTATGAAAGGATGAAAACACAATCCTATTACTTTCACAAGGTATTCTCTACATGCATTATTCAAAAACTACATCTTATGACATGTTTCTAAAAAAAAATTCATCAAGTACGGCTGTTATTTTAAATTTATAAGAAAGAATATTATTTTTTTGTGATAACTTACTTTCATTCATATTGATGAACTCCTGGTTGACCTCTTCATCTCCAGTCTTCTTGTTCTTTGACTTTTTAATGACATGAGCTCGGTCATGGATATGATGACCAATAGCCATTTTTTCTAGTCCACTGTCAGAATCTCTCATTGCTTTCCTGGTTTCCTTTATCTGTAAAAATAAAGAAATTTTATTATTATTTAAATATATATAGAATGTATATCTCAGGGCCAGCTTACCTACAGAGATATGGCCATAGATCTATTGCTCTAAAAATAATGTGTGCTCAGTTCCACTATTAACTTGTGGTAAAACTGTGGTAATAAGTCTCTGATATTTCCTGAACTCCTTAAAATGAAAATGTCTACAACAAACAGAACCCATACAATTTAACCTTTTTCCAAATTGTAATCAAATATTAAAACAAAAGTAGCAATTATAGTTTAATGCCTTCAAGACTGTCTTAGATAATGTAATAGAAGGAAGTTTATGGTGGGATTCCTACAAATAAGGGCAACTAATTATTCATCAGTCATATTGATTGGCTTGAATCTCATGATTCCCGACTATCAACTCTATGGAAGTATTATAAGAATATTTCTGATAGCAACTAACATGATTTACTGTGGGACATCTACAATTATATTCTGTTTACATTTAAGTTTGTCACTTTTAGAAAGTTAAAATTAAAATGTCTGAGATTAATTAGCAGAACTATGGCAAAAGCATCATTAAAAGGTTCATCTTTATATGTAAGAACTAAAAAATGTACTACTTCACATTCATTAGATTGGTAAACCTAAATTTTTACTATAAGTACTAACAAGGAAGTAGAGAAATGGAAACTCACAAGCCACAGTTTTGGAAGCCAACAATTTCAATCACTGGGATAGTAGCTTGGAAACGCTAGGTAAAGAGGAAAGTACACATACCCTACAACTCAGCAATACCACTCCTAGACTCTGTATAAGGAGCCATGTATAAAGATGAATTAGTGAAAGATTAGACTCACCTACATATCTATTGACAGAAAATGATTTAAAAATCATGGTACATTCATATTTTGGATATTACATAGAAGTTAAAGAAACCAGGGCCACATGTATCAACTTGAATAAATCTCAGAAGCGTATTAATCATAATATATTCATATTTTGGATACTACATAGAAGTTAAAGAAACCAGGGCCACATGTATCAAGCTGAATAAATCTCAGAAGCATATTACTCAGCAAAGACAAGTTGCAGAGGACATATGCAATATGATACCCTTTATGTAATGTTGGGAAATCTGGAAAATAATCCATTTTTTTAATGACAGAAACGTGAAGTAATAAAATTGTAAAAACATGCGTGAAAATGATAAACTCCAGATACAGGAAAATGGTAATCTCTGAGAAGGGGAGAAAGGGAAAATAGACCTCAGAGGAATGTATTAGAAGGTTTAACTGCCTCTGTACATTTTCGCTTAAAAAGAAAACAAAGCAAGAGACAACTTGAAGCAAATAGAGAAAAATGTTATGATATGACTAAACTGGGTGGCAGGAATATGGGCACTTATTATGTTATTCTCTATATCCTTTCTGTACACTTGAAATATTTCATGAGTTAAAAAATTAATTCACTTCAAATGTAAACTTAAAAATAGACATTAATTTCATGAAACAAAGGCTTCTTTTCGTGTTTTGTTTACCTTGTCAACATGTAAAGGTAATAAACATCCATAGATATTTACATGAAAAAAGGCACCCTCACGGGGGGGTGGGGGGGCTACAAAAAAAATGCCACAAACTAAGTAAATACAGTTGAGCTTTAATGGTTTCCACAGTGAGGACTACCTTACCCCCAACCCCCACACCTCCCTCCTGTCCCCCCACCATCTTGTACCAGATTAAATTTTAATAGTTAAAATTTGATCTAGACAGTCTATCATCCCCTAACTTTATAAAACTTTAGGAATGCTTATAGAAAACTTACTCCTCCTGGAGCTCGACGAGTTTGAGTTGAGGCCTGAAAAACCTTTGGCGGTTCATCTCCTATTTTGGAATAAGTCATAACTGAGGAAGAACAAAATGAATGTCCATTTGGATCCACTGAAAGTTGACCCTACAGGTAAACAAATTGTAAATTCAGTCGAGTCAAATATAAATAATTATTGCCAGAGAGTTCAAATAAGTAACAACACTAGCTGTAAGTTCTACTAAGGATACTAAACTACCAATATGGTGTAGTCAAAGGCACACCCAGGTTCTCAAGTGAGAAGTGACTTGAAAAATTACCTCCGCCCAAAAAAAGTCACCCCTAGAGGGTCCTAACGGTCGTCCATTTTAGGTACAATTATCCCACTCTCGTTACAAAGACTAATAAGTGACTCACTCAGAGATCCTTAAGTCTTTGGGTGCTCGTGGCTTAGATTTCAATAAAGATGCTATGCCCCCAAACCTGTGATACTTCTATAGTCAGTGGTTGACCCTTGTGTGTAATCTTGCCAACATTAAGCCAATCAATTAGTTATACATCAAGTTTCGTACCTCCTCCTGTAGGTACCAGATTGCTACATTACTAAAACCAATAATGCCCTAGATTATTTGGGCATTCTGAAATGATCCATAGAATTCAAACTGGATGACTAGAATGTTATGGGTCTTCTTCAGATCAAATCAAGTGACTGGTTTTGATGTTAATATAGAGAGTATTATTATAGTACTAGTTTATTTGGACTATTAGGGAACTATACCTAAACATTATTCCTAAAATTTCTGTTTTCAGAGTCGTTTATAAAACCCTGAAACTCTTCAGATGCTACAAATCCTTTTAAGTAGACAGGTTATTAATAATAAAATTATGCAAATTCATATAAAATGTTCATTTACAATAGTGACTTTCAATAGAATCAATGTTTTTGAGGTTATTTTTTTTCCAATTTTTAAAAAATTTTCAAAGTTAACATTATTTTTCAAACTTGGAGGTTATGAACTCAATTTAGTGGGTTGTAACCAGGATTTTTAATACATGAAATAGACTAGAAAATAACTGTATATACTGTAAATAGTATAGTCATTTTTTCATGAAACTTTTGCTTCAAATATATTTATAAAGTATACAAATATTGCTTATTGGGTTAATCATGTAAGGTATCTTTTTTAACCACTATGGTTAAAAAAGTGTTTGAAAGCCACTATGAAATAGAATATATCAAAGTATACACAATGTTCTCAATGCTTTGTTTTTAGTACTTACGAAGTTTCTTTCTAATTTCTGCATATAGTTTCTCATATTTGACACCATTTGGTCCATTGTCTGGAAAGAGCTGACATCTGTATGCTACAGAATATCAGGAAGTATGTTATTAACTGTAGGTAACAACACAAAAGATGCAAATACATCTTCCAAAACAGCTAAAACATTTTTTTCCAATTCATTTAGTGAAATCTCATGCAGTAATCAACCAGACAAAGATAACTTAGAGGATATAATGACAGTGATTAGTTAAGGAGAAAATTGAAGCATACACAAAATCCCAAAGAGCCAACATACAAATAATTAGGGAACTGTAACATTATAAATACATATATGTGCATGTATATATAAAAACACATACACACCTAATCACTCATTACTCACTTTTTCAAAACATAATTTGGTGTATGTTAAATACTAAGTGATACATTCTCTAGCATACGATAGTTTTCATAATTTTCCTTATCTCTCAATACTCCACCATGCAAATAACTAAATTTGCGTATAAGATGCCAGTGTCACCTCCAGCAGTACCACATGGCTGACAGAAGTTGTCCCTCGAGTAAGTAGCCAGCCTTCCTCTCATCATAGTAGGATCTGGGTGACAGAAATCAATTCACTTTACTAATAGGCCTTCAATTTGCTGCCTACTGAAGGGTCAGTAGGCTATACCCTTGAAGCATGAGGTATGTGTCTTCAGAAAAACAGTTAAGAATTCCTCTAAACAGTAGTTTCTCAACCAAGATTGATTTTGACTCTCAGTGGACACTGGCAATAACTATACTCATTTTTGGCTGTCACAGATGAAGAGAGCATATAACTAGCATCTAGTGGGTGGAGGTCAGGGATGCAGCTTAACATCCTACAATGGATAGGACAGTCTCCCAGAACAAAAAGAATTACCCTGCCCAAAATGACAGTAGGGCTGAGGTTGAGAAACTTTGCTCTAGGAAAATCTACCACTGATTTTAGGTTTTAAAATCTACCACTGATTTTAGGTTTTATCACTGGAAGACTCACCAGAAAATAAAAGTCAGGCACACATTCCAATGTGTTAGCCAGTAAATCATCTGTTATAAAACAGAATGAGTTGCTTGGTTTAATGAACTTCTCTGTTCAACCAAGCGGAGCTCTGAATCCTCCTAAGTTCTATTTGTGTCTCTGTGTTCTATTGCTATTGGATTTTTACAGATATAATAATGTAAAATAGGTGGGAAAACCAAATTCCTCCTTAGAACCTGCACTTAATATTGTAGGGAACAACAAAGGCACATTTAGGAAATACTAATATATATTTGGGTAAAAAAGGACTGAAGTAGAATTAATTTTGCATTTCAGAGAGGCAAACACAATTCAGGGAATATTCTGAATATTTGCTTTAACACTAGATTGAGAATCCGTTCTTATTTCATGAGATATGGAAAGGTTAACCCAAAGAAGGATAAAAAGAGAGAGAGGAAAA
Organism: Homo sapiens; assembly: GCF_000001405.40. Taxonomy (NCBI): domain Eukaryota; kingdom Metazoa; phylum Chordata; class Mammalia; order Primates; family Hominidae; genus Homo; species Homo sapiens. The sequence goes on along the minus strand of NC_000003.12, from coordinate 158,595,483 downwards.
GATTAGACATTTGGGTATTTCTGCCCTCTTCTCAATTCATGTTCAAATCAACCATCAAAAGATGTATCTGCACTTGCTCTGGGGTGACCCAACACACTGGAGTGACAAAAAGTTGGGGTACAAAATGTAGTTGAGACTTCAGTGGGCCCTTAAGGCCTTCAAAAATTTTGTACACATTCTCCTCTTTCTTCCTTAAATGTTTCCTCCTGACTTTAAACCTAGTTAGTTCCTTCTCATGATTCAAGTATCACCACCTGAGAAAGGCCACCGCTGGTCACCTGTCTAATCCCTCCTTCACTTCCCCCCATCTCTGTATCATTACCCTGTTTCATCTTCAGGGTACTGTGACTATCTGAAATTATTTTGTTGTTTATTGTCTATCTTCCCACTTTATAAAAATAATCTCTGAGGGCAGGGCGATTTTGTCTATTTACTACAATATCCCCAATACATATATAATAATTCCTGGCACTTAAGAGGGTTTAATAAATATTTGCGGAATGAATGAATGAATAAATTATCTCTAGCTCAGCTCAAATCCATATATCCAACAGTTTACCAGATAAATCTACCTGGAAAACTCACAGATGCCTCAAATGCCAAACATCCAAAACTAAAATGATTGTTTTGACCACCTCACTCCTGTATCTGTACTGAATCAATGCCTTATCTCAGTGGCATTCCCATCTACCTTATTCTTCATGCCAGAAAAATGGGTGTGATACTTCCCTTCTCCCTCTCTACTGCTCCTTCAACCCTGTCAATCACCAAGTTCCATCCATTCGCCCTTTTAACTCTCTCTCAAATGAGGTAATTCATTTTTATCACCACAGACATTACCTAGTAGAAGTAAGCCATCACTAATACTTTACCAAGAATGCTTCAACAGCCTTCTGGCTTCCCTGCCTCCACTATGGTCTCTTCTAATATTTCAAGAATATGACTCTATTACCACTTTGACGTAAGTCATCACTGCTTCCTCTGCTTTTAAGATGATGTTTACTCTCCTTCTACGGTCTAAAGAAGTCTCTGGTTACCTCTTCTTCCTCATCAGTATCTACTGTTCAACTCATACTCCAGGGCTAAGTGATACTAAACATGTTTTAGCTCCCTAGCCTGCAGGTCTTTGCACATGCTGTTTCCTCTCTGTTGAACAGTATTCCTTTCCCCTCCCTCCTTTTCTGGCTAACTTCTACTAATCCTTAAAGTTCAAGAAGTCTACTTGGATTGACCCACCCCACCTCAAAAGGTGCTTTTTTCCATCTGTGCTCCCATAGCATGCTGAACTTCCTGATCATTTTACTCATAACTCTGTGTTATAACTGCTTTTTTTTGTTATTTGTCTTACTAAATACTCTGGTCAGGAGGGATAAATGTTATACCTGTATGCCAAACTTCAAGGAAACAAATGATTCAATTGTAGCACAAAATAATTAAAAAAAAACCGTTTTCATGAGACTGTAGATACAAATGTTCCAAATTCATGTTATTTTCTGCTACTCCCCAGAATGCTTTTAGTGTGTTGGAAGCTAGCATCACAGACACAGCACAAAAACCCTAAGAAACAGGTGGTAGAAACGCTGGTTGCAGAGTGGCCATTCTTAAGAACAGACAAGAAAAAGCTGCCTGGGCAAGGTGGCAACAAAATCCTAGAGAAAGCAGTTAATCTGTGCTTTTCCAAACGTTGTGCTTATCTATCTACAGTTTAGTACTTTTTAAAAAACCTTTTGGAAAGTAATCATAAGCATGTGGAAGTCCCCAACTTTCAAACACAACTATGAGGATCCCTTTTGTAAATCAAGCAAATATTCATTCAATAAAATCTACTTTTTATTTTTGAAGATGAATTTTATATATGTTGAAATGACTTACTTCAGGAAACATGTGCCTAAACTTTCTAAGGTAAGTCTGATACTTGAAACAGAGGTTTTCAGTACAAACATTAAAAAGCCATTATGGAAGTGAGGCTGCATGCCAATTCAGTCAGCTTGAGTTAATGAAAAATAAATATTTGTCAGAAAATATTGCTAAAATGATTTGTGTCTTAAGATACGAACCATACCACCAAAATCGCCAAAAGGCACAAGAGAACAACTCGTTGCCTGGAAAAATAATATCCAATTCATTTGATTATGACATTTATTATATAGAAGTTTCTCAATTTACCAATTAAATGTTTACTGAATTTCAAATTGCTACATTTCAATTGCTGAGATTCATCTTTATAGAAACCCCTGAGGGCTTGTTATCTTAGAACTATCATTCATGAGGCTGAAAAAGCAAAAGAAATAAAAGAGGCAAAAAAGAAAATGGTTACAATATATAAATATCCTGTTTTTTTTTTAATTTTTAGTTGAGTATGTTTGTAACCTCTAGCTTTGCTCTAAGGCAAGACATATGAAAATATATTTCAGTTGTAAGGCTTTTGAGATACAAGCAAAGGTTAATCTAAGCTTTGAAGGTCCATACGTAACCATATAGAAGATCAGTGTTTCCTGGTCCAATAAAGACAATCCTTTGTAGCTTTTGATACTATTTTCAAGTATTAAAACAATGAGTATGGGAGAGAAAGGATATTTCCTTGCCTGTTCTAATTTCAGATATCAGAGGAAGTTATAAGGTGAGAAATGTATACATAAATATAAAAAATAATGGTTTAAGTTTTGCTTCTAATATATGCTTCTATGGACCTAACAGTTTTGGTAGCACAGTGAAATTCCATATAGCTGACAAGTCACTGTTCAGGATTCACCTTTCCAAAGGTCCCCCCTTTTATATAATAGTGATTTCTAGAACAAGAATATTAGTCATATCCTATCATTATAGATATATACTTCTGTAATACTTTTCTTCAAATTCCTACAGGGCCTTCTCACTAACTGTCTTAAAAAAAAGAACTTACAGTCAAAGAATCTTCACCATCATTATGTCCTCTACGATTATGAGCTCTCCCTCTACCATCAGAGATACTGAGCAAGTCTCTTCCAAAGGGTTCAGAAAAACTTCTTATCATCTGTCGCATATTTTCTCGGTGTGCAAGAATGGACTCACTGTTGAAAATATACATAATCATGAAAGATTCAGTGTTGGAGTTTAAATAGTAAGTAGGCAGGTAAATATTACAAATAATTATTTTGGGCTAATATGTTTGTTAGATAAAAGAAGAGTAGAAGAGAACTCTATTTTATTCATAAATAGAATAGAATTATCTCATAAAGATCCATTATTAGATGGTTCCCTACTTACAATGGTTTAAGTTAAGGTTTTTTGACTTTACTGTGGTATGAAAGCACTCCACATTCAGGAGAAACAGTACTTCAATGATCCATACAGCCATGCTGGTTTTCACTTTCAGTATAGTATTCAATAAATTACATGAGACATTCAACACTTTATAATAAAGTAGGCTTTATGTTAGATGATGTTGCCCAACTGTAAACTAATGTGTATGTTCTGATGATACTCGGTAGGTTAAGTGTATTAAATGCATTTTGATGTATAATATTTTCAATTTGCGATGGGTTCATTGGAATGTAATCTTATCGTTAAGTTGAGAAGCATCTGTAGTTATAAATAAAATTAATGAAAACCTGTTACTGTTATCCAATATAATTCATTTAATGCATAATAAAAAAAACATCTTTATTTATCCCATATTGCATAAAAATACCAACACTATAATCTGATATTTACCCTTTCATCACAAGTCTCATTAAAGAACCTAAATTTTTTTTTTTTACCTTATCACAGTGGTTTCCCAACTTTGTTCCAGTTGGACAGTTACTGACCCACTAATCAATTCCTTATTCCTCGTTCTAGAACTTAAGGTACACCATGATTGGAGCTCACTTTACCAAGGCAATCTTATGCTTTCCTGCAGCCCAGTGGAACTCCCTCTCCAATAGTCTGGCCTCCTTTCAGATTCTCCACTTCAGTTATTCTTCTTAGGTCACCCTTCCCCCTTCTAATTCCAATCCTCTGATGTCATCATAAAGAAGCTAGAAAGTTTTTAAAATTTTTTCTTGGCCAGGCGTGGTGCCTCATGCCTGTAATCCCCGCACTTTGGGAGGCTGAGTCAGGTGGATTGCTTGAGGTCGGGAGTTCAAGACCAGCCTGGCCAACATGGTAAAACCCCATCTCTACTAAAAATACAAAAATTAGCCGGGTGTGGTGACGTACGCCTATAATCCCAGCTACTCCGGAGGCTGAGGCAGGAGAATTGCTTGAACCCGGGAGGCAGAAGTTGCAGTGAGCCAAGATTGCACCATTGCACTCCAGACGGGGTGACAGAGCCAGACTCTGTCTCAAAAAAAAAAAAAAAAAAGAAATTTTCCTTGCAACTCCAGCTCAAAGGAGGAAGCTCAAAGGAGGAAGCTCAAAAATTCTGTCTTCTGCTCATAAGTCCAAGTAGAAAGAGCTTTTCCTCTGAATTTCATAGTATTTGTATACATAAACCTATTCCAAAAGAGCTCAGATTTATTCACACATTACCTTGGAGGTTAAAAAAAGCATAATTGTTCCAAGTGTGAGTTTAAGATTAGCAAACTGCTTAACTGGATTTGTGCTTGTATGTATAGACAGATGTTTTCATTCAGCCTTGTTTAGGCATAATTTACATTCAACGAAATTTACCAATTTTGTTGTACAGTTTGATGAATTTTAAAAAGTGCAGTCATAACCTCCACCATAATTAAGATGTAGAACATTTCTATCATTCCAAAAAGCTTCCTCGTCTCTTTGCAGATAATTACCTGCTCCTAGCCCTAGTTACCATGAATAGGCTTTCTGTCATTATAGTTTGGTCTTCTCCAGATTTCATATAATGGAATCACATAGTATGTCATCTTTTGTGTCTAGCTTCTTTCCCTTAGCATAATGCTTCTTTGATTCATCCATGTTGTTCTCTATTTCAGTTCATTCAGTTTTATTGCTAAGTTCATACATATATCAGTATCATAATCACAAAACTGTTTTTAGTTTTTGGCTATTATGAATAAAGCTACTATGAATATTTATGTACTAGTCTTTGTGTATACATAATTTGACTTAAGTAAACACCTCAGAGCAAGGACTGATGGCTTGTATTAGAAGAGTATGTAAATTTTATGAAAACTGTAACTGAGAGTTCCAGTTGCACTGCATTCTTGGTGAAATATAGGATAGTCAATGTTTAACTGTAGCCATTTGAGTGGTAGGGTCATAACATCTCATTGTAGTTTTATTTTGTATTATTTGTCATTCATGTATGTTCTTTGATAGAACCGTCTTTTCAAATACTTCCCCCATTTTTAAAAATCAGGTTATAAGAGTTCTTTATATATTCTGGACACAGACTTTTATCAGATACAGGTTTTAAATTTTTTCCCAGTCTTGGACTTGCCTTTTTCATTCTCTTAACATGAATATATTCAGCCACACAACCATGAATCTTTGTTAGGTCTTCAGTTTTTACCACATTTTGCTAATGTGTATAAGGATTTTGAGATGGGAAGATTATCCTGGATTATCCCAGTGGGCCCAATGTAATCACAAGGGTCCTTATGAGAAGGAGATAGTAGTGTCATAATCAGAAGATGCTACACTGCTGGCTTTAAAAATGGAGGAAGAGGCCAGAAGCCAAGGAACACAGCAGTATCTAGACGCTAGAAAAGACAAGGAAACAGATTCACCCCCATAAACTCCAGAAGGAATGTAGCCCTGCCAACACCTTGATTTTAGCCCAGGGAAACCCATTTTGGACTTCTGATCTCCACCATAAGATGATTTGTTGTTTTAAGTCTCTAAATATGTGGTAATTTGTTATAGAAGCAATAGGAAACTAATACAAGTTTTTTAATTTTAATTTTAAAATATACAAAAGTCTCACTCCTCTTTTAGAGTATAAGTTCTTCTAGAGTAGGAACTGTATCTTTATTCATTCATATTACCAACCTCTGTGCTTGACACACAGTATACATTATAAATGTTTATGGAGGGCTGGGCGCGGTGGCTCATGCCTGTAATCCCAGCACTTTGGGAGGCCGAGGTGGGTGGATCACGAAGTCAAGAGCTTGAGAAGAGCCTGGCCAACATGGTGAAACCCCGTTTCTACTAAAAGTACAAAAATTAGCTGGGTGTGGTGGTAGGTGCCTGTAATCCCAGCTACTCTGGAGGCTGAGGCAGGAGAATCACTTAAACCCGGGAAGTGGAGGTTGTGATGAGCCAAGATCATGCCATTGCACTCCAGCCTAGGCAATAGGGTGAGACTCCGTCTCAAAATAAAATAAAAAAAAATACAAAAATTCAAAATAAATAAATAAATAAATAATGTTTATGGAATTTGAACCATCCTATATATCAGATGGTCCCCCTACCATTTCTTGGCAAAATTACTAACTATTCTTAATTAAAGGCTCTGCTCACCTTGGTGCTTGCTACACAGAGAAAAATCTCCACTGCAACCAATGCCTGCAGTCTTGAAGTTCCTCCTTAGTGACTTTGGATTTTAGGGGAGGGGAAACTCCTATTTAAACTATACTTGGTTTTCTCTGGCCCAAGTATTTTAGTACATGGGACTTACATGTCCTGATGATAGTTCCAAGGGCTTCTTGTGCTTCAGTTTCAGCTGCTGCAGAGTAAGACCACCTGTATGTCTGAGAAACAACATCCTCAAATGAGGTTTGTTTATGCCATAGAAGCTTATGTCTTAATTGAGGCCATCCTGAATGTGGTCTCAAAATTTTGCGAATATCTATAAATATCTGTTTTTTATGATGCAGAAACACACGTATAAACTTTTTGTAGATTTGTAGTTCATTTTCCTGTCTTTAGATGAAAGCAACAAAACTGATGACTTAGAATGAGGGCAGTTTTTTTCTGCTTTTTTTTTTTTTTTTTTTTTTTTGAGACGGAGTCTCGCTCTCTTGCCCAGGCTGGAGTGCAGTGGCGCGATCTCGGCTCACTGCAAGCTCCGCCTCCTGGGTTCACGCCATTCTCCTGCCTCAGCCCCCCGAGTAGCTGGGACTACAGGCACCAGCCACCACACCCAGCTAATTTTTTGTACTTAGTAGAGACGGGGTTTCACCGTGTTAGCCAGGATGGTCTCAATCAATGTGTTATTCTGACATAACATGTATTAGTTATCTATTGCTGTTGTAACTTAGCAGCTTAAAACAACATTTGTTATGTCACAATTTCTGTTGATTAGGAATCAGGAGCAGTTTAGGTGGGTAGTTCTGACTCAGGGCCTCTCTGTAGGCTGCAATGAAGTTATCAGTTGAGGCTTTAGTCATCTCAAGTCTTGACTGGTGGAGAATCCACTTCCAAGTTCCTTCACACAGCTATTGGCTAGTCTCAAAAATCTGCTTCTAAGCTCATTCAGGTGGACCTCTCCACAGTGCTGCTTTACATCATGGTAGCTCTTTCCCCGAAGTAAGCCATCATGTGTGAGAGAACACCTAAGACAGAAGCCATGCTCTTTAATTTAATTAATTTATTTATTTTTGAGACGGAGTCTTACTCTGTCACCCAGACTGGAGTGCAGTGGCACGATCTCAGCTCACTGCAAGCTCTACCTCCCAGGTTCATGCCATTCTCCTGCCTCAGCCTCCCCAGCAGCTGGGACTACAGGCGCACGCCGCCAGGCCCGGCTAATTTTTTTCTATTTTTAGTAGAGATGGGGTTTCACTGTGTTAGCCAGGATGGTCTCGATTTCCTGACCTCGTGATCTGCCCGCCTCGGCCTCCCAAAGTGCTGGGATTACGGGCGTGGGCCACCGCACCAGGCCAAGCCATGCTCTTTTAAAAATGTAATTTTGGGAGTGACATCTTATCTCTTCTTTTGTATTCTGTTTATTAGAAACAAATTAGTAAGTCTCAGCCCATGTTCAAGGGGAGATTACATAAAGGCATGAATACCAGGGAGTGGGGATCAGCAGCATGTATCTCTAACTTTGATGGCAATGCATTGTTTTGAACTCTGATAAACTCCTTAATTGTTCCTTTTCCTTCTGGCCCTTTACAGAGCTTCTGAGTGTCACAGATAGGTTACTGGTGTCTCAAAATGTTGATACTCTCAGCCTTGGGGCAGCCAGTGAGGACTAAGCCCTGGAGCTGGTTACCTACGCTCTGGTCTCTGTCCCTTCTCGTACCCCAAGTACATGGGCAAACACCTTTTAAAAATGAATGACATTAAAATGTTAAAAAGCACTGCTCCCTAAAGACATGCTTTCTCCAATTTTAATCCATTATCTGTTCTCTTCCCTGTCCTCTAAGGACTACTTCAACTTGAACATCCTTAAAAAATCACTAGAGGTACTTATTAAAATTACAGATTCCTGAGACATATACCTAGAATTTTGATTTAGTATATCCCAAGCATGGCCCATTAATCTGCATTTTAGCAAGCATTCAGTCTATTCAACAATATTATCAGGAATCTGCATTCAATTTCTTGTTTTAATGCAAACTGTCTCATTTATTTAACAAATATTTAATGAACACATATGTAAAAGGCACGGTTCCAGGTAGTGGGGATAGAGCCCTGAACTTTGAAGGTCTAAAGCTAATTTTCAATGTCCTATTGGCCAAGAAGTTGGCATACTTTCCAAAGTACTCAAAATATAAATTACAAATAATGATAAAGCTATGATTAAATATTTGCCTTTTTATATTCTAGTAACTTGAAACCTTATTTCCACATTTTTTCCTTAATCAGCTTTTCCTCTTTATGTCTCTATTTCTACTAAAGGCACAACCATTATACTCCAAGTCATCCAGGTTCAAAACTTCAGGTATGAGCTAGTCGGGGGTTTTTAATCTGTCCTGTGCTAGCTCCAAGGAATGGAAAAATGGTGAGAAACAATTCCATTAAAAGAACAGGGGAAGAGATAGCATTCTAGTTCAGTCTCTCTCCATCAAGAAAAGTTGATGATGGTTTACTTCTGAATTACCACTGCTTCTTGTATCTTATTATTTCCTTCCTGGATTCTAACATCTAGTAATTTGAACACAGTAAACCCTTAGTATCTTACGTCTAAATTCATTTCACACTCAAACTTAAACCATGGCTTGCTTGGGCATATAAATCTCCATTATTTCCTCTCAGTATTTTGATAATATTGCTCCATCATCTTCCTACATCTAGTGTAGCTGAACAGAAGTCAGATGACAATCTGGTTCTCATTCTTTCTAAGAAATCTACTCTCTGGATGCTTTATGGTTTTTTTATATATATTTTTTTAATGTATCAAAATTGCACTTTCATGGGTCCAAGTGTAGATTAAAAAAAATTATCCCGACAACCACCAAATTGCCCTTTTTCTTTTCTTTTTTTTTTTTTTGAGACAGAGTTTCACTCTTGCTGCCCAGGCTGGAGTGCAATGGCGCAATCTCAGCTCACTGCAACCTCCGCCTCCTGGGTTCAAGCAATTCTCCTGCCTCAGCCTCCCCAGTAGCTGGGATTGCAGGTGCCTGCCACTATGCCATACAAATTTTTTTGTATTTTTAGTAGAGATGGGGTTTTACTATGTTGGCCTGGCTGGTCTCGAACTCCTGACCTCAGGCAATCCATCCACCTCAGCATCCCAAAGTGCTGGGATTACAGGCATGAGCCACCACGCCCAGCTTAAATTGCTCTTTTCAATCTGAGTTCCAAAACATTTCAGCTTTTCATTAATTCTAGAAATTGTTCTTAAATTACTTCTTTGGGTATTTACTATTACCTTATTTCTATCTGTTTGCCTTCTTTGTCAAACTTTTTTTAAAGCATATTTTTCTTATCCTCTGTGATTCTGTGTTGAATGTTGGAAGAAATTCCTTGACTCAATTTCCAAGCTTACTAATTTACTCTTTGCTTGTGAACATTCTGCTTAACTCATTTTTCTAAAAAAATTTAATTTCTGTATCTCTGGTTCTTTGTTAAATGGCTGCATTACCCTCTGACATCTCTAAAGAAAATATCCTCTCCCAACTCTGAAGATATGTCTTAGTCAATTTTTGTGTTGCTATAGAGGAATACCTGAGGCTGGGTAATTTACAAAGAAAAGAGGTTTATTTGGGTCATGGTTCTGCAGACTGACAAGAATCATGGAGCCAGCATCATCTTCTGATGAGAACTTCAGGATGCTTCCACTTATGGAGGAAGGTAAAGGGGAACCAGTATGTGCAGAGATCACATGGTAAGAGTGGAAGCAAGAGAGGGGTGGGGAGGTGAAAGGCTCTTTTTAACAACCAGCTCTCAGCTCTCTGGGAACCAATAAAGTGAGAACTCACTTACCACCTCACCCTAACCTCCAGGGAGGGCATTAATCTATTAATGAAGGATCCACCCTCCCATGACCCAAACACTTCTCATTAACTCCCACTACCAATGTTAGGGATCAGATTTCAACATGACATTCTGAGGGTCAAACATCTGAGCTATAGCAAGGTATTTTTCTTTTTCTTTTTCTTTTTTTTTTTTTTTTTTCAGACAGAGTCTTGCTCTGTCTCCCAGGATGGAGAGCAGTGGCATGATCTTGGCTCACTGCAACCTTAAACACCCAGGCTCAAATGATCCTCCCACCTCAGCCTCCCTAGTAGCTGAAACTACAGATGTGCACCACTGTGCCTGGCTAATTTTTGTATTTTTTTGTAGAGATAGGTCCCACTATGTTGCTCAGGCTCATTAGCTATCACTAGTATTAGTGTATTTTACGTGTGGCCCAAGACAGTTCTTCTTGCAATGTGGTACAGAGAAGCCAAAAGATTGGACATCCCTGTTAGACTTTCTATTGGTAGGGGGGGGTATATACATAAAAAAGTATACACACACACACACACACACACACACACACACACACACACACTTTCTTTATGGAGATTAAATATCCTTTCATTCCTTGCAAGCATATTTTCCTTTACTTCATTGGGCAAAATTTATAACAACTGATTTAAAATTCTTGTCTTTTAATTCTAACATATGTGTCTTTTCAGGATCAGTGTCTTATTTTTTTATCTGGAGAATGGGTCACATTTTCCTGTTAAGTAATTTTGGGTTACATCTGTACATTGTGGATATTATGTTGTATAGGGTCTGGATTTTGATATATTCCTCCAGAGTTTTGATTTTTTAAAAATAGGTAATTAATCTGGTTAGCCTTAAAGGTCAAATTCTGTCTCTTGCGTGGTAGCTCAAATCTCCATTTAGTTCATTTATCCTTCTTAGCTGAACTGCTCTGAGTCTGTCTTATGCATACGTGGTTAAGCCTTAGACAGATTTGTACAGAATTTATTCACAGTATTTGGTGCTCACTCTTCTCTGGCTCTCTCCTTTTGGGGACTTCTCTCCCTCCCTTTCCAGTGACTGTGGCTATACTGAACTCTGTCTTTGGTTGTTAGGTCAAAAAGACTTTAAAGGTCTTCGAACAGTTTTAGTCACTCTACATGTAAGACAATTAGGCTAGAATTGTCTTTCCTTTTGTTCAACTGTTGAGACCTCTCCAGCATATATCTGCTTTTGGTCATTCTCTAGCATCTTTTCCAGTAAGTTGTTTTTGTATTTCATCCTGGGCTTATAAAGTTATCTGCAAGAGAGTTGGTCCAGTTGGAGCTCTGTTGGTCACAGTAGAAATGAAAGTCTCCTCAAGATTTTAGTTACACTATTTTCTAGAATCTTCTTTGTTTCATTAACTTTTGATTCCTTAAGTGTTGGTTCTTCTGTTTGGTTAGCATAGCTTCTCTCTTTCATGATGTCAGTTTTTATCAAATGTTTGAAATAATATATTTAGAATAAAATAAATTAATGAATGTCAGGAAATGAATAAAAGTAAAGTTACTTCCACGGAATTGAATTAGGGGGGAGTAGTTTTATGTGTACTTGGTCCTACAGTTTGGTTCAATATCTGAGACTTCCATTTCCCATCTCTGTCTCTCAGACCTTGCACTGCCCTTTTATTTGTTTTTTAAGTAGCTTTCCTGTTTTTACATGCTTCCCAAACTCTTTAATTATAAGAGCGAATAGACATACCTTTTTTCTATTAAATTAGCTTCTCTAGCTGATTTTCTTGTTCTTCCCTTTCTTTCTTTCCCTTTATTTCTTTTTTAAACAACATTTACTGTCTCACAGTTCTGGAGGCTGGAAGTCTGAGATCAACATGTCAGCAAAGTTCATTTCTCTTGAGGCCTCTTCTCTCCTTGACCTGCAGATCCCTGTGTCCTCACATTATCCTTTCTGTTGGTTCCTTTATTTCTGAGATTCCCTACAGCAAAATAGCACCTGGGGGCAATAATCTATCATCCAAAAAGAAAGTGAGGGGAAGAGTGGAGTGACTGCAAATTAAATTCTTCCCGTCATATACAGTCATTTTCAACTACTGCTTTAAATTAGCAACACAAAGGAGAAAAGAACATTTTGCTGCTGGAAATTACTGAGCAGACTTAAGGCCGGGATATACACTTGGGGGAAAGGGAAGGAGAAGAATATAAGAGGTAGATTGGCATTCAATCCATTAAATGTGTGTGTGCCTATTATTATTTGAACAAACTGTTATCTATCAGATCCATTAAGAATAAGAAAAATAAATGTGTTTATTTTACCTTAACTTATTCTCTGATGCTCTTGCTTTTTTAATGTACATCAGAGTTTCTGACTTGTATGATTTTCCTTCTCTCTGAAGAACTTCTTTTAACATTTCTTGCAAGGCAGGTCTACTGTCAACAAATTCACCAAATTTTTGTTTGTCTGAGACAGTCTATTTCTTCTTGACTTTTAAAGGATAATTTTGCAGGATACAGAATTCTAGGTCAGTGGGTTTTTTTCCTCTCAACACTTTATATATTTCATGCCATTCTCTTCTTGCTTGCATGGTCTCTGAAGAGAAGTCAGATATAATTATTTTCTTTGCTCTTCTACAGGTTTTTATTCCCCCTCTAGCTTCTTTCAAGATTTCTTCTTTATCTTTGATTTTCTACAGTTTAAATACGACACACCTAGGTTTAATTTTTTTTTGCATTTATTCTGCTTGGTGTTCTCTAAACTTCTGAGATCTGTGGTTTGGTGTATGACATTAATTTGGGGTAATTCTTAGTCTTCATTTCTTCAAATATTGCTTCTGTTCCTTTGTACTATGGTACTCCTATTACAGGTTATATCTTTCGTAGTTGCCCTACAGTTCTTGCCACAGTTCTTGGATATTATGGGTTTTTTTTTTCCAGTCTTTTTTCTCTTTGATTTTCAGTTTTGGAAGTTTCTACTGTCATATCCTCAAGCTCAGAGATTCTCTCCTAAGCTGTTCATAGTCCACTGATAAGCCCATAAAAGGAATCCTTCATTTCTCTCTTTTTTTTTTGACAGAGTCTCCCTCTGTTGCCCAGGCTGGAGTGCAATGGCACGATCTCAGCTCACTGCAACCTCCACCTCCTGGGTTCAAGTGATTCTCCTGCCTCAGCCTCCCGAGTAGCTGGGATTACAGGCATGCACCACCACGCCCGGCTAATTTTTGTATTTTTAGTAGAGACGGGATTTTGCCATGTTGACCAGGCTGGTCTTGAACTCCTGACCTCAGGTGATCCATCTGCCTTGGCCTCCCAAAGTGCTGGGATTACAGCCGAGAGCCACCACACGCCTGGCCTTCTGTTACAATGTTTTTAGTCTCTAGCATTTTATTTTTACAATTTCCATTTCTCTGCTTATATCTGTTCTAGCACGTTGTCTGCTTTTCCCATTAAAGCCCTTGGCACATTAATCATAGTTTAAAAAAATTCCTGGTCTGATAATTCCAATATTCCTTGCTAGAAATACGGTTTGGATACTTGTTCAGTTTCTTCAAACTGTTTTTTTGCCTTTTAGTATGCCTCGTAATATTTTGTTGAAAGTAGTACATATTTACTGGGTAAAGGGAACTGCAGTAAATAGACCTTTAGTAATGTAGTGGTAAGGTGTTGTGGGAGGCAAAGTGTTCTGTAGTCATAAGATTAACTCACAGTCTTTGGCTTAGCCTAGCCTTGGGTTGTAAACTTCACCAGTGTGCCTTAGTCCTCCCCTCCAGTGTGATAACATGGCTGGAGGAGCTGGAGTTGGGTATTTGCCTTCCCCCAGGCAGACTGGGCTTTGGTAAAAAAGTTTCTCTTGACTGCAGGCCTTGCTAAGAAAAACAGAATGCTCTGGCATATTTAATGGTTACTTTCCACCCCTCTCTTCTGCTGGAAGCATGAGAAGATTTTTTCCAATATTCACTGGGAGAACCTGGTAGAGCTCCTGGAGGTAAAACTCACAAAATTATGGGGGACCATGGAGTTCTTAACTCTGACACTTGTCCACTCTGAGTCTCCAGTAATTTGTCAACTACAGGTCAGGTTTTCCTACTACCCTCGCACTGGTTCCTGAAGAGGTTTCTGCACCAGTTAAGTTGTGATTCTCTCTATCTGCCTATCTCCAATTATGGGGGCAGAGATTTGCCCTGTGACCTCGATTCTCTGCTATATACAAGAAAAGTTGTTTTCTCAGGTTGTTCAGTTTTTAATTTGTTATTAGCGTGAAGTGGTAACCTTAAGCTTCTTACATGGCATATTATTATTTTGAGACAGAGTTTCATTCTGTCAGCTGGAGTGCAATGTGGCATGTTCATGGCTCACTGCAGCTTTGACCTCCTAAGCTCAATTGATCCTCCCACCTCAGCCTCCTTAGCTGGGACTATAGGCGTGCACTACCATGCCTGGATAATTTTTTTTTTTTTTTTTCTGGTAGAGACAGGATTTTGCCATGTTGCTCAGGCTGGTCTCGAGCTCCTGGGCTCTGCCCGTTTCAGCATCCCAAAGTGCTGGGATTACAGGTGTGAGCAACCATGCCCAGCCACATACCAGATTCTTGTAGGATTTTTAGTATGAGTTTTTGTCTTGAGGGGCAAAGGAAATTTAAGACTACCATTCCTAGATTTCCTACCTGTTAAAAGTTTGAGAATCACTATTCTAGCAAAATTATATGCAACAAGCACTATAAAGAAGTTGTGACAATTTATAAATTAATTTTAATTTAAAATCTCAGTGTGTACAGATCAATAGTACACACGGAGCAGCTCATGTTTTAGCACACTAGAAGGCAGAAAGGGAGTCGTTTTTTGTTTTCCAAAATCAGATTATGAAGAACAAAATTACTTTAAAATTAGTAATTCAAAATTTGGCATACGTATCACTCTACTTTTTTTTTCCACCTCACAAAATCTTTCTTTTTTTTTTTTAAGTTCCGGGGTACATGTGCAGGATGTGCAGGTTTGTTACATAGGTGAACATGTGCCATGGTGGTTTGCTACACGTATCAACCCATCACCTAGGTATTAAGTCCAGTATGCATTAGCCATTTTTCCTAATGCTCTCCCTACTTCCACCCCACTCTACTTTTTATTTGAAGGTACAGAGTTTCAAGTAGTTCTAAAATGCACAAATGAGTTACCCATGGAACATTTTCTAACTCCTACCTCAAAAACCAGATTATTCCAAAGTATTCGTTATACCTTTGCAGTATGTTTGAAATATTTCATAATAAATGTAACTGCATGAGGTTAAAGGATTTCATACCATTTGATGTTTTAAAACAGGCATTTCAAAAGGAGGTCCTTTTGCTTACAGCTCCAAACTCACTGGACATTTACAGCTTAGAGTATGGTTAAAGTATGGAGACTAAAATGCTTGTTCCTATTAATATATACTTACTTAGGAAAACCAGTCAACTTTTCCTTTAGATATGTAGATGTGATTTGACTACAATGAAGAAAAGTATTTCAAGAAATACTAAATTTGTTCTTTGAATAAGGGAGTGCTAAACAGCTATTACTTTTCTACAGAATCAAAATTTAGTAAAATTAATTTTTCTCATTGCATTATAATTGGGCTAAAAATTAATCAACAAAATATGGCTCATTTAAAATTTGCCTGGGTTTTTCTTTCTTTATATAGAAGTAGGGGAATATTTAAATGTTTATTTGAATATGTGTATGTTCAGCAAATGCTAAAAATTTTATCTTTCTGAGTGACATGAACAAATGACTGCCTGTTGGAAGATGCACTAAACAAAAGCGAGCCTATAGTCTGGTGTTTGCAACTGTCTGAACCATTCAGGAAGAAATCTGGCTGAAACTTCTAGTGAGTTTAATTCATGTCTACCCAGAAAGGCAGCTGCTTGGAGATAAGGCTTTAATGTTTCTCTTGTCCAAGTTTGAATTCACTTTTATCAAAACTAAAAAAATTCTATGGTAGCACACAGTTGTTTTAATATTTTTAAAATTAACCTAGGCTTTTTTTCTCAAATGAAAAATTTTAGCCCATTCATAATGTTCTCTTTTGAAAATAAAATTTCATTCTTCTAGGAAAACAAATTGGAAATAGGAGGTTTTAAAAAGGTCATGCTATACAAACTAGTCATTTCATGTACACAAAGAGTCTAAGGTAATAATTTGAAAATGTTGTTAAAGATTTATGTGAGAAATATGCTTTGTATGTTCATAGGGTGCAATATTTTGCAGACTCTAAAGTCATGCTTTAGTGAATATCTAAAGACCAGGAAAACGTTCATGGTATATGTTGCAGAAAAGCATTGAATAATTAACCATAAAGTGTGGTCCGAATTTTGGAAAATAAAAATCCACATGTGGACATCTGAAACAAAATACATCAAAATAATGGGTTGTATTATTTCTGCTACCAAACTTTCTATACTTTTCAGATTTTCCATGAGGATGTATTTTCATTTAGGTCAAGAAAAATGTACTTTTACTCACTGATGACTATATACCTCCTCTCTTAGAATTGCTCACACAAACCACAACCAAACTGAATAAACTTTGGTCTCAAACGTACTTTTTCTATTCTATATTATTTACCTTCAGCATATATCACAAGGCAGGAAAAATAAATTGTTGCCTACTTCCCCTTCAAAAGTGTTTATGTCTTAACTCTTAGATTGATTCCAGGTCACTTGGGAATGATTTCAACATAGTGTGTACGTGTGTGTGTGTGTGTGTGTGTGTTTGTATGTATGTATGTACATACGTACATACATGTGTTTAAGGGCTGGTAATGTCTCCCTTTAGAATAATTTATTGTTTTTAAAACTCTCTCAAATACATATGTACACACACACACACACACACACTTATTTTGCCTAAGTTACACTTCTTTTTCATCTATATAAGAATATAGATACTTGTGCTTCTAAGCAAAGAGCATTACCTATTACATAAGGTTCTCAGATAACTGACATGGCAGGCTCACTCATTAAGGGAAATTCCTCCCTTCCATTATACATGGTAGTGGCAAAAGCTTAGCCAGCAGATGGTTATGGTTCTCTTGATCATAAAGAAATGTTCCCTAGTTTCAATGAGGTAGACTGGTCTATAAGGAAAATAGACCAGAAGATCCATGTTTTGATACTAGAAATAATGCATGTAACATTCAAAGAAGGATCTTGAGGGCAGGAACCAAGACATCTAAAAATTTAAAAGAGAACCCACAGGGTTCGGCCTATAGTAGAAACTGAAGAAATATTTAAAGAATGAATTACATTTTTATTAAGCAATTCTATTTTTCCATTGTCTTGAAGTACAAAGTGTTGGTGTGGCAAAAGCCTTTGATATCAAAAAAATTGTGGAAATGATTATGCTCCCCTGATATTCTATAAATAGTTCACTCCTTTTTCATGGATATTTACAATATTAATTGGCAGAAGTAGGAATTATCTTGTGGGTACATGCTACTGTATGGCATTTTTGACCCAGCAACCATGTCCTAGTCATGCTGTGTTCCTGGGCTCCTAATTCAGTGGTGTTTACCTCATGAACCAAAGAATGCCCCAAATGAATAGTATACCTTAGAAATCCTTTCAGCACAAGGCTTACAGTGTCTCATTCTTTCAAATATGATCTTATAATTTGCAAAGTTCATTTATAAGAAATTTATATATTAAAATATTCCTAAGAACAATTATACTAGGTAATTTCACAGTAGGTATTCAGGGTCTTAGAATAAAGTGGGACCTTGAAAATAAGTAACTTAAATTTTAGCTGAGTATTCTCAAGCTACTTTTATCAACTGTTTAGAATGAGAGGTATATGTGGCAGAATATTAACTAGAGCCAAGCTATGACAATTTGGCAGAGACTCTACCTCAGACTGTACGTCTAAACAAGTATTTAAGTAGTAACCTTGAATACTGTTTCCAAAAGCTTAACAAGGTGGTTTTATTTCCTTCAATGAGAATGTTTTCCATCAATAAAAAAGTTAACCCACATCTTGTACATAGAATACATTCACTTTGAACTCCATCAGTGGATAGGACAAAGCAATGTCCTTTAATAAATCCAACTACTTCCAAGTATAAAATAAATACAAATTTGTAAAAATTTTTAAAATAGAGATTATACATATAAGGAGATAGAAGAAGTAACATCCTGTGAATATATGCAGTACTTTAACCAAATACTGGTCATCAGATATATGATGCTCATATGGAGAGCTGAGAGGCTTAAAGAAGAGACAACAATAATTTATGATTAAAAATTAAGGTTGGCTGGGTGCGGTGGCTCATGCCTGTATCCCAGCACTTTAGGAGGCTGAGGCCAGCATATCACGAGATCAGGAGTTCGAGACCAGTTTGGCCAACATAGTGAAACCCGGTATCTACTAAAAATACAAAAAATCAGCCGGGTGTGGTGGTGTGCGCCTGTAATCCCAGCTACTCAGGAGGCTGAGGCAGGAGAATCACTTGAACCTGGGAGGCAGAGGTTGCAGTGAGGCGAGATCACACCACTGCACTCCAGCCTGGGCAACAGTGCCAGACTCCGTCTCAAAAAAAAAAAAAAAAAAATTAAGGTTGACAGGTTTGCCAGCCTGCTTCTGAGCTTTCTATCTCCAATAGCTGGTAAGTGGTAACATAGTTATTATTCTTTGTAGACTTGCTCGATCAGAATTACATTTTTGTAGCTCAGAAGATTCACAGTTCCTGTTTCGTATCAAATAGAAAATTCTGGGTCGTACTAAATATTTATAAACTTTCATACTACATAATCGATGTTTTTTAGGGTACAGGATGCCAAAACCATTTAACCTCAAAATCCTCTTGTCTATACATATGTACTTAACAATATGCATATTGTTAGCAAATACAGATGTGAGAGAAAGATAGTATTCTTGAGAGAACTGCATGCCAGGAAGTGCTAGCTTTTAACCTTTGTGTTTTTAATCAAGTAACAGATATTGTTTAAGAAGGTATATCTGAATATACTGTAATGTAAATTTTCAATGAAATAACTTCAGCCCTGAGACATAATGAGATACCAAAGTTTAAAAATCCCAAGTATGTAATAAAACACCAAATTTTAAAATATAACTTTTAACATTTCCTTTTACTTTTCTGAAGAAACATTTAAGATGCACTGTTATAATAAGGTAAACATTGAAACTGAATATATTTGAATTCAAAACTACAGATTTTAATTACTTTTTACTTAAATATTTTAAGCAATTAACAATTTAACCACAGCACCTTATCAGCATCGTAGTATCTAGTAATTCTATTTTTATATCAAAGAAGTATACATTTTTGTCCATTTTTGAATAATTAGTAAATCAGTAGCGTTTGCTTATATTGAATAACCTTGATTGTGAACAATATAAGCAACTCTAATGGACTATTTAGAAAATCGTAATGTTCTAATTAGAAAATACCAGTATCAACAATGTTATTTGTTGAATGCAAATGATAATTACTTTCAGCAATCAACTAAATACCAGATTGACTACAAGAAAGAGAATAAAGGACACCAACTCACCATTAAACAACATTTACTGACTCTATGACCCACCCACCACAATGTTAGCAACAGGGATAATATTTATATAAAAGAGAGTGGGCATGAGCTATGTGTTTCACATCTCTATGTTCCTAAGGTCAGTGGATGATTCATTAAGGAGTTTGTCACCTTTATGAATTCTTTATGTTTAACTTAAGAAATGGATACTCATTTTGTTTGGGGGTTGAGGTAAAACGGGTGGGTCAAATAGATTACCCGAAATAAACATAAACTCATATTCTTTTTCTCCCTTATCCCCAAAAGTGTGTTAAATATAATTCATTGTGGAGAAAAGAAATTGTTAAGTGTGAATCAATTTTATAAAATTAACTGTAATATGGTGGTAATGAAAGATGGTAGTCTGTAAGCAGAGTTCTGGCCACTATTTTGTATATTTAAAAGGTCTATGCAAAAGCTTTGTGATGAATAAAGGAGATTAGGCTTAAAAAAAGTTAACTGCAACAATTTTACCTTCAATTTTTATGATATGGCTCCTTGCATTTGAAAAAGGCTATAGATAGTGATAACTGAAAGAGTAACTGATGGTCCTTTTCACCCTAAGCACAGAGGAAGAGTTCTTCTGTATGCTTACTATTTGTAGTCTGTTACTATTTCTGACCCTGACTCTTGAATTCATTGCCTCTGCTCAGAATCACTCAAGAGTTTAAATTACACTTCTGCTAGACATTTTAAAGAACATATTATACTCATTACACATTCACAGTTAAGGATGGAATCCTTAACAATGAAGGATATAAAACAACTTTTGGTATAATCAAGGATATAATACAACTCGAAAATTGTCTATCATAATCTTCTTAGCTGTTACCAATTGTATGATGTCATATTTACATATGAATGACTTCAACACCTCAATAATCTATGGATTTGTAGTACTGTGATTCTCTTGAAAGCCAGAGCTTATGTAATACAAAATAATAAAATTATGGATTTTACAAAATAATATTCTCTGGCTAAATATTCTTTTTTTTTTTTTTTTTTGAGACAGTGTTTCACTCTTGTTGCCCAGGTTGGAGTGCAATGGCGCAATCTCGGCTCACTGCAACCTCCACCTCCTGGGTTCAAGTGATTCTCCTGTCTCAGCCTCCCAAGTAGTTGGGAGTATAGGTGTGTGTCACCATGCCTGGCTAATTTTGTATTTTTTTTTTTTTTTTTTTTTTAGTACAGATGGGGTTTCACCATGTTGGTCAGGCTGGTCTCCAACTCCTGACCTCTGGTGATCCACCCACCTCGGCCTCCCAAAGTGCTGGAATTACAAGCGTGAGCCACCAAGCCTCGCCTCTGGCTTTCAAAAGAGAGAATCACAATAATACAAAAATTTAAACCTGTTAAAATAACACTGTCCATATCCCAACAGCTCCTAAACACGTTAACTAAAATGGCATAATAAATTTGCCTGAGTTCATGTATGCCTTAATAAATAATCTTCAGAAAAAAATTTTAATCATTTTATTTTTCTATATTAACCATTTCATTTCCCACTGTTCATTATCTTTTTATTAATGTTATTTTGCTTTAAATTAGTACTAACATATTTAAGTCAATCATTTATTTAAACAACAACATTGGCTAGGTGCAGTGGCGCATGCCTGTAATCCCAGCATTTTGGGAGGCCGAGGGAGGCAGATCACTTAAGCTCAAGAGTTTGAGACCAGTCTGGGTAACACGGCGAAACCTCCTCTCTACAAAAAAAATTAGCAGGGTGTGGTGGCTCCCTCCTGTGGACCCAGCTACTTGTGAAGCTGAGGCAGGAGGATCGCTTGAGCCTGGGAGGCAGAGGCTGCAGTGAGCCGAGAGCAACCCACTGCACTCTAGCCTGGGCAACACAGTGAGACCCTGTCTCAAACAAACAAACACAGACGCACAACACACCCCCCACAGATATTGTTTGAAAAATATGTGCAATAAACTCTTATTTTAAGACCTTTTTAAAAAATGCTCTCCAAATTGCAAACCTAGAAAATTTAAGGGATCAAAATAAACTAGACTTGAAATCAAAATTCAAACTGGCAAAAAACACTTAGGCTAAAAAGTATTACAAATTTCCCCTCTTAGGGATACAACTAGACTATGTCAATGTGTTTGTAACAATGGCCAAAGTTAGAATTAAGGAAAAAAAATCCCACAACTCAAAAATAAATAATAGTGAAACCAATTTCTGGATGCCTTCTTTCTAGGGCATCACATTACTTCACTGGGAACCTTCAAAGGCAACGAATGGCACTTGCTTACCTGAGGTGTTAAATACACACCCCCCCCCCCCCGCCGCCCTCCTCCCGCCCCCCTCCCCCCGCCCCGCCCCATCAGCTTCCCTGTCCTATTTCTAGTTTTGACAGAAAGCGGAGTCCCTTCACAAACAAGGTTAGCTCTGTAACAAAGCGAGCAAAGAAAACAGCGCAATTGGCATGGCAACTTCCAACAACTTCGAAGAGAAAGCACAACTCTCCAACTTTGTCGTGCTCTCATTGACACATTCCCCACTCACATGGAAAATGCTGTTTTAAAAACTTCCCCTTTTCAATGAACTGTCATGCTATAAAATATTACCTGTTCCTATTTGGAATTTAAAGAGGAGCTATAAAATATTCCCTGCTCCCATTTGCAATTATGTGAACATAATTCTCACCATAAGTTTCACCGAGATGGTAGTTATGTCACCTGCAAAGCCCTTGAAGCTGCAAAGGCCAACTCTGCACACAGGAAGCCATGACGGGCACCCAAAGTCCGGCCAAATGGAAAGCAGCAGGCACCCCGGGAGTGTGAGGAAGGGCCTTCTTTCCATCTCATGCAGCCAAATCCTCCTCCCCCTACCTGGGGCCCTCAACTCTCTACCTCACGTCCTCAACCATCCTCCTGCGACCTCACGCCCCCAAACCCTCCTCCCCCCACTGCACGCCATCAACTCTCCTCTG
This sequence comes from Homo sapiens, assembly GCF_000001405.40. NCBI lineage: Eukaryota > Metazoa > Chordata > Mammalia > Primates > Hominidae > Homo > Homo sapiens. Next base: position 158,572,753 of record NC_000003.12, on the reverse strand, counting down.
TCCACCTCACACCCTCAACCCTCCTACCCCCACACCTCATGCCCCTAAACCCTCTTCCCCACACCTCATGCCCCCAAACCCTCCTCCCTCCACCTCACGCCCCAACCCTCCCTCGTCCCACTACCTCTCACCCTCAAACCTCTTCCCCCTACCTCACGCCCTCAACCCTCCTCCCACATCATGCTCTCAAGCCCTTCCCACCAACTCACGCCCTCAACCCTTCTCCCCAACCCTCCTCCCACACCTCATGCCCCCAAATCCTCCTCAGCCCCTAAATCCTCCTCCATCCACCTCACACCCTCAACCCTCTTACCGCCACCTCACGCTCCCAAACCATCCCCACCAACTCATGCCCTCAATCCTCCCCTGCACTTCATACTCCCAAACCCTCCCCACCAACTCACGCCCTCAACCCTCGTCCCTGCACTTCAAGCTCTTAACTCTCCCCTGCACCTCATGCTCCCAAACCGTCCCCCCACCTCACGCCCTCAACCCTCCTCCCCCCACCTCGCGGTCCAAAACCCTCCTTCCCCTCACCTCACACCCTCAACCCTCCCCCACACCTCATGCTCCCAAATCCTCCTCCCACCTCACGTCCTCAACCCTCCTCCTACACCTCACACCTTCAACTCTCCCCCACACCTCATGCTCCCAAACCCTCCCCCCACCTCACGCCCTCAACCCTCCTCCAAACGCCTCACACCCCCAAATCCTCCTTCGTCCATCTCACACCCTCAACCCTCCCCCCTCCACCTTACTCCCCCAAACCCTCCTCCTCCCACCCCACGCTCCCAAACCCTCCCCCCACCTCACAGCCTCAACCCTCCTCCCCCCACCTCACGCTTTCAAACCCTTCCCCCACCTCACGCCCTCAACCCTTCCCCTCACCTCACGCCCTCAACCCTTCCCCTCACCTCACGCCCTCAACCCTTCCCCTCACCTCACACCCTCAACCCTTCCCCTCACCTCACGCCCTCAACCCTCCTCCCTCCCACCTCATGCTCCCAAACCCTTCCCTCACCTCACGCCCTCAACCTCTTCTCCCCACCTCATGCCCTCAATTCTCCTCCCCCCACCTCCCGGCCTCAACTCTTCTCCCCCCACTCCCAGCCTTAACTCTCCTCCCCACACCTCACGCCCCCAAACTTCCCTCCGCCTACCTCACGCGTCCAAACCCTCCTCTCTCCACCTCATGCGCCCAAATCCGTCTCTTCCCTGTCTCACACACCCCTAAATCCTCCTCTCTCTTCCCTCCCAGGCCTCCAAATCCTCGTCTCCTTCAAACCGCCTCCAGAGTTACTCCGAATTCTCTCTCGCCCTCTAAAACTCGCTCTTTTCCCTTAAAATAGCTCCCCTCGATACCTTAATTCCCGCGCGACCCCGGACTCCTGGCTCCCGTAACTCACGAGAAGAAGGGGTCATCCTCAAAACTGCTGTTCAGCATCCTGAACATTCTGGCTCTGTCTTGGGTGGCGGCAGCCGCGGACAGATTGGAAAAACGATGTTAACTCGCCGCGGCCGCGACAAGAGCTAGCCTCCAGTACGGACGACGCCTCACTCGCCGCGGCGCAGGCGGTGCCCGCCGGGATAGGAGGTGCGTGACACCGAGCTGCTTTCCCATTGGACATTGCTCTGTGACGTCACCAGGACGAGGCGGGGAGCAATGCGCCGCTGCCCTGGCAACCGCAATCAACACAGTGGAGGCGAGAAGTCTGGCCTTGCGCCGGCCGGGGAGCTTTTCGCCAAGGCTCCTGTGGGATGGGATAGCTTGTTCTCTGGGCTGCAGGAACCAAAACATTAGACCACCCTTTCTGTGACCTTGGGCATGCCGCCCTCGGTTCCGAGCCGCAAGTCTTTCTTTCGGGGAAAATGAAAAGGGGTCAAGATTTGGACCAGATGACACCCAATGTCCCATTCAACGGTCGCATTCTGTCATCCACAGGAATTAGTCCTGTATCCGAAACATTCTCTGGTAGTCAAAAGCTGTGAGCAAATAATAAGAAAAAATGTGCAAAACGTTTTTTAGTACAGTTAGCAAATAGTGTACTCAGTTGTTGAAGGAAATGGGATGAAGCCTATCAGATTTCAACAAACTTATTTACCTCTTGAGAAAGCTGCTCTCTTTTCGGTTGTCCTTCTGTGTCTCTCTTTCAAAGATCAAGTCTCACTGCGATGCTGATATGTTTTTAACACTTCTCCAGCATTTCTTAACCTAACAGCAGGTTTCAGGCACAGGCCTGCAGCAAGCAGCCATATCCAACTAAAATTCCACTACTATATGTTTTTATTTGCATTACATTTATCAGGGAGCTTTCTATTTATGGCAAGGAAACTGATTTTAAATTTAAATCAGTGATATACATCAAGAGCTAGATTTTGCATTTTTAAGTGAAAAAGTAAGCTATCAAATAGAACAGGTGGAATTTGGATATGGTGGGGCGGAGGGGTAGGCAGAGCAGGGGAGAGGAACATCGTGATAGTGGTACTCAAATTACTAAGTTTTAGAAAACACTATCACGGGGCCTTTCAGGAGCCTGGAGACAGATGGAGGGGAAGACAGAAGAGAGATTAAGGAGAAGAATGGTAAGAGTATAAGAAAAGAGAAAATACATCTTGCATGTCCACCCTTAATTCAGTGAGCTCCCCAGCTTCTCTACGTGGCTGTCTTGCAGAGATAAAGGGGCGTCCATAGCTCATCAGGGCCCCCTGGGATCAGGCCAGAGGGGTGGCACTTTGCCAGCATGAAGAAGTGTGCAAGCCCTGATTTGGAGGTGACAGGAGTAGTCAGGGGTTATTTTGAGAGCTGGAAATTTAATCGTTTGGATCTTTTACTCCCCATCCCCCTTTTTTAGCCAAGTTCTCTGGCAGCTTCCTTCCCCTGAGACTGGTGGCATGGGGTAGGGCAGACTTCACAGCCCAAGATGAGATGGCACAGCCCATCCAGGAAAGAGGATATTTTCTTTTCCTCTGGACTCAGAATAAAGCTCAGAGAACATATACACAAAATTTCGAAAATTTCTAAATAAATTTCAAGGCAAACAAAATTGTTTTATAAGACCTTAAATTGTTTTTCTCTTTAAAATAGTATAAGCACAAGATGTGAAGGAGGCCACACTTAAAAAAAAACTTGAAATGGAGTAAGTTATGTGATAAAAGATGGTGTTAAAATAGTTCTGGATTAAGGCCAAGTAAATTTGTAATGTTACCCTCTAGTTTCTGTGGGAACTTTTTTAGAATCACATTGTTATAAAAGCTTTAGTCCAGGCACAGGTTAGTCAGGGAATTAGCTGAACCTTGTGAAAGCAGTTTGGATCTAATGACAAATGCAAAAAAAAAAAAAAAGGAGGGCAGAGCAGAGTTGGCACTGAAGAGACCTTGACATCATTTTCAGAACTGATGGGTAAGAGGTGGAAATGAAAGAAAGCGTGGGTCAGGAGAGAATGAATACTCCAGCATGGGAGGAATAGAGATGCAGAACAGGACTGAGAGGAGAGGGTCCTGGACTTGGCTGTAAATATAATCATAATAGCTAATATTTATTGAATGTGTGCCAGGCACTGTTGTAGGCACTCCATATGCATTACCTCATTGAATCCTCATTAGCAGTTTTATGGAGTAGAGATGGCTTTTATCCCCATGTATAGATGATGCATTCAAGACACAGAGAAGCTGAATAAATTGCCAAGGTTCACACAGCTAGTAATTGAACTGAGCTGGGTACCTGGAGCTTTCCTCTGTGAGTGCTGGTTATATGGTATGTGAGTGATGAGTCATACTTAAAGATGCAGGATGAAAGCGGGTAATCATTTTTCAAAATCATGCTGACAAGCTAAATGGACCCAAACTAAAAAGTACAAAATTCAGTGGGAATATATTCACATCACATAAATTCAATTCTACAAATATTTATTGAGTGACTACCCAGTGTTGGGGACTGATCTACGACCTTAGGCATCATTGAACAAAACGGACAAAAATCTCTGCCTTCCCGGAGTTTATGTTCTTGTAAGGACAGACTCAAAATAAACAAAATAGAAAATAGTATATTGTAAGGTGATAAGTGTTAGGGAGAAAAGCTGATCAGGGTAAGGAGTATGGAGAGGTGCAATTATAAATAGCAAGTTTTGTGTACGCCTCACTAAGGGGAATTTGAGCAAAGACCCACAGGAAGGAAGTGGATGTCTAGTGGAAAAGCATTCCAGGGCAGTGCTAAAGTAGCATTTGCCTGGTGTATATAATGTACAGTCCTACTCATATGCCTTAAAACTCACCTTCTGAGTGAGGAATGAGATGAGCCAAGTAAACTGAAAATTGCCTAATAGGGTAATAGCTCTCATTTACACTTCATATATTCCAAGGATTGCACTAAGTGCTTCACATATGTTTTCTCGTTTAACCTTTACAGCAACCATGTCTAATATTATGTTTATCCCTAAATTGCATTAAAAAAAGCTGGGACCCAGATAAATTTGATAATTGAATTTTGATAATTGATTTGAAAGTTGATAATTTGATTAAATTTTGATGATTGAAATTTGATGTCACTCAATTCAAACCCAGATTTGTCTTACCCCAAAGCCTGTATCCTCACCACCATCCGTACTTTGCCTCCCTATTTTAAAAATTAACTATTTATGGAGCAAATATTTGCAGTAAACACTTTTACATCTATAATCTGTAACTACACTGTTGCTTAGGTTTCATTTGGAAGGACACTGACTAAGGAAAAACAGAGAAAAGGATGAAACCCAAGCCAACTCTGCAACTCTATTAAAAACACCAAGACTTCAATATGTAAGTGATTTCGTGTTTCTTTCATTAATTTATCAAATACTTATTAAGGACTAGTAATATCCCAGACATTATTCTAGACACTGAGGTTACAAAACTCCCTGGCCTTTCGGAACTTACATCCTAGTGGACAACTCTTTCCCCAGCTAATTTTACAAATACTGTTACAGCACCTCAGAATTTTCATAATGTTTCTGAAGACATTATCTCAAGTGCCCAAAAGAAAATAAACAGGCTCTTGAGTGCTGAACTTTTAACTTAATTATAGCTTTCCAGAGCCGTGAATATTAGGCCATTACAAACACCTTTACCACAATTAAGCTCAATGTGTCTAGGGTTTCGTTGTCCTAATCCCTTTGTCTTAAACAGTGCACAGAGGTCCTCTGAGAATGAGATGCCATAGCAAACTCACAAGGGGCTATGGGACAAATTTTGAGAGAAACTTGGCATGTGTTAGACATTGTTCAATGTACTAGTTTAGGGCAGTTCACATATTTCAATATTAGATTGCACTACATTGTTTTAGATGATGTCATATCATTGGAAAGGTAGGTTTCTGAAAGTTACTATGATGAAAATGAAGTACCTGTCAATGTGGAACAGGAAAGATTGGTGGCAACATTCAGTCTGTTTCTAAAGTTTGAAAAATTGTGCTGTGCTAGGCGGGCACCCATCTGTTAGTATGATTATTTAAGAATTATACAAAAATATGTTTCTTTCAATTTATGTGCATTATTTTTTAAAGGTACTGAGTTTTTAGGTCAGAAATACGCTGTTTGTATCTAAATTATACAATAACGGACCTATTCAGTATTTCTTTAAACCTAGGGGGCACAATGAAAAAATTACTGAGGAACTAAGGGCTCATGAACTAAGATAGTTTGGGGACCTCTGTCTAATCCCACAATCTTTCTTCAAATTAAAAAGAAATGTAAAATATCATGCATTCCTTTTCTAAAAAATATGTTTCATTTTATTTTTCATGTTTATCTTCTTTACAGTCAGCTGACTTACCAGTCCTCTAACAGTTTTGCTTTATATCTTTTTGAAAGATGGGAAAATGGTGCATACCGATTAAGTGACCTGTAAGAGCATAGATCCCAAGGTCTTCAAACTCCCAGTAGGGCTGCCTCTAGTCCATAATGGCATCTTTGCTCAAATTAGAAAAAGTGCCTCCCTCTCATGATACTTCCATTAATGAGAAATTTGTCTTAATAAATAGACAAGGCTGTAATGTATATGATTTGACTGGTGCTCGCTTAGGTGTTGTATACATGTCCATGGCAGCGCTGTTCCTAATCTTGAATTCTTTCCGCTACATAGGAGTTAATTGAGTGCCAAGCTTCATCCCCAAACTCCCAAACTCATGTGCAAGAAATGTAATTTTATTTTCCTGCAATCAACCTTAATTTATCTTCTGGGCTTACATTCCACTGGGAGTCACTCCCATTTCCTCTTCCACGGAGACAATGCCAAGGTGTAGTTGGTTGCTAGCCATGCTGCATTCCTGAAGTCATCTTTATTGCCCTCACTGGGTAGGGCCAAGGGTACTAAACATCTCACTATGTGTGGCACGGTCTGGCACAATGAATCGTCCTTCCCTAAATACCAATAGCAGTCCTCTCCTTTTAAGAAATACACTCTCTAGAGCAAATATTTCCTCCAGCGAAGTAAAAATTTAACGAAGAATTGAGTTAACAAAGGAAAAAAGTGGCAGACTTTTAAAGTTATATTTACTTTTACAGCTTTTATCTGTAGATGTGTATGCCTATGACTAGTGGTTTATTTTGCACAAATTATAATTGAGGCATATTTTATTTTGAAAACTGTTGAGTAAATACCACTTTTGGGGGGTTGGTAACAAGAGATTGGCTTTAGTGAAAAGATACTAGAGGCAAGAAGCTGGGGCTCTGGGCCCTGGACTTGGGTCCTAGAATTCAGGTGGTAGTGAGGGAGTATGTAAGAATTCAGGTGGTAGTGAGGGTGTATGTAAGCAGAGGAATGTTCTGTTTCAGTGATGGATGGGCAGAGTGGGTGAGGATGACAGAAAAATCTGGAGAGGAAATCAAGATCCGCTATTGGGTCAGGGCTGAGCCAAAGATTATAGTGTTTAATAAGCATAAGCAAAAGTTTTGGCCTTTCCCTCATTTCTTTGATGTACATCTTTGAGGCTTGGTTACTTAGGGATGTATTTCATAATCTTTTAAAAATAATCCTTTACTTTCTTTTTTTGTTTTGTTTTTTTTGGGGTGGAGTCTCACTGTGTCACCTAGGCTGGAGTGCAGTGGCGCGATCTCGGCTCACTGCAAGCTCCGCCTCCCGGGTTCCCTGCCTCAGCCTCCCGAGTAGCTGGGACTACAGGCGCCCGCCACCGTGCCCGCCTAACTTTTTTTGTATTTTTTGGTAGAGACGGGGTTTCATCGTGTTAGCCAGGATGGTCTCGATCTCCTGACCTCGTGATCCGCCCGCCTTGGCCTCCCAAAGTGCTGGGATTACAGGCGTGAGCCACCGCGCCCGGCCTAATCCTTTACTTTCTACCATAAAGACACATACACATGTATGTTCATTGCAGCACTATTTACAGTAGCAAAAACATGGACTCAGCCTAAATACCCATAAATGATGGACTAGATAAAGAAAATTTGGTACATATACACAATGGAATACTACACAGCCATAAAAAAGAATGAGGTGACGTCCTTTGCAGCAACATGAATCCAGCTGGAGGTCATTATCCTAAGGTGATTAATGTAGGAAGAGAAAATCAAATACTGCATGTTCTCACTTATAAGTGGGAGCTAAACATGAAATAAACGTGGACACAAGAGAACAATAGACACTGGGGCCCACTTGAGGTGGGAAGGTGGAAGGAGGGTGAGTACCTACTGGATACTATGCTTATTACCTGGGAGATAAAATAATTTGTACAACAAACCCCTGTGACACACAATTTATCCATGTAACAAACATGTACCCCACGAACATAAAAGTTGAAAAGAATAAATGAAATAAAATAATGATTTAGATAAGTGCTAATTTCTATTCAGTAATAGTTCCTGTTTAAAAAGTATCTACTGGGCTGAGCGCGGTGGCTCATGCCTATAGTCCCAGCACTTTGGGAGGCCGAGTTGGGCGGATCACAAGGTCAGGAGTTCGAGACTAGCCTGGCCAACAATAGGGTGAAACCCCGTCTCTACTAAAAATACAAAAATTAGCCGAGTATGGTGGCGCATGCCTGTAGTCCCAGCTACTTGGGAGGCTGAGGGAGAAGAATCGCTTGAACCCGGGTGGCGGAGGTTGCAGTGAGCCGAGATCATGACACTGCCCTCCAGCCTGGGCGACAGAGCAAGACTCCATCGCAAAAAAAAAAAAAAAAAAAAAAAAAACCAAGAGAAACAAAGTATCTACCAAGAGTTTTGTAAACTTTTATCCCAACTAATTCTCTCAATAATGCTATGAGGGAGGCATTATTTACATTTTGTGTGTGCGAACACAGAGGTTCAGGTAGGGGAAATGATTTTTAGCTTGCAAGGTTCAACTATAAATGGTCTTCTAGCTGGTGAGTGGTTTAATGTGAATTCTGATCCAGACCTGACCGTTTTGAAGGCCGTTCCCTTCTCACTGCACCCATAGCCAACTCTCATGATAACGAAAAAGGACTTGATGGTGTGGAATTACATAAATGTAAAGCTTCTGGGAGTATCCAAACTTAGGTTGTTTGGTTTAAGTACATAAAGAAGTTTTTCAATTTTCCTGAAAAACAAAACAAACAACACTGAAACTATCATTCAATGAATAAAATAAAGGCTCTTACTCTAAAGACAAATAATTTGAATGGCAATGTCAAATACAAATATACCAATTTTTTTTGGTGACAAAACTCCAACTTTCCACACAGCCCGTAATGGATTCATGTGCAGTTGATGAATGAAAGTCCACATCCAAAGCTTGCTTAGTCTTTACAATTTACGTTTTAAATTGAGGTATAACTTAAACATGGTAAAGTCTACTAAACTTCAATGTATAGCTCAATAGCTTTTTACATATGTGCAAACCTATGTAAACAACACCCAGTTGAAGATATAAAGCATTTCCAATACTCAAGAAAATTCCCTTGTGTCCCTTTCCCATCCATGTCCCTCTAGGGTAACCACTATTCTGAGATTTGTTTCTTTCACTTAACATTATGTCTGCAAAATTCATCCTTGTCATTGCTGTCATTGCATGTAGCAGCAGTTTATTCTTTTTCTTTGTTGTATTCTAGCATATGAATTTGCCACAAGTAATTTACCCATCTACTGTTGATGGATTTTTTGATTGTTCTTTTTTTTGGCTTAAAAAATAAGGCACTATGATCATGCTTGTGTTTTTCCTGATTAAGTTTTAAAAATCAACTTACATTCAGCTATTCTTGAATCTTTATTGTCATTGAAATTCTGAAACTTTTTTTCTACAGACAATAATTTTATAAGAAAGATTTTTCTATTGAGTCAACACCTTGATAGTTGCTACTGTCTTAGAAACACTTCTTTTAAAAAATAAAAAATCTTAGAATTACAGAGCCTAAAACAAGTTGAATAGTAGAAAGCACTCTTCAGAAAATACTGTTGAGGTCATCTGTTCTCAGGAACACTTTAATGTGGCTATCTAGAGTGTTATTTTTAAATCCTTGATAAGATTTGAAGAGAGTTCACACTGTAGTTTGGAGGCCCCACTGCCAAGGCAATCAATTGAAGTCTGTCCAGAGGACAAGTAAATTATTTTGGAAAACATTAAGGACCTGGAATACCTTCATCTCTTTGTCATATGCTTAGATGTCTTTACTATTTGAAATGGTAGGAATAATCACAGAAGAATTGTTTTTAATTTCAAGAAGCTAGAAAGGACACAATAGTCATTATAAGGCCATGTAAGTTTTAATGCCATTTGTGATATATATTCTGGGGTAACAAGGTAAAGGGGAGCTAGGGAATTGAGAATGAGTGGCTCCAACCTATACCTGATTTCCTCCCAATTCATATCTCCCAAAGACCTAGAAATTCCCCTGGGAAACAGCCTCCAGGAAGGCTCACACTGCTGAATGGCACTGGCAGCCTGTTGGGAGAAATAAGACAGCCAAGGCCAGAGGTTGTCGGGCGGGGTCGGGGTGGGGGCGGGGCGGGGTGGAGAATGTTGGGGTCTGCTGTAGGTTGTTAATAATAAAAGCTAAAACCTATGTACTAGGCACATTAATTCACATGTTTTTTTTTTCTTCAACTCCTACTTTAAGTTCCAGGGTACATGTGCAGGATGTGCAGGTTTGTTAAATAGGTAAACGTGTGCCATGGTGGTCTGCTGCACAAATCAACCCACCACCTAGGTATTAAGCCCAGCATCCACTAGCTATTCTTCCTGATGCTCTCCCTCCCCTCCTCCCAGTGTGTGTTGTTGCCCCCAACGTGTCCATGTGTTCTTATCGTTCAGCTCCCACTTATAAGTGAGAACATGTGTTGTCTGTTTTCCTGTTCCTGCAATTCACAACAGTTTTATTACTATTTTACATAAGCGAACACAGGTTTTAGAGAATTAACTAATTTGCAAAAGGCAGTATTGCTGGAAAGTGGAAGAACTGGGATTGGAACTCACGCTGTCTGACTGTAGAATCTGGGCTCTTAATCACTGAGTATAACCTCAGCTGGCCCCACTCACTGCCTAACACACAGGAGACTAGCTGTCTTCTTTACCTCCAGTTGAGGGTAGGGCTTTACCTAGAGTTGGAGTCAAAAACACGAACACCAATAGGGATCAGACAAGTAAAAATGTGAGGCAAGTGAACTAGGTAAGATGATAAGGAGAATAAGAATTAATAATAATAATAATGCCAGGCACAGTGGATCACACCTATAATCCCAGCACTTTGGGAGGCCGAGGTGGGCAGATCACCTGAGGTTGGGAGTTTGAGACCAGCGTGACCAAAATGGAGAAACCCCGTCTCTACTGAAGATTAAAAAACAAACAAACAAACAAAAAAAACAAACAAAAAAAAAAACAACTAGCTGGACATGGTGGTGCATGCCTGTAATCCCAGCTACTTGGGAGACTGAGGCAGGAGAATTGCTTGAACCCGGGAGGTGGAGGTTGCAGTGAGCCGAGATCATACCATTGCACTCCAGCCTGGGCAACAAGAGCGAAACTCCATCTCAAACAAACAGACAAACAAACAAACAAACAAAAAAAGAGTTAATAATAATAATAATAATAACTAACATTTGTTGAGTTTCTACTGTGTGCCAAGCACTGCTCTAAGTGCTTTACAAATTTTAACTCCCTTAATCCCCCAGGTGATCTAATGAGATAAACACTATAAGTATGCCCATTGTGTATAAGAGGATGATACAGGTCAGAGAAGAAAAACTGCTTGCTCAAGGTCACACAGCCAGAGGACCCTAGCTCTTATCACTGTGCTGTATATTCACAGGAACCTGGCATGGTGGGCACAGTCGGGCACTGCAGGCGGCTTGCCTCCAGCAGAAGGAATACTGCTACTCAGCTCTAGATGATTGCCCTGAAGAAATTCATGCCCACTGGTAATATGGAATTGTATATGAAATCTAATTTTTTAAAGTTAACAACTAATTAAAAAGAAAATAGCAGGCCAAACAAATCTTTCGGTGAACCTGGCCCATAGGCTGCAAGCCTATGATCTAGTTAGAGTGAGTTTTCATGGCATGAAAGAGACACATGATCCTGGTAACATTCACATACTGCCTTTTGAGTGTAACTCAAAACTATGTTGATGGCAGGTCTTGTGTTGTGAGAGCTGAGAAGCAAAGTGCCCTGACTCCTAGCAGTAGGCCTTTGTGAGTGGACACCAGTTACCAACCATATCAGTGAAGGGTCATATTTTAAAATTCCAGGGCCATGAGACAGTTGTTTTATTTCTGCAGGATATTTAGATTACAGATTAATTTTTTCATTTGGACCACAAAAGGTTAGCACAGCTTTATCAGGTTCTGTGTATTATATTACTGTTTTAATTCTCTTTAGTCAGTCTTAAAATAGATTGACATCATTTTGGTCTCTGCTTTAAAGTGCCTGCCTTTCAATTTCTTATTTATGAAGACATCCCTCCCTGTATAGCTTTGCAAAATTAGACTCTAATAATGTATATAATAAAATATCAAAAGCCCATATTTCCATATAAAAACAATCTATTAAACTAAAGGTGACTGACTGCTTCCAAAACTTTTTCTCATAATATTAGTCATTTGTTTACTTGTCACTTGTTTTGTCACCTATTGTAGAGTCATAGGTGTTAAACAAAAAACTTGGTAATATTTTTAGGAGAGTCTTTCTTTTACCTTATTTTCTCCTCTTCAAACCTTTATATTTATATTGAATATGTACTCTAGGTTCTCAGGAAAAAAAATGTTTAAGCATTTTATTAGTCTCTTAGGGCTGCCTTAATAGAGTACCACAACCTGGTGGCTTAAAACAACACAAATTTATTCTTTCACAGTTCTGAAGGTTAAAAGTCTGAAATCAAGCTGTTGCAGGGCTATGCTTCCTCTGGAAGCTCTAGGGAGGAATCCTTCCTTGCCTCTTCCTAGCTTCTCATGGTTGCTGATACTTGGCTTGCCTTGTATTACTCCAATCTCTTCCTCAGTCATTACGTGGCCTTCTCCCCTGTGTGTCTCTGAGTCCAGTTCTCCTTCTCCTTATAAAGACACCAGTCACTGGATTTAGGACCCACTCTGATACACTATGACCTCATCTTAAGTTGATTATATCTGCAAAGACATTATTCCCAAATAAGGTCACATTCACATTTTTCATGTGGATGTGCATTTTAAGGGAGGGTACTATTTAACCCAGTATGAGTATCTATTAGTAACTTGTACAAAAATAATCAGAATAGCTACAGAACAAAATTATCAGTGTTAATTGTTATGTAAGACTTGAAATATGACCCAACAATCAGCTGGCAAACTTGAAAGCATATGACTTTACAAAATTTTACAGTATGCATTGTGGAGATTAACCTCATTCCTTCTAACTTCTTACCTATTTGTATTAGTCTGTTTTCACACTGCTATAAAGATCCTACCTGAGACTGGGTAATTTAGAAAGGAAAGAGGCTTAATTGACTCAGTTCTGCATGACTGGGGAGATCTCGGGAAACTTATAATCATGGTGGAAGGCAAAGGGGAAGCGAGGCATGTATTACATGGTGGCAGGCGAGAGAGAGAGGAGGGGAAAGTGCCAGAGACTTATCAAACAACCAGATCTTGAGAGAACTCACTCATTATCACGAGAACAGCATGGGGGAAACCACCCTCATGATCCAGTCATCAGTTCCACAGATCTTTAGGGCAGGGGCAAAATGCCACCACTTTCTTTGCTAAAGCATAGCAAGAATGACTTTTACTCCAGTTCCCAATAAGTTCCTCATGTCCATCTGAGACCACTTCAGCCTAGACTTCATTGTCCATATCACAATCAGCATTTTGGTCAAAGCCATTCAACAAGTCTCTAGGAAGCTCCAAACTTTCCCTCATCTTCCTGTCTTCTTCTGAGCCCTCTAAACTGCTCCAACCTCTGCCAGTTACCAGTTCCAAAGTTGTTTCCACATTCTTGGATATCTCATAAGAATGCCCCACTACCTCGGTACCAATGTTCTGTATTAGTCTGTTTTCACACTGCTATAAAGATACTACCTGAGGTCTCAGGAAACTTACAATCATGGTGGAAGGCCAAGGGGAAGCAGGGTATGTCTTACATGGTGGTGGGTGAGAGAGAGAGAGAAGGGGGAAGCACCAGACACTTATCAAACAACCAGATCTTGTGAGAACTCACTCATGAGAACAGCATGGGGGAATCTCCCCCCACGATCCAATCACCTTCCATCAGGTCCCTCCCTCGACATGTGAGGATTACAACTCGGATTACAACTGGAGGTGAGATTTGGGTGGGGACACAGCCAAACCCTATCACTATTCTACTTTCATTCTTTCTTTTGTCCCATTTTCTCCATTGGCTTGCTGAAATTTCTGTTTTATCTGGTGATATTCTATGAATTTCGATAAAATACCTGGAGCTTTTCTGAAACAAAGATTGGTAGGAATAAATAAATAAAATAATTAAATAACCGCTGTTAATTTTATGGTAATGTTGAGATATTGGCCTCCTTTTGAGAGCAAATTTACTATGAGATGCTTGCTAACATGATAAAGTGCCAGTGTAGATCTCAAAGTGAAGGCTGTAATTGCCCAGACCTTTTCACATTAGGTATCTGCATGAGTTATAACTCTTCTGTGAAGATAAAAAGGCTTCTGCAAATTGCCCCAGTGCTGTAAGGACTGTCAGACAGGAGGGCATCTCAAATGAGATTAATGATGTTTGCCTTAATATAAGAAAATTTAGCATAACCAAGATTAAAGATTCTGCAGAAACCTGTCAGCAGTCATTTATTTTGAATAAATATTATTTTTAATTAAAGTCCTAAGGTAGGTTATTCCTGAAATAATGAGATCTACAATGATTTCCTTTGGGAATTAATGTTCTTTATTAATTTTCAGTCATTCTGATGATCACAGCTCATTCAATATTACTCATGGCAGTCAGCTTGGTAGGACATGCCAATTTCCAGCTAAAGGCATGAATAACCCTGTATTTGTTTTTCATGGCACTCTCATTTTCTAATTATATTTGTCATTGAACCCGAACACTTTTATAGGTATGTCCATCCATAGCAATATATAGTGACTATGATTCATAAAATAAGGAAATCACTCACAAAATAAAGCTTCATAAAATAAAGGGAACATAAAATCAGAAAATTATAGTATTGTCATTTTTAACTATTTAAAAAATTGGTTCTGCTTCTTTGCTAGGCATTGTGCTAAGTGTTTTATGCACATCAACTCTAATCCACATGAGAACTCTGCATGACAGAAATTGCTATTCCTGTTTACTAGATCATGACATGGAAGTTCAGGAGGTAGCTTGCCAAAATTTAGCTCTATACCTCATGTTCATAGCATCATGCTATGTAGCCTCTCTACTAATGGTAGTGATCACCCAGCTTTAAGAAGCTTTAAGAAGCTGGGTGATCACTACCATTCGTAGAGAGGCTACATAGCATGTACATAGCATTTATATGAACATCAGTATTTATCAGTATGTGGTTCAACCAGATTTTCAAGGACTCAACAGAGTTGGTGTTTTTGTTACTGTTGTGTGTAACAAACTACCCCCACAACTTTGTGGTATAAAAGAGCCATTTTATTATGCTCACAGATTCTATGGGTTAGAAATCTAGCCAGGGAAATGAAGACGGCTTATCTCTAGAGCCTCAGCTGGGAAGACTCTATGGCTAGAGGGGTTTTCACTCACATGTCTGGTGGTTGATTCTGGTTATTGGTTGGAAATTCAGTTGGGACTGTTAGCTAGAACACTAAAATCCACACTGTCTATAGTGCATGGGTTTTCTCAGAATGTAGCAGCGTCAGAGTAGTTGGTGATCTTACATGAAAGCTCAGGGCTCCAGGAGTGAGCATCTATATTAGTCCATTTTCACACTGCTGGTAAAAACATACCCAAGACTGGGTAATTTATAATAAAAGAGAGTTAATTGACTCACAGTTCTCTCCATGGCTGGGGAGGTCTCACAATCATGACAGAAGGCAAGAAGGAACAACTCACAACTTACGTGGTAGCAGGGAAGACAGAGAGCGTGCGCAGGGAAACTCCCCTTTTTAAAACCATCAGATCTTGTGAGACTTATTCACTTTCACAAGAACAGCACAGGAAAGACCCGCCCTCATGATTCAATTACTCCCACTGGGTCCCTTCCATGACATATGGGAATTGTGGGAGCTACAATTGAAGATGAGATTTGGGTGGGGACACAGCCAAACCATATCATTCTGCTCTGACCCTCCCAAATCTCATGTCCTTACATTTCAAACCCAATCATGCCTTCCCAACAGTCTCCCAAAGTCTTAACTCATTTCAGCATTAACTCAAAAGTCCACAGTCTAGCATTAACTCCAAAGTCCACAGTCCAAAGTCTCATCTGAGACAAGGGAAGTCCCTTCCACCTATGAGCCTGTAAAGTAAAAAACAAGTTAGTTACTTCCTAGATACAATGGGGTACAGGCATTGGGTAAATACAGCCATTCCAAATGGGAGAAATTGGCCAAAACAAAGGGGCTAAAGGTCCCATGCACGTCCAAAATCTAGCAGGGCAGTCCAATCTTAAAGCTCCAAAATAATCTCCTTTGACTCCATGTCTTGCATCTAGGTTACACTGATGCCAGAGATGGGTTTCCATGGCCTGGGGCAGCTTCACCCCTGTGACTTTGCAGGATACAGCTCCCTCCTGGCTGCTTTCATGGGCTGAGTGTTTGCTTTTCCAGGTGCACAGTGCAAGCTGTCATTGGATCTACCATTCTGGGGAATGGAGGATGGTGGCCCTCTTCTCAAAGCTCCACTAGGCAGTGCCCCAATGGGGACTCTGTGTGGGGGCTCACACCCCACATTTCCCTTCTGCATTGCCCTAGCAGTGGTTCTCCATGAGGGCCCCACTCCTGCAGCAAACTTTTGCCTGGGCATCCAGGCATTTCTATACATTTTCTGAAATCTAGGTGGAGGTTCCCAAACCTTAATTCTTGACTTCTGTGCACCCACAGGTCCAACACCACATGGAAGCTGCCAAGGCTTGGGGCTTGCACCCACTGAAGCCACAGGTCGAACTGTACCTTGGCCCGTTTTAGCTACAACTGGAGTGGCTTGATGCAGGGTATCAAGTCCCTAGGCTGCACAGAGCAGGGGGGGCCCTGGGCCCCACCCACGAAAGCATTTTTTTCCTCCTAGGCCTCTGGGCCTGTAATGGGAGGGGCTGCTGCAAAGGTCTCTGACATGCCCTGGAGACATCTCCCCCATTGTCTTGGTGATTAACATTTGGCTTCTTGTTACTTATGCAGATTTCTGCAGCTGGCTTGAATTTCCCCTCAGAAAACGGGGTTTTCTTTTCTATCACATTATCAGGCTGCACATTTTCTGAATTTTTTTTGCTGTTCCCCTTTTAAAACTGAATGCTTTTAACAGCACCCAAATCACATCTTGAATGCTTTGCTGTTAGAAATTTCTTCTGCCAGATGCCCTAAATCATCTCCCTCAAGTTCAAAGTTCCACAAATCTCTAGGGCAGGGGCAAAATGCCGCCAGTCTCTTTGGTAAAACATAACAGGAGTCACCTTTACTTCAGTTCCTAACAAGTTCCTCATCTCCATCTGAGACCACCTCAGCCTGGATTTCATTGTCCATATCATTATCAGCATTTTGGTCAAAAGCATTCAACAAGTCTCAGGAAGTTCCAAACTTTCCCATATCTTCCTGTCTTCTGAGCCCTCCGAACTGTTCCAACCTCTGCCTGTTACCCAGTTCCAAAGTCACTTCCACATTTTCGGGTATCTTTACAGCACTGCCCCACTCTACTGGTACCAATTTACTATATGCCTCTGTTTTCACACAGCCAAACCATGTCAGCATCCCAAGAAAATTAGGCACAAACCTTTACTGAACTAGCTTTGGAAATTATGCTGTGTCCCTTCGGATGTATTCTGTTGGCTATGACCAAGTTACTAAGATTGACACAGAGTCATGTAAGGGACGTAGATCTTCACCTCTCAATGGGAGAAGCATCAAAAAGTTTGCAGACATGTTTTATAACACCATTACAGAGAGTATCAACTCTATTATATATTGTCACTTCTTGGTGCAGGGTTCTTATCTAGTTCCCTTTTTTTTGGATCCACTTTCTGTCCAGCTGCTTCCTGATGACCTATTTGATTCCCAGGAAAATAAGAAGCAAGGAGAAGCTCCAGGCAAATGCACCTCTATTACCAGCTGGAGCTTCTGCCACTAATTTCTAGCTGGTCTTCTGCCTTGATAAGTTGGCCAGAGAAGAATAGAAGCATCGGCAGACCCTTTTCAACCTTTTCTCCGGAGGACAGAGGGAGCCAGACTATACCTTTTGTTTCCCATAGACCATTTCTCTTGGCTCTTCAGGACCAAGTGCAGGCTGAAAAAATTCATATTTATTGCTTCACTCATAGGAGTTCATGCACCTGGTATCCGATCCTTTGTAAATTAAAAGATTTGTTGATAGGAAGCGTCTGCTGATGGAGACTGAAATCATGGATCAAAGAATGGTTGGTAAATATAGAATTAGAGTAGAATTAGCCATTTCCATGTGCTTAGAATATAAGATGAATGAAAGGCTTTTTTTTTTTCTTTAAAGAAGGAAATGTTTAGTTGAGTAAAGACACAGAAACTAATTAAATTGGCAAGGAGGTGATTAGGCACCAGAATTAAATTGATGATTTGGTGTCTCCTTTCCCTTGAGCCCACTCCTTAAGAGATCATACCATTATGACATAAAGTCAAGCTGAAACATTCATGCCAGATCCCTCTAAAAGGGATACATTCAGTTTCAGAGAGGTACTCTTAACTGACTAGCATTGGCTTGGAATAGAGAGCTGAGGAGCAATGATAATTAGGAATTCTCAGGGACTGTATGTACTCATTCACTTCATGTTTGAAATGTTTCTACATAAAGCTATTCTTGCTATTACAATATAACTTTGTGAAAAGAGTGCTTGTCTACTAGCCTTAGGAGAGGTAGGAAAGGAATTATGCCATCTAGCAGTATTCCATGAGTTAATGGAAATTTGGATTGGTAGATGTGCTATGTGGCCAGGTTCTTTTTCAGGATTTAAATATTTTCTAAAGCTTCATAATTATCAAGGTATTTTCTGCTATGGATGAACTGAAATACTACCTTTCCAAATATCTCTTGCAACAGGAGAGCAGTCAGTTGACTCAGTTGTAGCCAATGAGGTATAAATTTTAATATATATA